>NC_000009.12:133869274-134183092 GCF_000001405.40 Homo sapiens | reverse complement strand
ACACACCACACACACCACACCTCACCATACACACCACACACACACCTCACCATACACACCACACACACCACACCTCACCATACACACCACACACATGCCATACATACACCACACACACCACACCTCATCATACACACCACACACACCACACACCACATGCAGCACACAAACACCACACACACCACATGCAGCACACATCGCACCACACATACCACACATGCCACACACACGCACCACACACACATACACCACACAAACACCACATATGCCACACACACCACATGCACACCACACACACCACGCCACACACATCACAATACACCAAACACTAAACACACCACACATGCCACACACACACACCACACACACTACACACCACACACAATACATACCACAGACACACCACACACCACATACCACACACACCAGCACATCACACATACACCACACACACTGACACCACACACAGCACACCACACCACAGGCACGTCATACACACACACCACACACATCACACACCACACATAGCACACCACAGCACACACACCACACCACATACACTACACACATGCCACACACACCACACATACACCACACACAGCACACCACACACCACACACCACACACCACACACCACACACCACACAGCACATGGGGAAAATAGCAGCAAAAATTTACTACAAAATATTGACAGGGGTAGTCCAATTGATTTTCTTTTTTTACTTTTCTATACCTCTAAGTCCCTTTGTCTTTTCTTTTCTCTTTTTTTTTAAAGACAGAGTCTCACTGTCACTCTGCCACCCAGGCTGGAGTGCAGTGGCACAATCACAGCTCACTGCAGCCTCGACCTCCCAGGCTCAAGTCATCCCTCCTGCCTCAGCCTCCAGAGTACCCGGGGCCACAGGCGTGCACCACCACACCCGGCTCCTTTTTTTTTCTCTCTCAGTAGAGATGGGGTTTCATCCTGTTGCCCAGGGTGGTCTCAAATTCCTGGGCTCAAGGGATTTGCCCACCCCAGCCTCCGAAAGTGCTGAGATTACAGGCATGAGCCACCACGCCTGGCCTATTCTTCTATACTTTGAATAACGAATCTGTTTCACTTTCCTGATGACAATAAAACACTAAACATTACTGCTTTTCAACAACTCCTTGCAGAGCTGGGAAGGGGGCTGTGGTCTGGTGCCTGGGAGTCCTGTCTGCAAACCCCACGGCAGTTTCCTGAATGAGTGACTCCACCCCTGGCCGCAGCTCTCACCTAGAACCATGGTGGCGACACCTGACCCCACCCACTGCCTCAGAGGGCAAAATTGGAGCGTGGCTGTGACCGGGCCATCCCAGG
The DNA here is from genome assembly GCF_000001405.40 of Homo sapiens. Classification (NCBI taxonomy): domain Eukaryota; kingdom Metazoa; phylum Chordata; class Mammalia; order Primates; family Hominidae; genus Homo; species Homo sapiens. Next base: position 134,181,753 of record NC_000009.12, on the reverse strand, counting down.
CCGGTGCCCTGTCACCGTCTCAGTTCCAGGCAGTGGCCTTTGAAATCAAGGCCACCCTGTGTCACCTGATGATCTGCTATTCAACCTTCAGGTCCTGGCACAGGGATCCCACATCCTGCACACCTCTCCAGCTGGGCCCAGCTGCAGCAGGACCCGTGGGCAGGTGGCAGCTGGTGCGTATGCCATGCCCACCTCACAGGTGAAGACAGGCCACCTCCAGGAGGCCCCTGAAAGCAACAGGATGTCCACCCTCAGCGCTGCCTGGGCGTGTGTGCCCAGTGACCCCCAAACTCTGTGGGTCCTGCAGGCGGCACAGTGGGGAGTGCACACTGCTAAGTCCCTGCCACTCCGGGGGACCTGCCACTCTGGGGGACCTGCCCTCCTACACGGTCCAGGGGCAGAGGGAGGCCACCTCACCCCCTCTCCCTGCTCTCTCTGATGGGGGACTCTGTCTCCATCTCTCCTTGGTTCCTCTCCTTCTCCCGTCCTCCCAATCCCAGTCCCCACGCTCCCGTGGGCTGCTGCCCTGAGCCAGGCCCTGCTGCAGCCCTGCAATTCCACCATGGAATAGCAAGCCGTCGAGGAGGCTGCATGCCAGGAGGAGACCGGGGCAGAGAGACAGCTGTGCACATGGGAACCCGTCCCCACTGTGAAGAACAGGGGGCCAATGGGACACAGGGATGCTGAGGCGGCCAGGGAAGGCCTTGCAGGTGTGGAGAGAGAAGTGAGGGCGGGAGTGGGTGTGTGATGCCCTTAGCATGGCCCAGGCTGAAGAGGGCAGGGGCCATCACGGACTGGAGCCAGCTCGGCCATCCAGGGAGGAGCCAGGAGGCAGTGGAGGCCCAAGGGATGGCGGGCAGCCCCACAGGGCCTCAGAAGCCAGGCAGGATCCGGGGTTTGGTGAGCCCTGGCTGGCTGGGGCAGAGGAGCTCCAGGCTCTGACCTGGGCTGGCTGCCTGGTGGATAGGAGACCAGGAAGAGACCCTGGCATGTGGGTGCATGCTGGGGAAGAAGATGGATCCTGGGCCTGCAGGGAGGAGGCAGCAGGGATTCCTCATGGATGCGGGCAGATGTGAGCGAAAGGAAGCCAGCAAGGATCCGGGATTCGGGGCCTGAGCACCTTGGACGGAGCAGGGGAGCTGGCCTGGGCAGTGGGCAAGGGGCCCTCGGACTTGGGCACTGGACACATTGAATTGCAGACACCCTGGTGGAAAAAACAGGGCAGCCCAGCGGGGACGGAGAAGGGATGGTGGAGGGGGGTGCCCAGAGACCTCCAGAGGGAAGGAAAGGTAAAAGGAGGAGGCCACGCTCAGGAGGAGACGCACCCTCATGCGGAGGTCACAGGATCCCCAGGGGAGGGGGAGCCGGGCTGGAGTGGAGGAGATCTGTGGGTGAATGGGGAGGGAGTGGGGGCTGCGAGGGCATCGTGCCCCGCTGAGGTTTCTCTGTGAGATGAGCCAGGGAATGGCAGGACGGCCAGAGGGGCGCGGGGTGGAATGGGAGCTCACCGCACAGGGATGCAGTGAAAGGAGGCAGCTCCCAAGAGGGACAGCCACAGAGAGGACACCGCGGGGGTGAGGCTCATCCGGCCCTGGGGGTTTTGGGTTGTGAGGTGAGAGGGTGTGAGAGGTGCTGGAAGTTGGGGTGTCGATGGGTGTGGGGTTAAGGTGGGATTGCAGACATCAGAGGCCTGGAGTGTGAGGGTCAGGGGACTTGCTTGGTACTGGGGGGAGTGAGGGGCCAAAGGCGACAATGATCGAGTGCACGAGGGAGCCATCGGCTGAGGGAGAGGACAAGGCCAGCATAGGAAGGACCACCCGCAAGTACCACGGAGGAAGACAGGCTTGGCGGGGCCGCTTCCTTGAGGCTGAGATGGGGAGCTGTCTGCACAAGGAGGCGTCTCTGGGCTCCCAAAGAGCCCCCTCCACCAGCTTCGTCCTGTTCCTAGGCTCATCCTCCAAGGACTGGTTCATTCCCACCCCAGGGCCTTTGCACGTGCTGGCCCCAGCATCTGGAATTCCCCTTCTCCAGATCTCCGTGTCACCAGCTCCTTCTTGTCCTTCAGATCAAAGCTGAGCCTCACCTCTTTGAAAAAGACTTCCCAGAACTCCTGGCTGACACCTGCTAGGCTGCTTCCTGAGCTCTGCAGTTTCCTAACCTGTTCACATGCTCGCCCCCAGACTCCTCCTTCTAGAAGCCATGCCCATCCATGCCACCTCTTCCCAGTGTGGGACATCCGGACAGCCCCTCCTGAGGGCTTCCTGGCCTCCCTAGAAACCTGAAATGCGCTCTCAGCTCAGACAAAACCGTCCGCGGCACGCACCTGGTCCCTCCAGGAGCCCACACCCGCGGATCACCTCATCTGGTCTTCTCCAGCGCCCACGGTGTGTGCTGGTGTCATTCAAACTGTGCACACAGGGCCTTGTCTGCTCCTAGCCTGGCCCCTCCAGAGAGGTGGGCTCACCCGAGTTTGCAGGGGAGGAAACAGGAAGCAGGGGAGAGAGCTCAACACTCAGCAGCACTGGCCCCGGGTGCTCAGTCCACACCGCAGCCTGAATGATGGGTCCCTTGGGCTCACACTGGACAAGAGCCTGGAAAGACAGAGGAACACGGGGACTAGAATCCCAAGGTTGCAGGGCCAAGCACAGAGGATGCTAGCTCCCAGCTGAGCAGAGGCAACAGCAGGGGTTACTCCAGGCTAAATAAATAGGAGACCCGGGCAGGAAGAAATGAGAGCACGCGGGTATCCGTCAGCCAGCGAGGGCGCCCTGCAGGGAGCCGGGCAGCCACACGGACTGGCAGTGGCAGAGGGCTGCGGGCCTGTTTGCTAACGAGAAGGGCCGACGGCAGGATCTTCCGGGCCAAGGCACTGTGTGTGTGGACAGCTGTGACCTGGCCGCCAGCCCCCTCCATTCCCGTCTTCACCACGGACCCCATGCAGAGAGGAGGGCCTGGCTGGGAGACACTGGGGGTGCATGTGCCTCTCTAAGGAGACGTTGCTTCATCTGAAATGAGGCCAGTGGCACCAAACTGAAAGGGGCATTGGGAGGGTCAGTGTCCAGGCAGTTGCCCCACCTGGCAGGGCCCTCGGCTGTGGCTGGCTGGGCCATTTCAGCCTCCCCAGAGGCCAGGCACACCGCCGGCCCATGGAGATGCCCTGGCACAGAAGTGTGCTTTGCCCCTACCCACCGGTGGGCAGAGCACACTCACACGGCAACCCCCATGCCTGGTGGGCATCCATGCCATGCCCGGGCACGCCTCCTCTCTCACCTTCACTCCTGTCGCCCCCACTTGGAGCCCTCTCCTTCTCCCCTGACATCCCTCAGCTGTGAATTTGAAGCCCCTTGGTGCCACCTTTGCCATGAGGCCCCCTGCTTGTGCCCTCTGGATGGCACGGTAGGCCTGGCCAGCGCAGGAGTGGGGCCTCAGCAGTGGGTGCCGCCTCAGGGCCCTGCAAAAGGTGGGGCGACCACATCCAGCTCAGGCACCCGGTGGGGACAGCACAGCCAGCCCAGCAGGCTGGAGAAGACGGGGCAGCGGCAGAGACCCTGAAGCAGGAAGAACTGGGGGTGCTCGAGGGGTGGAAAGGACGGGTGAGGGCCCGAGGGGTGCAGCTGGGGTTGGCGTGGATGGCAGGTGCCGTGTCACCTGTGCGTTTCATCGGGGCTGACAGAAGGTGCATTGGAAGCACTAAAAAGCCCAGTTTCTTGGGTCCACGAGGCCCTGGAATCACGTGCTCCACATGTCACAGTGCAGACCTCCATCCGGGGCTAAAGATCCCAGCCCCTGTCCATCCCCAGCAAGAATCTCCCCATTCCCCACACACGGGAGGGACAGGCTGCCCAGCAGGGGCTAAAACCCCGGTCCTGGGTCCTGGGAGGGGCGGCTTCACCTCGGGTGGCAAAGGAGGAGGGTCTGGGCTGGCACAGGAGAGGGGTTGACAAAAGTCACGGTGCCATTACTACACCTCACTGCCCAGCCCGACAGGCTTCACTGCATCCCCATTCTACAGATGTGGAAACTGAAGCGTGGAGAGCGTCGTGGGCTGACCGTGGCCCCCGGAGCCTGTGGCTGGAACCTTCTTTAGAAAGGGGGTCTTCCCACATGTGGCTAAGTTACTGGGGAGAAGACTGTCAGGATTGTCCAGGTGACCCTTAATCCAATGACAACTGTCCTTAGGAGACATACAGAAGGGAGACACAGGGGGAGGAGGAGAGACACGGGGAGGAGGAGAGACACGGGGGAGAGGAGGGACACGGGGGGAAGAGGAGAGACACGGGGAGGAGGAGGGACACGGGGGGAAGAGGAGAGACACGGGGAGGAGGAGGGACACGGGGGGAAGAGGAGGGACACGGGGAGGAGGAAAGACATGGGGGGAGAGGAGAGACACGGGGGGAAGAGGAGAGACACAGCGGGAGAGGAGGGACACGGAGAGGAGGAGAGACATGATGGGGGAAAGGAGAGACACGGGGGAGGAGGAGGGACACGGGGGGAAGAGGAGAGACACGGGGGGAAGAGGAGAGACACGGGGGAGGAGGAGAGACACGGGGGGAAGAGGAGAGACACGGGGGAGAGGAGGGACACAGGGAGGAGGAGAGACACGGGGGGAAGAGGAGAGACAGGGGGAGAGGAGGGACATGGGGGGAGGGACACGGGGGGAGAGACATGGGAGGAGAGACACAGGGGGAGGAGGAGAGACGGGGAGAGACATGGGGGAGGAGAGACATGGGGGGAGGAGGAGAGACGGGGAGAGACATGGGGGAGGAGAGACATGGGGGGAGGAGGAGAGACGGGGGGAGAGACATGGGGGAGGAGGAAAGACACGGTGGGGAGAGGAGAGACATGGAGGGGAAGGAGAGACATGGGGGAGGAGGAGAGACATGGGAGGAGAGACACGGGGGGAGGAGGAGAGACACAGGAGGGAGAGGAGACACCGGGCAGAGGAGAGACATAGGCAGTAGTGGAGCGACATGGGGGAAGTGGAGGCTTGTGTGAAGATAGAGGTAGAGATGGGAACCATGTGGCCACAAGCTAGGGAACCCCTGGAGCCTCTAGAAGCTGGAAGCAGCAGGCAGAACCCTCCCCTGGAGCCTCTGAGGGGGCCAAGCCCTGAGACACCCCGATTCTTCAGCCCCCAGCACTAGGAGAGAATCATTCTCTGTTGTCGGAAGCCTCCCAGCATGTGCTCATTCGTCACAGCAGCCGCTGGACACCCACAGAGAGAGCTGTCCTTGCTTCCCAGGGACCAAGCGGGACCCAGCCTTAGTTAGCGGGACCTCCGTGTCTGTGTCCCCGACACCGCTGTGTGCCGACCACACTGGATTCAGAGCTCCATGGGGCAGCGCCAGGGCCCTTCCTGCCTTTATTTAGGGTTCGCACTGCACCCCCAGCGTCTAGCCCGAGGCCAGCTGACAGGAGGTGCTTGGTCACCCTGCACTTCTGGAGCATATGCAGGGGTCCCCTCTGCGGCCAGCAACCGCGTGCGGCGCCTGCAGGGAGCGGCGGCCATGAGCAGCCCCAGCTCAGCAGGACCAGAAATAGCAGAGGCTGCCAGGGCCACGGGGCAAGGCCAGGGTCCCTGGGTCAGGGTCCAGGCGCTCTGGGCAGTGTCCTCACTGTTCCCCGGGACGTTGGGGCCAGGGCCTGTGGCCTGAAAGATGACACCCAACCCGACCCTCCCATGATCTTGGGCAAAGTGCTTCCCCTGCCTCCAGGTGGGAGCCGGGACAGAGCTGCCCCCAAGTGGACGCAGCGCCCCTCACAGCAGGAGGGACCAACAGAAGCCCCCACCAGTGACCGCCACACCTCCCTCACCAAGGACAGCTCTGGGAGCACCTCCTGCTCTGTCACCCACTGCGCTGGGTCCTTCAGCCCACCCTGGGCCCCCCCAGCCCCTCAGAACCCGGCACCGTGACAGACCCCGTGTGGGCAGGGGCATCGAGCGTGCACCTCCAGACCCACGCCCCCAGATTTCCAACACAGCGACACTTCCTGCCCCTCTCCAAAGCAGCATCTCCCACAGTGGGGGCCATCAGGGGATGGGGGCAGCTGGGAGGGGCGAGCTGTTTGTAGAGGATCTGGGCTGGCCACCTCCCCAGGGCAAGGCCCAGACAGAGCACCCTCCAGACGGCAGCACCCGGGGGCCCGGGGCAAGACGGATGGGCTGGGTGAGGGCTGCTGGGTGCCTGGAGCGCGTATGTCCCCACCGGGGCAGGCCAGCCCCGCACTCCACCCGGGCAACCACAGGGACTCCCTGGGCCACCGCCTCCATGCTGCCCACCTCTGCCCAAACCACCTCTCAGGGAAGGGAGGAAGCTGGGTCCTGTGGAATCTGACCCCATCACCTTCCTCCTCCCTGGCTCCGCCCCCGCCTGGGCCCCGCCCCCGCCTGGGCCCCGCCCCCGCCTAGCTGTCCTTGGGGAGCGGCTGCTCTTCCCAGCCTCAGGGCCTTTGCAGAGCTGTCTCTTCTTACCAGAGCCCTCTCCTTCCCCTCTTCCCTGGCAAACTCCAACTCGTCCTCCACGCTGTTTCCTCAGGAACGAGCTCTGCCCACCCCTAAATGAGTTTCCCCAGCTCCCAGAACCTGAATGGCTCAAATCCAGAAATCATCTGCTTAGAGCTGGTTCTTCCACCCAACCAGCCCGAAGCTCCAACAGGGCCAGGCCACGTGCCTGTTGGGGACCTCTTCTCACCAGGCCTAGCGCAGGGCAGGACACCCCCGCAGCAACAAGGCCTGCCTCCCGTAAGGATCCCGCCCTACTCAGACCTCTCAGACCAGCAAGCCTGAGCCCCCGCCTGCAGGGCCCCAACAGCTGCCAATGGTCAAGGGTCTCCCTGCGCCAGGTGCTGGCATCCCCCAACAGCCCTACCAAGCAGGCACAGCTTCTCCTGCCATTTACAGAGGAGAAAACAGGGGCAGAGAAGGGAAAGGGTGGCCCTGGGGTCCCCGGCATCTGGACAGCCTGACTGCAGCCCCTCACAGCAGCCCAGCGCCACATCTGACCCCCAGGGACCATCCACTCCTGCCTGGGATGGACCCTGCAGGCAGAGGAGAGACATGAGTTCGCCTCCCACTCCCATCAGCTCACGTCCTGCCCCCAGCTCTCTAAAGGGCAGCGCTTTTCAAAATGTGTGTCTGCGGAGCCCTAGACCAGGGGTGGAGGGTTATGGGTGCCGCTCTGTGGTGGCGGAAGTTTGGGAAGCACTGGGTGGGCAAGGGGCTGCAGATTTCTTCCATGCAGGACTTCTCAGAGTTTTTAGCCACTGTGCATGTGGGCCCCCAGGGAGAGCTGCGAGCAGAATTTCCCAAACATCTGCAGCAATGGGGATGAGGGAGCTGTGGCTCCCAGCAGACATCAGTCACCACTCCGCTTCTCTGATAGACGGCAGGGGCTAGCCTGGGCTCTGCAGTTACACAGAGCTGCCTGCAAATTCCTTCTCTCTTCCCTACTAGCTGGAGGTCCTCTCTGAACTTCTGCTTTCTCCGCAGTCCCAAAGAGGAAGCAATGCGCAGCCCCCAGGGGCCAGACATCATGCACGTGGGCACCTGGTTCCAGCCCATGCGCAGCAAGCACTCAGAGGGCAGGGGTCTTGACTGGCAGGCCCGAGAGAGGGCAAAGCTGGCACCACTCGTGCCTCCACGTGCTCTGTCTGGCTGCATTTTTTAAACTAACTTATCTCCACCCTCACCGAGCTCTGGTGCCCCAGGGAAGCTTCTGTAAGTGCTTCAGCCTCCCCAGGGCTCCCCAGCCCCAGAGTACACGGCGTGGTACATGGGGGTGCAGGGCGTGGGAGGCAGGCAAGGGGCGCAGGAGGCAGGCGAGGGGCGCAGGAGGCAGGCGAGGGGCGTGGAGGCAGCGGGTATGATTCAAAACGGGCTATTCGGGTCCTCTCATGGGTGCCGGGAATGCTGGGCTCTTCCTCTGGCCGGAGGGTCTCGGGGCTCCAACTACAGGGACCAGCACCCACCCCTGAGTTAAATCCCTGCAGCCTCTGGGATGGTCCAAATGCCGAGGCAGGGGAGGGCACCCACCAAAGCGACCCCAGGCCCACGGGACTCGGCCCAGTCTGTCGGCCCGGGGCGTTTACCGCAGGGAGAACAGGCAGCCTCTCCCCGCCAGTGTGCGCTAGGGCCTTGCGGGGCCAAGTCTCCGAGGTGGTCTCTCCTGGGGCACTGAAATGTCACCTGGAGGGACCCCCGAGGCTGGCCCACACTTTGGTGCTGTGACATCTTTTGGGCCAGTCCCAAGAAGATTCTACCTCCTACTCCAGCCCCAACCCCGCAGCCTCACCAGCAGCCCTCCCGGGGCCTCTGCCTGGGCCAGATCCCTGCCTGGAGTGCCTTCTTCCTTGGCACAGCGGTGACCGCGCAGGCCCCGGCCTCCCTCCCGAAGGCCCCGGCCCCACTCGGCCTGTCAGACCAGAAAAGCCCCTCCTGGTGGCACCACCCGTCCCTGAAGCCTGGCCTCTCTTTCTGCTTAGAACCCACACTCAAGGTTGCCGCAAAGTTCTCGTAAGTAGGGGCTGCCGCGGTGTGTGTGGAGTTATCCCAAAGTCATTCCGCACTCCCTGTGTGGCGTAGGGCCGGCAAGTGGCCTCTCTGTGCCCTGGGTTTCTCACCTGTCCGTCCGGGCAACAGCAGTGGCCACCTCTTGCCAGCCGTGCTGTCCTTAGAATGACTTGTTAAAATCGCCTGCCTCCCCTCCTGGGGTACCGAGGACCTCAGCCCCAGAGAACTGCACGGGGGTCTGTGAGTGGCTAAACTAAGACACACGAGCTGGGCTCACTGGCCTGTACCACATCCTCCTGTCTCTGCAGCACAGGCCGGGCTTCTGATGGTGGAGAGGACTTGTCCTCTTGCCTGTCCCCAGCCCACACCCACTAACACCCATGGAAACAACCGAACGCGAGCGAACTACAGCAAGAGCCCTCTTGCGGGCTGCCTCTGGGGTCTAGAGGCAGAGCCGGATCATGTGCAGCCTGAGAAGTTTCCAGAACAGCTGTGAGCCAGCTCCTGGAGGGTCGATGGCCTATGTCTGAGTCCCTCCTGGTCCCATAGGCCTGAGGCTCCGTCCCTCCTTCTTTCAGGCCCTCAGGACGCTCGCAGGGAGCCAGTCCAGGGAGATTTATGTCCCTGAGGAAGGGGAGCCCCAGCACTTGGTCCATGCAGGGCTTCCGGCCCATCGGAGCCTCGGGGTCCAGGGCAGAACCGGAATGCTCAGGAGGCCAGCACTGGGTCAGGCAAGAAGCGTCTCCGGCCAAACGCCAACCCTGGGAACGTTCCATCCCCTCCTCCCTCCCGTACGTCCGGGGTCAGCAGTCACTTTATTAATAGAGGCCCCTGAGCCCTGAGAAGAGGTCTTCTCCCCCTAGACAGTCATCACCCTCTCTGCAGAAGCAGGGAACGGCAGCCCCTTGAGCAGGCTTGACTGGGAGGCCATGGGGGCATCCCTGCAGAGTCGGAGAAATCCAGGGAGTCCTGGGCCTGCCAGGCAGGGCGGTTACCACTCTGCCCAGAGGTCACCACAGGCACTGTGAAGGGAAATGTTTTTTCTCCTTCCTAAGACACCATCTACTTCAAGGCCAATATCCATTTCATAATAGTGCTGGGGGCGGGGGGGTGGGGCGGCAAAAAGAAACCACAGTAACTGTGTACTTCGGGCAAAGTGCCTGGTCCTCAGGAACCCAGGACGTGACGGGGAAGGCATCTGCATGCAGGGAAACATCCCATTGTAAACCCTCGGGGCCTTCGATACACAGCACTGAAAGGGCCTTATCTGGACCCTCCTGCTCCCCCTGCACATCACTGACAGAGTCTTCCAGTCCCAGGAAACCTTGGAACACACAAAAAGGCACGCTGCGTCCTTCCCTCACCCTTGCAGGGCCTCCCTGAGCTGCTCCACACTCTGGACCCAATGGGAAACAGAAAACCCACAGGAATGCCAACGACTCTCCTCCGTAGAAACGCCAGTGGTGCCCGTCACGTGCTGATTGGTAAGATTAGAGCTCTTTTTAGTTTTTATTGTACTCTTTCTCCCTGTCGTTTAGTTTGTTGTTTGTTTTTAGAAATGGGGTCTCACTCTGTCGCCCAGGCTGGAGTGCAGTGGCATAACCACAGCTCACTGCAGCCTCGACCTCCCAAGTTCAAGCAATCCTCCCACCTCAGCCTCCTGAGTAGCTGGGGCCACAGGTGCGTGCCACCACGCCTGGGTAAATTTTAAAAATTTTTTACAGATGGGGTCTTGCTATGTTGCCCTGGCTGGTCTTGAACTCCTGGGCTCAAGTGATCCTCTAGTCTCAGCCTCCGGAGTAGCTGAAACTACAGGCATGAGCCACCGCGCCCGGCTCAGTGTTGCTTTAAATGTCTCTATAGTGAGCAGGTATTCTATGTATCACACAGAAAACATGACCTTCTGAAAAAAACAATGCCAGAGAGAGTCCAGACTGCAACTGGAACTGTTGCGTGCTGGGCACATACCAAGAACCCCACAAATCTAGGCATCTCCCAGCATCTCCTGGGGCCCCGCTGCCAGCTGCACCTGAGGGTGTCACCTCGGATGTCCAGCGGACACTCCAGCCTCAGTTTCTCCATGGGGTAAACAGGACAGTCAGGGCTGGCTGCCACCGAGCCCTCACCATAAGCTCAACCCCAGGGCGGGCACTCTGCAGATCAGTCCCTTCAAGGGGAAAGACACTGAGGCACAGAACAGTTAGGGGCCTTGCCCAAGCCCAGAGAAGCCAGGCGGAGAGGGCTGTGGTGAGAGCCGGGAGCCCCAGCCAGGATGCGGGTTGGTGGCTCCAGCTCCACCCTGAGCGGTGCGGCCCCGCCCCCTGGTGGACACTGCTGGAACTGCCCAGCCCTGCACCCTAAAAGACACAGGTACCCTGTGTTCCATGCCTGTTGGGTGTCCCACCCCAAGAGGGGCGACTGACTGGGGCAGACACCCAAGCTCCCGAGCCCAGCAGCCTGACACTGGAATACTGTTCCCAAAGTGACCAAAGCAGCCAGGCTGTGTGGCTCAAGCCTGTAATCCCAGCACTTTGGGAGGCTGAGGCAGATGGATTGCCTGAGGTCTGGAGTTCTAGACCACCCTGGGTAACATGGTGAAACCCTATCTCTACTAACATACAAAAAGTAGCCAGGAGCGGTGGTGGGCGCCTGTAATCCCAGCTACTCGGGAGACTGAGGCAGGAGAATTGTTTGAACTCAGGAGGCAGAGGTCGCAATCAGTCGAGATGGCGCCACTGCACTCCAGCCTGAGCAACAGAGACGCTGTCTCAAAAAAAAAAAAAAAGTGATGGAAGCGGAGGCAGGGGTAGGAGGAACACCCCACCCTGGGGCCAGCCCACCACCCAGGCCAAGGCCAGCAGGACGGGGGCTGGCAGGCAGGGACACCCACCAGCCAGGGGCAGTTCCAAAGGACCAGCCCATTCGAAAAGCTGCTGGTCAGCGTGGTGGCCATTAGGAGTGGCCTTGAAGCTCACCCGCTGGGCCCCAGTGGTTACTCGAAGACTTGTGACGGCCCCAGGAGGGTCCTGGGTCACCGAGGCCTTCCGTTCTGAAAGGGAATGAGTCCTTGGGGCCTCTCGCTATTCCTGGGAATGTCGCCCTGGCTCTGACACTTCCCCTGGCTCCCAGCGGAGAGCCTCCCGGGAACCTAGGAAGGCCTCTGGGACCAGCCAGCAGGTGGGTGGAGGTGCGTGCGTGAGAGGTGGGCAGGGCAGGGGTCAGGCCACCCCATTCCTGCCTCACCCCACCCCAGGCAGCCCACAGATGCTGCCAGTAAGATGTGTCTCCAGGAGACATTCCCTGTAAAGACTGAACTCTGATCCCGCCACATCACTAACTCCGCAGGATGGTGCTGGCGGCCGGGAGGAGCGCTTCTCACTGCACTCACTCCACCCTCGCTTCGTCCTTCCTTCCTTGTGGGTGCCCAGAGCTTGGAGTTTCGAAAGAGCGGGCAGCCTCGGCCCACCACATGGCCAGGTTTCTGGGGAGGGAGAATGGCCACCTGTGGGGGCCCAAACTGTCCTCAGCCTTCTATCCTGCTGAGTACTGACTCACCAACACTTCCCCAGATCTGGAGCAGAAATGTCATCAGCATTCTGGAAAATACAGTCTCCCTAAAGCCATGTGAGCCTGCAAATAAGAGTACAGGGCCGAGCGTGGTGGCTCATGCCTGTAATCCCAGTACTTTGGGAGGTAGAAGCAGGAGGATTGCTTGAACCTGGGAGGCAGAGGTTGCAGCGAGCCGAGATCACACCACTGCACTCCAGCCTGGGTGAGAGCGAGACTCTGTCTCAAAAAAAAAAAGAGTACAGTAGTCCCTGCTTATCTGAGTTTCTGCTTTCTGCAATTTCAGGTACCCACGGTCAATAGTGGCCGGAAACTAGGTGAGCATGGAACACTAGGATATTGTGAAAGAGAGATCACACACACTAACTTTATTACAGCAGTATATTGTGGCAATCGTTCTGTTTATCATTAGTAATTACTGTTAATCTCTTACTGTGCCTAGCTTTATCATAGGTATGTATGTATAGGAAAAAAAAACAGTACTGTATTTCTACAGTTCGGTACAATCCACAGTTTCAGGCCTCCACAGGGGGTCTTGGAAGGTATCCCTGCATCCGGATGAGCGGGGAGTACTTTTCTGTAATCAGAGCCCAAGCAGCTTTCTGCTCTGAATAATCTGGATCACTGCCTGAAGTCATCCATTTAGTGCATATTTGTTGAGTGCTTTCCGGGGCCATACCCATGTGGACATGGATAAGGCTGAATTTGCAGAGCCGGTCTCCAAGCTCTTTGCCTGCAAATCAAGTGGCTGCCACTGGGAGGTGCCCAGAGTGAACTCTGACTGGTCTGGGTTAGGCCAAAGAGCTAAAGCCACTCAGCCTTCCTCCTGCTCTGTCTTCAGCCCTCCTCTTCCCTGCTGTTTTCTTCCCTTCCCAGGCCCCTCTTTTCTCCTACCTGCACTGTTTTCCTTTACAGAACATAGAACACAGCCAGGAGCGGTGCCTCACGCCTATAATCCCAGCACTCTGGGAGGCCAAGGTGGGCGGATCACTCGAGGTCAGGAGTTCGAGACCAACCTGGCCAACATGGTGAAATCCTGTCTCTAGAAAAAACACAAAAAAGTAGCTGGGCATGGTGGCACATGCCTGTAATCCCAGCTACTCTGGAGGCTGAGGCATGAGAATTGCTTGAACCTGGGAGGCAGAGGTTGCAGCGAGCCGAGATCGCACCACTGCACTCCACCCTCAGCAACAGAGCGAGACACCGTCTCAAAAAAAAAAAAAAAAAAAAAAAAAAACACAGAACGCAACCTCACCAGCCTAGAGATCCCATTAGCCAAGACAGTTGAGTAAATGACACATCCCCCAGGCCTCATTTTCATAAGCCCTCCTGCCAACTAATAGGCTTTTTTCTTTTCTTTTCTTTTCTTTTTTTTTGAGACGGAGTCTCACTCTGTTGCCCAGGCTGGAGTGCAGCGGCGTGATCTCAGCTCACTGCAACCTCCCGCCTGGGTTCAAGCAATTCTCCTGCCTCAGCCTCCCAAGTAGCTGGGATTACAGGCACCCGACACCACACCCAGCTAATTTTTTTATTTTTAGTAGAGATGGGGTTTCAACACATTGGCCAGGATAGTCTCAAACTCCTGACCTTGTGAGCCGCCCTTCTTGGCCTCCCAAAGTGCTGGGATTACAGGTGTGAGCCACCACGCCCGGCTAGGCTTTTCTTTAAAGAAAAAAAAAAAGGAATTGTGCAAGTTTATTTAACACAGTATTTCCCAGTTTTCTTCCCTTCTGTCCATGGGACATTTCAAGAGACAACTGGTCACTGAAGCCAATGCCAGGAAATGCTGCTTGAGGGCAAATAACAAAAGCCTTCCAGCTCCCGTTACTAGGGCTGCCAAATTTAGCAAATAAAAATACAGGGCACTCCACTACATTTGAAGCTCAGATAAACAATGAATAAGTTTTAGTATAAGTGTGTCCCATGAAATATTTGGGATATGCTTACAGTAAAACATGACTCATTTGTCTGAGATTCCATCTCAATGGGGCATCTTGTATTCTATGCAGCAGCCCTGCCTGCCTCGACACTTGAGGGGAAAAGCACGCATGGTCCAGGGCTCTGCCAGGGCTGGAAGGGAACCCATGCCCACCCTGCCCATGTCCAGCACTGAGAGCTGGGGGCCGGGTCCCTACCCCACCACTCTAGCAATAACTCATGGGGTGGGCTGGGTATGTTGGCTCATGCCTGTGATCCCAGCACTTTGGGAGACTGAGGCAGGTGGATCACTTGAGGTCAGGAGTTCAAGACCAGCCTGGCCAACATGGTGAAGCCCCATCTCTAGTAAAAATACAAAATTAGCCGGGTGTGGTGGTGTGCGCCTGTAATCCCATCTACTCAGGAGGCTAAGGCCAGAGAATCGCTTGAATCCGGAAGACGGAGGTTGCAGTGAGCCAAGGTGGCACTACTGCACTCCAGTCTGGGAGACAGAGCGGGATCTGGGAGGGCATCCTCTATGCCATGTCTGACTGTAGATCCCCAGGTGGTGACAGGCCCTAACTCCATGAGACGTTCATTTTCCACTATTCGGGATAAGCGTTCAAATTCCTCATGGTTGGAGGAATTCTCCATCTTTGAGACTCCATCTCAAAAAAAAATTGTGTGGTGCCCTTGAGCAAGTTCCTCCCCTCCCTCAGTGTCCGTGTGCAAAAAATGGGAGGGTCAGTAGGCGATCTCATCTTTTCTTATTTCTGGAACTTTCTCTGGATGTAGCCTGATTTCATACAGGAGACTCTAAGAACGGCCCTCAGAAAGTGAGACTTAGGATCCAGTGAGTTATATCCCTGGAGACTCGAGTGGAGTGCAAAGTGTACTCCCCGATGGTGACCACTCTGATTGCCCCGTCCACCTTTCTGCCCCAGGCGCCAGGCACATGGAGCCAGGCCGACTCTTCCTGTGGTCTAGAGACATTTGTGGGCCCCAGAGGGACTTCCAGCGGTTGACATGAGCCATGTGCCCGAATCGGGGCTGAGGGCATGAGTCTCAGGGCAATACCAACACTGATCATGCCTTTGTTCAACAAACACTTTGGGACGCCCTGTGTGCAAGCGCTGGGCTCATCTTGGGATGCAGCAGTCAGCAGGAGACGCAGCGTCTGTCAGAGCCGGAGTTCCAGAGGCACCAGCAGACACAGGGCAAAGCCACCTCCATCCGTGCATCGCAGGCTGTTTCCACGGGTTCTGCGCCAAGTCCGAGAGGGTGCTGTGGCCTCCCAGGTCCTTCCATCCTTGCCCTCCCAACCCTGCAAAGACCCTCTTGCCATCTTCCCTCTTCTTGGGTTACCACTGGTAAGCCTCCTGGGTGATGTGCAGACCTCCGACCTCCACCCAAAGTAAAGACAGGCTGCTATGATGGCGGGACCCAAAGGGCCTCAATGAATACAGATTCCCAGGCCTGACCACAGACCCTGGACTCAGACTAGGGAAGAGGCAAGAATCTGCATTTTAGCAAACCCCGTCCTCGTTGACAACACAGGCAGGTGGGCAGTGCACAGAATGCCGGCTGGGCAGATGCTTGGGCCCCCTGGATCACGCAGATCCCCAAAGCCACCAGTCCTTCACAGTCTGGGCCCCAGGGTGACACCAGGCCTCCCATTGCTGAAGATCACCAGGCAAGCACACCACTCTCAGCCCCCAAGGTCCTGGCTCTGACCTCCAGGCTGCTGCTCCCCACCCCACACCTTGACCGTCATTGCAGGGTGAGCAGTGCCTTCCTCATGCATTTGGTTTCCTATCTGTAATCCAGAGCTTGCCCTGAACCTTCTGGAGAAGACCTGACTCAGGGTGCGGCTGGCCTTCCGCAGCAGTGCCCGGCCCAGCCTGCCAGGTCTCCAGGGAGAGGAAATTAAGGAAACTTAAGGACCTGCCTTAACCTACAAATTCACTTTTGTTTTTTCTAATTAATATGCACAACTGGAAACACACACAACTCAAAAGCTCTGAGAAATGAGTATGGCCATTCCCAGCCCACAGCACACGGCCACCAGGAGTGAGCCACTGAGGACCTCTGTGCTTGTTTGTGCACACATCCATGTGGGCAGGCACATGTGTCTGCATGTGTATACACATATTCACGTGTGTAAACGCGTGTCCACCATCCATGCGTGCACTTGCACGTGTGACTCGTGTGCAGACATGTGCGCGTGTAGACATGGGCGTGTGTACACATGCGTATGTACATACGTGTAAGGACGTGTGTGCACCCATGTATGGACACGTGCATGAATGTGCAGAGGTGTTGAGGGCGCATGTGCATCGCGCGCACAGCGATCATCCTCACCAGGCCGGGTGGTGCCCCAGGCTGTGCAGACCCTCGGGCTCCTTGTCAGGAAGGCCGCGCGTCCCCGGTCCCCGAGCCTCGCAGAGCCCTGCCCATCGAGTCGATGGGAGGGGCCCGGCCTGCGAGGCGCCAGAACAGCCCCGGGGTCCACGGAACGGAGGACGAGAGCAGGACGGGACCGCGCCAAGGCGCCAATACTGACGTTGTAACCTGGAGCCGGAGGACACGCGAGGACGCCAGAGCCGAAACCGGTTCCAGGGCACTCGGCCGTTCTAAGGCTCGAACTCGCCACCCAAGACCACGCAGAGCTTGCGAAAACGGGGCTGAGCCGGCGCGGCGCATGCGCGGGCGGCGTCCCGCGCACCACAGGGTCCTGAACACCCGCAGTTCCCGGGGCAGGGCCGCGTCCGGAAGTCCGTGGAACGGATCTTCCGATCCTTGTTCTCTGATTCGTTACCAACCTTCCACTTCCGTAGACAGTTCTTCCCGCCTTCCGCCGTCTGCTAGGCGTGTCGCCGCAGGAGGTGCGCGCCCGCCCTGTTTTGTTTCCGGGGGAATCTACTTCTCTGAAGGACGCTCGGGACTTCCGTTTGTTCCCCTCAGCTTCTAATTGGCTACTTTTATGAATATATTAGGGCACGAAAAGTGGTAGATTTTTTTCTTACACGTTCAAATTTTAAAAAAGACGATTAATTGAATGCGAACATTTGTGGTTTCCCACTGAACCGTGACATTTTTATAAATGTACCTCCATGGATAGCGAACAAGAAGTCACCCTCACCGAAAGGCGAGTGGAGCTTTCGTCCTTAAATAAAGTGCGCAGGGAAGCCGAGGCGTGTTGTATGAAAGGAGAGAAGGTTAGCACTCCCCTTGACAAGGATGGAAGAGGCCCTCGGGCCTGACAACACGCATACGGTTAAGGCATTGCCACCTACTTCGTGGCATCTAACCATCGTTTTTTTTTTTTTGGTGTTTTGTTTTTTATTTTTCTTCAGACGGAGTCTTATTCTGTCGCCCAGACTGGAGTGCAATGGCGCGATCTCGGCTCACTACAACCTGCACCCCCTGGATTCAAGCGATTTTCCTGCCTCAGCCTCCCGAGTAGCTGGGATTACAGGCGCGCGCCACCACGCCCGACTAATTTTTTTGTAATTTTAGTAGAGACGAGGTTTCGCTATGTTGGCCAGGCTGGTCTTGAACTCCTGACCTCAGGTGATCCGCCCGCTTCGGCCTCCCAAAGTGCGGGGATTACAGGCGTGAGTCACCGCAAAGCCCCGGGGCATTTTTCGTTTTATCTTTTATCTTCTTTCCTTGGGACACGGGCGCGGGTCGCACTTGTGCACGGGCGCGCCGTTCCGCCGCTGCTTGGGGCTTTTCCGTTCATCTTCACCGCCCGTTCTTGGCATTGGGTCGTGTTCGCGTCTCGACACCCGACAGGGCCCGTCTCCCGAGGGCGCCTCGGTCGCCGCATGAGGCACAGGGCGGCTCGGCGGGTTGACGGGCGCGTCCCTAGCATCGCAAACGTTCAGGGCCTGGTTCAAAGCCTGACGGAAGTTTCCGCTCAACATTGATTCATTCACAGAAAACTAAGCACTGGGCACGGCCCGGAGATACGGCAGCTACCGAGCGAAGCCGCTGCCCGGCCGGAGCGCATTCCCGGCCATTCCACAGCCTCCGCCCCGAGCCCCGTGGAGACCCGCTCCAGCGAGCAGGGCGGACGGGGAGGTCCACACCCAAGTCCAGATCCAAGGCGGCGCGAGGACCTCGGAGCCCTGAGACGCAGGGAGGGCCCCGCAAGGTCCCGGGGCTGGAGGGGAGCCAGGGGCCAGGAGAGGGATCAGGGGACGACCCGTTTGGCCCGGGGCCCCAGGGACCTGTGCAAGGACCTGAGCTTCGACCCTCGGCAAGGGCGAGACCTTGGAGAACCTCCCGCAGGGGAGGGACGGGACCGAATGAGCTCAAAGGACATCCCTGGCGGCCACGCTGAGAACAGCCCAGCGGGCAAGGATGGCAGCGGGAAGACCTTCGCGGCTGCGGCGGGGCGAGGCCGGAGGCCGGGTGCGGGCACCATGGAGGGGCTGAGAGCCCTGGGTTCTGGAGAAGATGTGCCAACAGCCGTGGAGGGCAGGGTCAGGGGTAACTGCAGGGTGTCAGTCCCCCTCCGGGGAAGGACGCGGTGCCACCTGCTGAAACAGCCAAGGCTGCGGGAGGCGCAGGCCCCGGGAGCTGGAGGGCCCGGCACTGAGGCCTGGGATGTGGAAAATAGGCAGGCCAAGTGCGCGCCGCTCCAGGGCTCAGGACTGCGCAGTCAGCACACCAGCCACGTTAAAGCCACAGCCTGGCTGCATCCCTTAGGAGAGAGTGGGCCGATCCAGGTGAGGGCTCAGCCTGGAGGCTGGAAACCGCAGCCCAGCTCGCCCCCTGCACCCCGACAATGAAGCTACCAAGCGGCCTTCATCTGTTAGAGCCCCTCCCCTCGGGGTCACCCCATATTCTGGTATTTCCCTCCCCAAAAGACCTTATGGGAACCCTCCCTCCTGCTCACCAAGCTTTTGACAGAAGAGTCGACTATCAGGAAAAACAGAGAGACCTTGAAATAGGCATAAGGAAAAAACCCTTTGCTCAACCTAAGGAGTCTAAGCAGCCATCCAGGTCCTCTCCACCTTTGCTCTTTGCTGTTCATTGTTCACAGCTCGAAATCGTAGGAAGCTCAATGTGCCTGCCCAGTGGGATGTGATTATTACTGTGGATTTTGACCTTTTGCCAGTTTGAATCTATTTGCAATTTGTCTTAGCATTCGTTTCCCTGCGTAAGTGTGGTACTTTCAAGCGGTTGTAACATCTTACAGGTCCCCTCATTAGTTGAGTTACATAAAATCTTTGCCAAGTGGATCTCACCTTTAACAGTACCTGCACCCCCTGCTCCACCACACCTGTCGGGCTTGGTGGTGAGGGTCAGGGTCTCCCCCAAGGGCATGAAATGCCATCTCAGCCCACAGCCCAGGAGCGGGCATCACTCTACTGGGATTCAGCATCCTCTGCCCTTCCTCTGGGTAACCATACCTGATTCTCCTCTTCACTGAGTCTTTCTTTTCTCCTATTTCTCAGAACTCATCCTTGACCCTAAGGTAGCTCCTTGCTGGGACGGTGAATCCACACTGCCAACACCTTACCCCACCGCAGTGTTTTGAGAGCTTCCTTCATGGGCTGAAGAGCAGGATGTGCCAGGATGTGCCACACAGCTTGTTTTCCTAAATGACACAGATAGACCCCACCTGTGCATGGTTTCCCATAGATGGAAACCACCAGAAAGGCACCCCAGAGAGTGAGAATGGCAAGCGTGATGAGAGCATTCGCCTGGCCTGTGTGTCCCCGTGCATCACGTCTGTCATAGGCACAAACTCCTGTATGTTTTTTAACATAGGACTCAAGTAAGGACTGGAAAGATGTTTATCAAATAAAACCAATCTGCTAATGAGTCAGCTGTTTGAACACGCACACAGCACCACCCACCGTGGTGGGTGCATGGAGCATGGCCGGCTGCCTCCCCCACTGCCAGGTTACAGGGAACACAGGAGACAGGAAGATGCTGAACAGCCCCACGGAGACGCACTCAGCAAAACCAGACCAGGAGGCCACAAGATAAACGACCTGGTTTCAACGATACATGGCACAGAAAAAAGAGGGAGGACCTGGCGATTTAAAAAGACTCGAGGGACCGGGCTCAGTGGCTCACGCCTGTAATCCCAGAACTTTGGGAGGCCAAGGCAGGCGGAGCACTTGAGATCAAGAGTTCGAGACCAGCCTGGCAGCATGGTGAAACCCCATCTCTGCTAAAAATACAAAAATTAGATGGGCGTGGTGGGTGGGGGTCTGTAGTCCCAGCTACTCAGGAGGCTGAGGCAGGAGAATCACCTGAACCTGGGAGGCAGAGGTTGCAGTGAGCTGAGGTCGTGCCACTACACTCCAGCCTGGGCAAGAACAAGACGTCTCCAAAAAAAAAAAAAAAAACAGCTAGTAAACTAACCAGATGCAGGTGAAGACCTTGTCTGGTTCCTGATTCCATACACAAGCATACATGTGTATGCATGCATTTGTGCATGTGCACACACATACCCTATGCACACATACCTTGCAGGTACATCTACATACACATACACATACACATGCTGTGGTTTGCTGCACAAATGTACTTGTGTGCACCCATGTACAGGTGTGCACTACATGCATATATATGTGTACACATGCATGTGACGTGTGTATGTGTGTGTATGTGTGTGTATGTGTGCACAGGCACAATTTTTTAAAACATACTAAGACAACGGGAAATCTGAACATCAGATATTCAATTAAATAACTTTAGGGGGGCTGGGTACAATGGCTCACGCCTGCAGTCCCAGCACTTTGGGAGGCAGAAGTGGATCACTGGAGGCCAGGAGTTTGAGACACGCCTAGGCACCACAGTGAGACCCTGTCTCTGCAATAAAAATATTCAAAAATTCGCTGGCCTGCCTGGCCAACATGGCAAAACCCCAACTCTACTAAAAATACACAAAATAGCCGGGCCTGTAATCCCAGCTACTCGGGAGGCTAGGCCCAAGAATCGCTTGAACCGGGATGTGGGGATTGCAGTGAGCTGAGATGGCACCACTGCACTCCAGCCTGGGTGACAGAGTTAAACCCTGTCTCAAAAATAAAAGAATTAGACAGGCATGATATCATGTGCCTGTGGTCCCAGCTACTTGGGAGGCTGAGGTGGGAGGATCACTCGTGTCCAAGAGGTTGAGGCTGCAGTAAGTCATGATCACACCACTGTATTCCAGCCTGGGCAACAGAGCAAGACCCTATCTCAAAAAAAAAAAAAAAAAAAAAAAAAGGCAGGGGGTTGGAGAACTTTTTTGGTATGAAAATGGCATTGTGGTAATAATGCTTCTGGAGACTTGTTTTGAGATACCATGCGTTCACCACTTACATGGTAGAATGTCTGGGATTTGTACTGAAATAACAGGAGGAGCCGATGAACAACGATGAAGTTCCTGCAGCAGGGACAGGAAACTGGGGGGCGCCACACTCTTCACATCTGAAAGCTCCTGTTAGTTTATAACGCATATCCTGGAAGATACGCCCCAGCATGGTGGTGGCAGCAGGACTTTGGAGGACCTCTCCTCATCCGTGCCTACCTGCCTAACACTGTCAGTAATTAGCACACAGGTATATACCTAAGAGTGGAAAAACCAATACAAAATACATAGAATAATTAGCACAAATAGATGACTTTCCTAAGGTTACTGTAAAAACCCAGGACTGTCCTGCGGGGCACCCTGGCTCACCAGACACCACCCCCACCACCGGGGACAAAGCCCCAGGGCGGCCGCCCTCCCACCCCACAGAGACAGCTACGTTTTAAGTTAAGAAATTCTCACCAGACTAAATTAGAAGACATGAAAATTTTTATTTTCAAAAAGAATGTATTTTTACATAAATCTACAACAGAATTCAAATGTAGAAAAAATAAACTATATTCAGGGATACAGCGCTCAGCACAGCACACCCCCTCCCCGGAGTGGGCCGTCCCCCCAGAACAAGACTGAAGGGGCCTCGCCGGCCCCAGGACCCCCACAGCAGGGCAGCCACAGGCTGGCACGCGGAGCTCCCCGTGTCTGTCACAACAGACTGCAAATGCGAGGCGCCCAGACCCTGAGCGTCGAAGACAAAAACCAACCCATTTTCACTGTGGCAACTCACTTCTTAGTGCAGGTCACTCATCCGTACACCTCATCGGAAACAGAGGGGCAGGGGAAACCACAGGATATACATCTCCAGATGCCTCAGATAATCCCCTCCTCACCCCTGCCACTCGAGGACCTCCAGGAGAGCCCACCTGACAAACCCCCCGCTTCCTCCCTGGGCCGGTGCAACCAAAAACCTGCAGGATTCATCCAGGACTCCAGGCCCTGAGAAAGGCAGAGCTGGCTGAGCTCCCCCAGGACTCCAGGCCCTGAGAGAGGCAGAGCTGGCTGGGCTCCGGGGCCAGGGCCCTCTGTAGACCCAGGACCCAAGCTGGCTTCCCAGAGCATCACAGCCCCAAAGCCCTGCCCCGTGGGACAGACCCAGGCACCTGTGCCCTCAGCCACCCTGCTCCGCCCTCACTGTGTGTGGCAACCCTCACCACAACTGTCTCCATGGGCAGGTTCAGGTTTCAGCCTCGCTCCCCAGAGGCTCCCGCTCGGCCTCTGCTGTTAACTGCTGTGCAGGTGAGCACCGGGAAGCCACACTGCCAGGAGCACAGGCAGAGGGGCAGGCAGGCGAGGGCTCCAGCAGGGACGGCGAGGCTCGCGCTTAGCACCCAACCCCTCGAGGAGTCCGAGGGGCAGCACTGGCCCTGCAGCCCTCATAGGGCGCATGAGTCCCACTGGCATCTGACCTGGAGTAAGGGACTCAGGGAGCCTTACCATGCCACAGGTGTCCCCCACATCCCAACGCAAGTCCATCAGGAGCTTGGCTCCTTCGCAACTAAGAACCTCCCCACCCCCGTTCCCCGCCCCCAGCAACACTGAACAATGAACCTAGAGAGGAAGGCGTCTTCAGAGAGCAGGTGCAGCCAGCCTCAGCACCTCCTGTCCAAAGAAACCTTCCACCCTCTTGCCCCAGGGGAGCCTTTCTCCAAGAAAGCCACATGGAGACGAGCTTCACAAGGACGCACTTGCCACAACCATTCACAAAACCCCACCTTTTATTACAGTCTGCGGTGCTGCTTGTTGCAGGGACACTGAGACAAACGGGAGAGTCATGTGCGATGACCGTGCTATCGGCATGTGGGCCACAAACTCCCAAGACACAAACGGCTCTTTACACAGAAAACAACCACTCAATGCTGTTTTCCAGAAAGACGAAAATACACTAGGAACAGCTACTGGCGGGAATGGAGGAGTCAGGGCCCTGGGCCAGGGCATCTACGCAGCAGAGAATGGGGGCGGCCGGCGTGGGCCAAAGGGGAGGCCAGCTGGCGGGGCCACGGTGGCGGTGACAGGCCACAGCGTGCACTGGGTCATGGAATATCAAAAAGATACAGAACGTTTACTGAAAAAACACAACGCATGTTAAATTGAACTTCACCCTTCTGTAATAAAAAATTAAAAACTTTTGTTGACTCTGTTTGAACACAATAGACTAGGAACTCTTCCCTAGACAGTGTTAGAATTGGCAAGAAATGTCACCAGCAACTTTTAAGAACTTTCCGGTGGTCCACACCTTCCGCTCGGCCAAATCATCTTCAGAGAGGAGGCTCAAATCAGGCCCTGTCCTGACCCCCAGGCGCAGATCTGGGGGACCACCTCCAAGACACCCTGTTTCTTGCCAATCCGGGTCAACTTCCCGACAGTCTCTCGCGGGCAGGAGCAAAGGGACTTAGCAGTCACTCTTCCACAGTTTAATTGTTTTGTCATTTTCTAGCGCAGCAGAGGCGATGATGTTTTCTGTTGGGTGACAAGCTGTTGAGATCACGACATCTGAAAACAAAGACACAGTCAGAACCAGAGCCATCCCTGCGCCTGGGTCGGGGACGCCATCCCAGACTGAGCTCCACCTTTCTCCAGAAACGCGGGTAGCGCCTGCCCGCCACCTGGGAGGTCACAGGACAAGCACCCACTGCCCACCTTCGACACAGGGAGCCCAGGGGAGGGGAGCGAGGGGACAGCAGCCGGTACCAGGGCGACACAGCCGGTTGGGGGACAGGGGCAGGAGGCCACAGGGAGTGCCAGCCCTGCCTGCAGACCAGGAGCCCCACACGCCCCCACCAACAGCAGCTCGGCGCCCACAAGGAGGAGCGCGGCAGCAGGACTGGCTCAGAGGCTGGCGCGCACAAGGACTGCAGTCAGACCCCTCACAGTCCTCAGTCCTTTATCGACAATGTCCCTCTTCTCCTCGGACCCTGAGCCGCCCACTCCCACCGCCTCCCCCCAATGCTAAGCCCCAGAGCACCCCACAGGGCTGGCTCTGTCACAGCAAGGACAAGTCCACCACCCAAGCAGGGAGGTCAGAACTAACAGACTGGTGGTGCAAGGTCGGCCACATCAAAGTGTTTACAGCTTCTACGTAAACCAAAGAACCCCAGAACGCCGGCGAGGACCCAGGGGAAGGCCCAGGCCCGCCGTGGAGCGTAAGCACTGACCCCAGGCTGGGTGAAGCTGCTCACAGGGAGGGAGAAGCAGTGCCTCCCCAGATTTCCACAAGGGCTCGAACCCCCTGCTCTCGTTGGCTCCATGAGACGTGGAAATGCAGGGCCAGAGGGTGAGGAAGTAGCGGCGGCTGCAGAGGGCAGCCGGGACCCACAGAGGTGGCAACCCCAGGTAGCCTGGGAACCAGCTCCGCCGTGGAGCCCACTAGGCCTGCATGCAGCTGGGGGGTCTCTCTGGGAGAGGGAACAGGTACCCGAAAGGAGCCAGAGCCTCCAGGATGGGGCAGCGATGACCTCACTGTCCCCAGCCCAGGAAACAGAGCTCGCCGTGACGTGGGACGGGCTGCACCCACCTAAAGTCCCACAGCCACACACACCTTCCGGACCAGCATGCCTGGCAGAACAGGGAGAAACAGGGTTCAAGCCAGGAGCCCGGGTCTGAGTCGGCAGCACAGTGACCAGCTCCATGCCTTGGGCAAGAGCTCTTAGCAGCGGTTCCTCAGCGGGGCCAGCGGAGGGCTGAGGTGGGAAGGGGAAGACGACGGCACCCTACGGGCACACCACGCTTCACCTGCAGGAACTGTCCTCACATCAACAGGCAGCCAGTGACTGCAGGAGCGCAGGCCCTCACCTGTGTGGCCTTGTAGTTTCTGTACAATCTCTTTCGTCTGAAGGTTCCAGATGTAAACAAGGTTATCCTCTGAGCCAGACACAATCCACTACGTAACAACAAGCAGGGAAAACAGGGCAAGGAAAAGCAGGTCAGAGCTCATGCATGTGAAAGGGAGAGAATCTCCAGTTATGCCCTGCCCCACGCCCACCCTGCTGGTGGCTGCCTCGCTGAACTCAACCAAAAAGCCCTGCCTGCCCTCCAGCCAGGCCTGAGGCTTCCTCTCCCAATGGGGACAGCCCCGCCTGCTCTATCCCAGCACCGGCCTCGCTCACAGAAGCCAGGCACCTGCCTGCCCCAGGAGAGGCTTCCAGGATGGAAGATGCTTCTCAGGTCACCCTTTTCTGAGTCTGTGTGTCACACACATGTTGCCCGAGTCACCCCGGTCTAAGACAGGAGCATCGAGACCAGTGTGGGTGGGCGGGAAAACACACTCCCCTCCCTGCTGGGGCCGGTGGACGACAGCCCCGGAGCCAGCGCACCCACCCAGGGACACCCTGAGCACACAGAGCTCCACCTGTTGGGTCCCAGCGCCCTCGGAAGGTGTCAACCAAGCACTGCCAGCAAAGCCCGACAACAGGCTGCCTGCCTCCGTTAAGGAGATGGACCTAGAAACAAACGGGACAAGGTGTCCCCGGTACTTGGCGCAGTGCGCTTTGGTTGAAATGGAAATTCATTTTGTGGGCACAGAAAAGTGTCTCTGAGTATAAAGCAACCTGTAACAGGTGTGACCTCTCGGGAGAGTAAGCTGGGAACAGGTGAGACGCTTCAAGGTTATGAGACTCACCTTCCCACCAGTAACAGAGAAATTGGCAAATATGCAGTATTTCTCATTCTTGTGGCCAGTGTACGTCTTCAGGCACTGAAACAGGAGGGGACAGGCTGGTCACAGAGTCATGGTTCCCCTTGATTTTGTGTAATTCTACGTTCTAAGCAAGGCGTTTCACTACTCACTTCACTTATTTCTGAAAAGTACAAGTACCAAACCCACACAATCGAAGATTTAACTTGCAGACTGCCACCCTACAAATACCCAGGTCTTTCAGGAATTCGCACCAAACCCAGCGGAGATGGCTCTCTGAGCTCCTCTCCTTTGTCATCACCGGGGCCAGCTCTGTCCCCACCAGAGGCCATGACCCAGGGATGGTGCACCATGGGGGCCCAAGCCTGCGGGGGCTCACCTTCCCCTTGCTGTAGTCCCAGAGCTTCAGAGTGCTGCAAGACAGAGAGAGGGGTGAGGCGGCATGTCTGGAGGCATCCTTCTGTCCCCACACCCAACTCTGCAGCCACTACGTCACAGCCACCATCAGCGCCAGGTGCAAAAGCCAGCGGGGCTGGAACCCCCTTCCCCATCAGGGTAAGGAGCCCCTCAGGCTCAAAGTCCAGTGACTTGGCGTCTGAGAGCACAGTGTGACAGCCGCAAGTATTTGTAGTTCCAAGAGAGACTTTAACAGGAAGCTGATGGGTGTTATCGTCCCTGACTCGGGTCATCCTCAAAAGGGTGAGGAAGTCCTCTTGGTTCTGGAAACATCCAGAACAGGTTTTACCACCCAACCACACAGCCCTCAGAGGATCAGGGCCCAGGCTCGGACCCACAGGGCTGAGGGTGCACGCATGGGAAAGCTGGAGCTTAGAGAACAGCCCAGGAGGGCAGTGGCTTTGTGAGAGGTAAAATCAAGATGCTCAGAGGTCAGAACCAGAAAGGGCCTTGGAGGCCCCCGGACCGCCGACTCCTTCATGCGGGATGGCTAGGCCTGCCCTGGCCACAGTTGCTCAACCAGAAAACGGACCCTAAATCCTCCTATAGTCGGACCTGAGGTTCAGCCTCGGGAAGGGATGGACGGGGGCCTGCCCTCCGACCTAACAGGCCACTGCCCAGAAGCCGAAGCTCCACCAGGAGCCTGGATCCCGTGCCAAGCCCACAACACGCTCTCCAAAGGCTCACGCTGGCACGCAGGTGTCTCTGGCTGGGGAGGCCACATGCCCGCCCCCACAGTCCCACGCAGTACTCACTTGTCCAGCGTGGCGGCCAGGATGTATTTGCCGTTCGGGGAGAACTTCACAAAAGACACGGGGGGGTTGTCGTCATCTGCAATAAAAACGGACAGGTGACACACGGCGGGCGCTGACAGCCAGGCAGGGACAGGAGGTGGGACCCGCTCCCCATCCCCCACGTGCGACATCTGAGTGAGGTCGGCCACCACCATCAGTGCCAGCACCACCACCCCTCGCCGCCCCGAAGGGTGGCCTAGCCACGCACACCAGCCGTGAGCAGGTTCTTGACACCTCAAGCCCATAGGCCCGGGGGCCCCTTGACACCAGGACTTTACGAATACAGGCCTCCTGGGGCACCAGGCCATGGGCACTCTCAGGAATCACCTGCCTCACAGGGGATGGATAAGGCTGGCGAATGCCCAACTCAACAGAGGGACAACTCCACCAGCAGCAAAGAGGGCTGGGGAATCACCTCGGAAATTCTCCTTTAAGAATTTATCGACGCAAGGGGCATCTGCACCCACAGAACCCATCTGTTTGTTGTCACATCCACAGCTAATGCCCCAGGCCTATCAGCTGGACTCTGCAGCCCTGAGGGCAGAGCAGAGCCGCTGCTTCTCACACAGCTGAAAAAGAGTCAAGGTTCCCAGAAGCTGTCGATGTACAGGTCAGAGTTTTCAGGACATGGCAACCCCACGACCCTCAGAAGTGGAGGAAGGCATCTCCTCTCACCTGAGTGAGGAGGAGGGAATCTCAAGGAAGGTGTGTCCTGGTGCAGGCCCCACCCCTGGGCCCCACCAGAGACCCCCACCGACCCCCAAGCACGTGCACGCGCTGGTGTGTCCCGAGCACCGGGAAGGACACGGCCCTCAGCATTACCACCACGGGGACGCCTGGCCTCGCCAGGCACCTGGCGTCTCCGCTCCCTCAGCCCGGTCACATACACTGAAAAGGCACGGGAGACGCTGTGAGGCCATGCGGTCCCTCCCTCAGGGGCACACCACGTCACACCGCCAGGCAGGCCGAGGTCACAGTGAGGGCCGGGGGGCCGGGCTCCCTTAACACAGCTGATGGCAAGCGTGTCCGCATGCCTAACCCAGGCTGCCTGGGCAGAGCCTCACAGAGATGAACGCATCAGCCAACCTGTCTCAGTGAAGTCCAGAAGGGTCTAACTCGCTAGACCTGAGGAGACGCCGATGGGAAAACTGCTATGCAGCGACCCCTCCGTCCCCACCCTGGGCTCAGGGGCGCCCAGGCTGGAATCCCAGTCCCTGCACCTGCTTGCTGTGGAGCTTTGGGCTAGTGAATGAGCCTCTATGCAGGATGAGGACAACCCCCCTCCTCAGAGGTGGCCGTGAGGGTTACGTGTGCTCACACAACAGCGGCGCACACAACTGAGCACAGGTGGCCCGTCCAGGGGACACCAAGTGCGGTGTGATCTCAATCAGGAGAGATGCATGGCAAAAGGCTGGCCCCACAAGGCAGGAAGCTATAAAGACCGCTGTGGCAAGGGGACTCATGCTGAAGCCCAAGCCTCCAGAGCCTCAGAGGCGAGTGTACTGGAGACAGGGCCTTCAAAGAGGGCGACAGAGTGAAAATGAGGCCCAAGGGTGGTGTCCTTACAAGAGGACATTTGGACACACGGAGGCACCAGGGACACTGGTGTGAAGCCAGGGTAAGGCAGCGTCTATAAGCCAAGAAGAGGCCTCCTCAATCCTGACCACAGCCTCCTGGACTGCGGGGAGACACATTCCTGCCACAGATAGCCTCCCAGCCTGTGGGGCTTGGTCTCAGCTAGGCCAGCAGGCTATGACAGACTAGAGGGAAGAAGGGCGCAAACGGGGTGCCTCCCCACACGGGGGTCCATCCCCCCATCCTCACCACCCAGCTCCCTCCTCAAGGTGCGCCCCATCCCACACATCTAGCCTAGGCTTCTTAAACACGAACACTCCCCGGATGAAAACCCTTCCGCTCCTTTCTGCAGGCTCTGCAAGGGGCAGCTGGGAACCCCGGGCCGTCACAGACCCTCAGGCCACACCCTGCCCAGCACCTGGCCTTCCCATCCAGGCCACGCCACGTCCCTCCTTCCTCTCCTCAGGCCTGTCCTCCGTGCCCCCAGGACACCTCCATCCACCTCGGCAGCACCCCCAGCAGATGGGCAGGCACTCAGCCGGTCACTCAAGGAATGATCCAAGAGGCTGGCACGACAGCAGGGGCCCGAAGCCAGGAGGCAATGGGGCTGCCCAGAGGACTCCAGTGAGCAGCCGGAGTGAGGCCGACAGCACAGGTGGAGGAGCCCCAGGCTGGCCCAAGAGAAAGGCCATGGCAGGAAAACTGCACCAGAAGGAGCAACAGAGCCAGCGGGCGGTCAGGGGGAGCTGGCGGAACGGTCGGACACGGAGGAAGGTTCCTCCTGCAGGGGCGGACCCAGGGCAGAGGAGGGAGGAGGAGCTGGTGAAGAACAGGGGCAGTGAACCCAGCAGGGGAGGCCCTCCCCACAGACCCAGCCCCCACACAGAGCCACACTCACCGATGAGCGTCTTCAGGCACTGGCCTGAGGCGGTGTCCCAGATGCGACTTCGAAGCAAAGAGAACAAAAAAGCGTAAGCAGACAAGTTATGATCTCACGCGGGCTGCTGGGAGTCAGATATAAATTTTAGGACTAGCACGCTTTTCCCTATCTTTTTTTAAAAGTTATGCTTCACCTGTTTAACAGTCATTCTCTTATATTCTAGGGACAAAGACTAAACACTGTCCATACAAACATCAACAGTCCACACATGCTACACACGTGCAGACCATGTGTGGGGTACCTCTGGATCTCTCCTACACAAGCCACAGTTGACCCCCAACACAGAGCGGGAAGCCTGTTGCTCTCTCCACTCTCCCTGGCCAAGGAGAGGGGCAGCAGCAGCCCAGTGCTTCTCGCAGGCTCTGCCCACGCTCATGCAAACACATGCAAGCAATGAGAGGGCTTCTTTCAAAACAAAAATTTAAGAGTATTGTAAGCAGTCTTCTGGACTATTCCCAGAAGGTACAAGCCAGGCATTTACATTGTTCCAATTTCAGGGTTTCTGTGATTTCTGCCAATACAGACGCATTCTGGAAGCAGAGCCCACTGTGTTAGCACCCACAATTCTACTGCACAGATGCCAGCAGCGGGGAACAGGCTCGGGTCACACGTGGACAAATCATTCCCCAAGCACGAGACCCCATGGCCGCCATGCACGGTCCCTCCCATCTCTCACCCATGGAGAAGCCGCCTCTGGGAGGGCCCCGAAGCTCTCTGCTCTGCACACCCACCTCCTGTTCTGCCCACACTTCAATAATCCAGGGACGAGACCACACTGGACCTCAGACACTTCACCCAGGGTTTTCAAACCCAGAAGCAGCAACTCTCCTCCCAACTCTGCATCTTCTCAATTCTCTCAGCAACAGCTCCATCCTGCTGCCCCATGGATCTCAAATTCATGTCCTCTAGCTCCGCAATCACTGCGGGAGGGCCTCTCCGGAGCCGCCTCATCTCCTAACCCTCAAGACCTAACCCCCGTGTGTCCTTTCAGTTCCATTTCTCATTTCCTGCATTGGTCCTGCTCCTTCTCACTAGCCGCATTCCTAAACATCTTAGCATTTTTGTCACTGTTAAAATGGAAACATTTTCCCCATCTTCTAACTGGCAATTCCTAGTATACAGAAAAAAGTCCATTTTCAAGCACTGATGGCACTAAACGCGAGATCACACCACGTAGCTAGCAGGGCAGGGGGTTCCAGGCCCAGACTCCAGAGCTGACACGGGTTCTGGTCCTGCACTGAGCAACTGAGAGACCGTGGTAACTGTCCCTGCCTGAAAAGCAAGGCTGACAGTACCCACGTCACAGGGTTAAATGGGTATTTGAAAAGCAGTGTTGGTGGCTTTTAAATATTTTAAAACATGCAAACATATCTACAAAGATGTGTATCTCTATTCAATTTTCATAGGACTATTTTTTCATTTTCTTACACTAACTAGAAACTCCCAACAATGCTGAGTAACATGGGAACCAAGCACACCTGTCCCACTTCTGATTTTCATAGAAAGAGTTTCAGCATGTCGCCACATGTGAAAATTATTAGTTACCAGTAAGTGGTCAACAATACTGCTCTATCTTGCTGAAGGGTTGGCTGCTGGATATTATCAATCAGGCGCCTTTTTGACCCCTACTAATTAATAACAGACAGAGACATTTAACGCCTTTAATCTGTTGGTAGAATTAGATAATAGGTTTCCTGATGTTTACGTTATAATCCTTTCATTATCCAATAATGAATGAATTCCTTGGCTATGGGAATTCCTTTCTGTGCACGGTAGGCTCAGGAGGCTGCTACTTCCTCTGGAATCCTGGCATCAACATTCACCAGTGAGTTGCCCTCTGTGGTCTTCCTCTGGGACCAGCAATCAAGGCTTAGGTAGCAAGCTCATGCTAAAACCAAAGACATGAACCAGGGAGCTCCCTCCCGCCTGTGGTCTCGAATCGTTGGGATAAGCTTCAAAGTTCACTATTGAACTGGATTCAGATACAAAGTCACAGGGGACATGTTCTTTTCAGGCCTTCAATCCCCTTTTCCAGCCTCTTCAGCGGTGACTGCTCCTTAAGGCACCATACCCAGGGCCCCTTTAGGAGCTGTGGCCGAGCTCGCTGCTGGAGCCGAGGCACTGCTCAGGCTGGACGGAGGCTTCTGACTCCCGCTTCCTCCCGCTGCGGTGCTTCCAACCACCTCCTAGTTCTCATCTTGCTTATTTTGCTTTTTCCATTATGGGACTTAAAAGGCTTTCATTACTAGCCTCATCAAAGAAGACATCTTATATCATCTATGTTCTCATTTGTTTCCCATTTCCCTCCTAATTTCCTTGGTATACTTTTTCTGATTTCTTTAGAAAGTTCTTAGAGCCAGGTCCATGAGTAATTCTGAGACTGTCCCGTGCTCACTTCCCTGTTGGTGACACACACACAGAGGGGCCGGGAGGGTGGCACCAGAGAGGCCCTGGCAGCTCCACGCTCGCCCATAGCTCACCCTGTGCACCCCTCCCCTCTGGCTGTTCCTGAAGTGTATCCTTTATAATAAGCTGGTAAATGGTCAAGTGTAAACGATGGCTTTAACCGTGGAGACTACTGGCCAATGTGGGGCTCCGGATGACCTCATTTTTGCCACAGCACATCCCAGTGACCTCAGCCCCAAACGCCATCACAGTGCTGCAACCGCAGCTTGAACCTTGCGAGGCGATGGCCCGGAAGTGTGTGCTGTGAAGCCCATGGGAGGCCGGTGGTTGGGTGCAACTCGACTACGACCCTCTCCCACCAGACCCGTCTTCTCAAGACCGATGGGGGGTCATGCATGGCGACTACAGACTGTGACCCCCTGGGGATCCCCACGCCAACAGTCACTGGGGAGTCAGACTGGGAAACAGATTTCGAGTGTGCGTGTCCACCTGAGGGTTCCCTGCAGGAAGTCCTAGTAAGATCTTCAATTCTGCCAGTGGCTGCCACCGTCCTCCTCCTCCCCAGTGACCAATCTGAACAGCTTATGATGTGTCCGCCCCACATCCAAAACACAACCCAAACACTCCACTCCCCCAACTCGCTCCCATCAGACATTTCGCTGAGTTAACCTCTACTTCTCCACTTCCCTTGTGTCTCCTGAGGAGTGCTGGACACAGATTACCAAGTCCAAGCACTACAAACACCTGCTGAGACCTAGGTGGGCTTTCTGCAGGAGACCCTGTCACTCTTCCTCCTGCCCTTCTCTATGCTGCCATCTGCTTGGGTTCACCTGCCCGGGATGGTGACGCATCCTCACAGGGCAAGACGGCATCACTCAGCATCCTCCCAGAGCAGCACAGCTTTCACCTCAAGGGGTCCAAACACCCATTTTCCACGAGCGTGTGAACAGCACACGTCAGCGTCTACACGGAGCTGAAGTCTGATGGAGGAGGCCCTCCCTGACCCACCCTAACAACAAGGACATCTTCCCAGGCATGCCGCCCCACCACCTGTGCTGCCAACCCCGAAACTGCACTGCCTATCTGCTAACATGTCTGCAGCGTGGCCAGAAGAGAAGCTTCGGAAATTAAGGACTTGGGTCTTTTGTCACTGCTGTACCCCCAGATGCAGGAACAGTGCAAGAGCTGGCCCTTAGTTAAGCACTCATCGCTTCATGAAGTAAAATGTTTTCACTTACCAGAGACCATCATAGCTACTTGAAACTATCAAGGATCCATCACGATTAAAATGAACCTAGGAATTAAGGAGAGGAAGAAGAGACAAAAACTTACTTTCAAGTCAGGGACACAACTGCTTCTTACCTGATCTCAAAAAAAAAAAAAAAAAAAAAAAAAGACTGAGTTATGTTTTTTTGTTTGTTTGTTTTCAGAAAGAGTCTCGCTCTGTCACCCAGGCTGGGGTGCGATCTCAGCTCACTGCAACCTCCACCTCCCAGGTTCAAGCAATTCTCGTGCCTCAGCCTCCCAAGTAACTGGGATTACAGGCATGCACCACCACGCCCAGCTAATTTTTATATATATATATTTTTAGGAGAGACGGGGTTTCACCATATTGGCCAGCCTGGTCTTGAACTCCTGACCGCAAGTGATCCACCCGCCTTGGCTTCCCAAACTGCGGGATTACAGGTGTGAGGCACCGCGCCCACCCTTTTTTTTTTCTTCATAAGAGAAACAGGGTCTCCCTATCTTGCCCAGGCTGGTCTCGAACTCCTGAGCTCACACGATCCTCCCACCTTGGTCTTCCGAAGTGCTGGGAGTACAGGCATGAGCCACTGCACCCAGCCAAGGATAAGCCTTCTCACAATCAAACAGCACCTTTGGAAACTATCTTGTCTCAGGCTATGGGTGCTGAAACATTTCCTGGGTGAAATCAAGCCACACAAGGAAGCCGTGGTTTAATGATTCGGGGATGGGACTGAGGTTGTCTGCTTCTACTGTCTAGTAGAAGCAGTTTCCCAGCCTTGGCACCACTGACATTTTAGACCAGACTCTTCCGGGGGGGACAGGGTGGTACTGCCCCTGTGCAGTGGCAACCTTGTCCTTTGCTCACTAGATGCCTATAGCTCTGACAACCAAAAATGTCTCCAGACATTGCCATGTGTCCCCAGAGGCAAATCCACATGCATCAAAGGCACCGGTGAGCTACTATGGCAGAGACTGCTAGGCCCCATCCCCAGGGCTTCTGATTTGACCAGTCCAGGAGGGGGAGTCCAAGAACATAAATTTCGAACAGGTCCCCGGGGCATGCTGCCTGCTGCTGCACGCCCAGAGAAGCACTAGGCTAGACTCTGCAAGAGCCTGCCAGCCACACGTGTAATTTTAATTGTTCTAGAAGCTACATTAGAAAAGCTTAAAAGACAAGTGAAATTACTTTGGTAACATGTAACCCAATGTATCTAAAATATTATTTCAACATAATCAACACAAAAAGTTATTACAAGACACTTTACTTTCTTTTTTTGTGCCAGGTCTCTGAAATCTGCAGGTACCTCACACAGCCCTGAGCTCTGGGCCATCATGCGGCTGGCAGCCTCTATGCTGGGCATGCTGGGTACTGCAGCCCTAGATGTTCTCCAGCAGACACAGAGGGGTGAGTACCTGTTTCTGCTCCAACAGGGTGCTCTCACCGTGCCAGCTGCTTCACTGCAACCATCTGGCCGGCAGCCTCTCAAAGTACTTTTCTAACTCACAGTGATCCATCTAACCACATTCATCCCTACCTTTAAATGTGCAAAACAGTCTCTTATTGAGACTATTACGATGGATGTAACAGTAACAAGACAAAACAAGTCCCCAAAACTCACAAGGCCAACTCCATGCTTTGCTTTGTTCAGCTTCTTAACCACATCCAAATACTACCCACTGGCAAACATGGCCTGGCTCTACCATTCCACCCACATTCAGGTGCAAGGGGCAATACAGCCCATCCACTGCACTCCAGCAGAAGGCTGCCAGAAAAGTTAACTTCGAGGAGGTAGATAAGGGAGGCCGGGCGCGGTGGCTTACGCCTGTAATCCCAGCATTTTAGGAAATCAAGGTGGGCGGATCACTTGAGGCCAGGAATTCGAGACCAGCCTGGCCAACATGGTGAAACCTTGTCTCTACAAAAAAATACAAAACTTAACCAGGCGTGGTGGCATGAACCTGTAGTCCCAGCTACTTGGGGGGCTGAGGCAGGAGAATCACTTTAACCCAGGAGGCGGAGGTTGCAGTGAGCCAAGATCGCGTCACTGTATTCCAGCTTGGGCAACAGAGTGAGACCCTGTCTCAAAAAAAAAAAAAGACCCAGCACTTCAGGAGGCCGAGGTGGGCGGATTATGAGGTCAGGAGATCGAGACCATCCCGGCTAACACGGTGAAACCCCATCTCTACTAAAAATATAAAAAAAAATTAGCCGGGCATGGTGGAGGGCGCCTGTAGTCCCAGCTACTCAGGAGGCTGAGGCAGGAGAATGGCGTGAACCCGGGAGGTGGAGCTTGCAGTGAGCTGAGATCACACCACTGCACTCCAGCCTGGGCAACAAAGTGAGACTCTGTCTCAAAATAAATAAATAAATAAATATTAAAAAACAAAAAAAAAAAAAAGAAAGAAAGAAACAGAGAAGGTAATCAGCCAGAACCCAGCAGGGGATGGCAAGGCCCCTAGCCAAGGAGCACTCCAAGTGCTCTGCGGAGTCGACTTGGGCAGACAAGCAGTAGCAGAAGCTCCAGGGCAGGAAAAACACAGGTCCCGGGTGCAAGGAGGGCGCGAGGGCTGTGGATGATGGGGGTCGGCAGCGGCCCTCAGCCGAGGAGCCCTAGCCAGAGAGGGCAAACCCTGGCCAGAGAGGGGACAGGGATGGGAGGCAGTGAGCAGGGGGCCACATGCCTCTAAGTCTCTAAAGCTCCAAAATGTACCTGTCAAAAAGCTAAACACATATCCTGACTACTGCATTTCCCCTCCAAAGCCATCCCGCACAAACGGCCACAGATGCAAACAGGATGCTCACTGCACTCCTTTTTGTCAAAGTGAGAATTACACATAAGCACTCACTGAGAGGCGACTGGCAGAGTCCTTGCTCACACAGCAGGCCCACACCAGCAATCCAAGGGCATAGATGTGCGCAGACATCAAAGGTGCCCCAGGCCAGGCGCAGCGGCTCACGCCTGTAATCCCAGCACTTTGGGAGGACCAGGCGGGCGGATCACTTGAGGTTAGGAGATTGAGACCAGCCTGGCCAACATGGTGAAACCCTGTCTCTACTAAAAATACAAAAATTAGCCAGTCGTGGTAGTGGGCACCTGTAATCCCAGGTACTTGGGAGGCTGAGGCAGGAGAACCCCTTGAACCCAGGAGGCAGAGCTTGCAGTGGGCCAAGATCGCACCACCGCACTCCAGCCTGGGCAACAGAGTGAGATTCTGTTTCAAAAAAAAAAAAAAAAAAAACAAAGCCCCACAAACCTCTCTGCAGTGGAGACAGCTACAGAGCAGCAGCTGTGGAGTGGAGACAGCTACGGAGCAGCAGCTGTGATGTGGTACCAGTTATTTAAAGGACAGGAGTGAGCTACCCTGGAAAATATGCACCTAAAAAAGCAAAGTAGAAGACCACAGAGGGACCGACTCCACCTCCTGGCAGCTGACCCCAGGGGTGGCTCAGGGAATTCATTTTCTACTTCCTACATTTGCTCACCTTTGTGGTTTTTTTAAGACATGGGGTCTCACTCTGTCACCCAGGCTGGAGTGCAGTGGTACCATCTTGCTCACTGCAGCCTCAAACTCCTGGGCCCAAGCAATCCTCCCACCGTCCTCCAAGTAGCTGGGACCACACGTGCGCATCACTACGCCCGGCTAATTTTTGCTTTTTGTATAGAGACAGGATCTCACTATGTTGTCCAGGATGGTCTCAAACTCCTAGTCTCATGGGATCCTCCTGCCTCAGCCACCCAAAGTGCTGGAATTACAGGTGGGAGACATGGCACCCAACCTGTTTTTGTGTTTTTTTATGAGCAAACGTGACTTTCGTAAGAAAAAAAGACTTTTAAAATCCTACCTATCAACCGCGAGTCCCACCTGCGCTATCTTTGGCCTCTAGGATGCTCACAGAATTCTTTCTTCCAACTCAAAGGCCACCAGCGAACCCCTTTCTCAGGTTACTTCACAAGCGTTCATTTGTCAGCCCCAGTCTGAAGGTCAGCTCTGCTGACTATGACCCAAGGTGTCCTGGAGGGCAGCGGACTGGCACCAAGGGGCTGGGCCCGCAAGCACACAGCCACAAGCACAGGGCCACATGGTGCCATCCCCACAGCAAACGGCCTCCCCGCAGCAGTGACACTGGGCCCGCGAGGGTCTTGTGGCCCAGCTATGTGCGGGGCTCAGACCCCGCAGCCCCGCCCAGGCCTGACACACTGTCCGTCCGGGCAGTATCAGGGCTTCGCCTGCCATCTCACTCGGGCAAAGCCTTCCAAGGGTAAAAATGCTTAAACCCATTCACCGCCAAGATGGCACAAAGTGAAAGGCACACGGGCAGGCAGCATGGGACAAATGCTGCATCCACCCTTCCTTCCGCTTCTCAACGAAGGGCAGGATTGGCCAAGAAACTACCTCATGCACTTTGTTAACAAAAGAACTTTCTGGCCACTTTGTGAAATGGAGCGGTTTATGATACTGTGTAGTTTAACTCTTGGCCATTTGTTCTTGATTTTTTTTTTTTTTTTAAAGACAGAGTTTTGGCCGGGCGCAGTGACTCACACTTGTAATCCCAGCATTTTGGGAGGCCAAGGCGGGAGGATCACGAGCTCAGGAGATCGAAACCACGGTGAAACCCCGTCTCTACTAAAAATACAAAAAATTAGCCAGGCATGGTGGTGGGCGCCTGTAGTCTCAACTACTCGGAGAGGCTGAGGCAGGAGAATGGCATGAACCCGGGAGGCGGAGCTTGCAGTGAGCCGAGATCGCAACACTGCACTCCAGCCTGGGCAACAGAGCGAGACTCAGTCTCAAAAAAAAAAAAAGACAGAGTTTCGCTCTCGTCACCCAGGCAGTGGTGCGATCTCGGCTCACTGCAACCTCCGCTTCCCAGGTTCAAGTGATTCTCTGGCCTCAGCCTCCCCAGGAGCTGGGATTCCAGGCACGCGCCACCACGTCCAGCTGATTTTTGTATTTTTAGTAGAGACGGGGTTTCACCATGTTGGCCAGGCTGGTCTCAAACTTCTGACCTCAAGTGATCCACCCGCCTCGGCCTCCCAAAGTGCTGGGATTGCAGGCGTGAGCCGCCACGCCCGGCCTCTCGGCCGTTTGGTTTGCACAGTGGCAACAGCAAAATGGCAGGACGTGTCCCTGTGCAAGGCCCGCTCTCCGGAGAGCTCCAGCCTCCAACACTTCCCACCAGGACTGGGCCATCCCCACCCAGCCCGCCCATCAAAGCTAACTCCACTCAAAACTCACACTTCACCTGTGCTCCCACCACTCCCAGTGCCCTTCCCAGCCTGGCCGCCCTTCCTGTCCCGTGCATCAGTTCAGGGTACACTACCTCCTGAACGCCTGTGGCCACTGCCCCCAAGTCTGCACAAACGGCCCCTTGGTGCTCATCACAGGGCACCCCACTGACACCTCACCACCCCCTCGCCATCCCTCCACTGCACACAGGACTCATTTCTCAAGTCCCAGCCTCCAACCTGATTGCTCTAGACTGTGGCATGACAGCAGGAATCAGCTAGGCACAGGCCATGGCCAGGCTTACGCCCCTCAGGGAGACAGCTGGCCACATCCGATGTCAGAGAAACGTAGTGCTGGACACCACCCCATCCGTGTCAGAGGGACTTACGGCCGAGACTGGATCCGAGTGAGCTGGCAAAGTCTTGAGGCACTTCCCTGTTTTCACATCCCATATCCTCACGCTTTCGTCAAACTGAACACAAAAGAGATGACAGTGATTTTACAGGAAGGAGAGGGGACAAACCTCCCCAGAACCTAAGACCTGCTATCAGCCCATCCTCCCCACAAACAGCACAGAAAGGACTCAGGGCCCACCTGCCTTCTCCACAGTGGCTACAAGCAAATTCAACAGCCTTCCCACATCCGACACCACCTCCCCCAGGGAAGACACCCCAGCCACACTTACGGATCCTGAGACAATAAGGTTGGACTGGGGATTGAAGTTGCAGCAAAAGACATAATTACTGTGTCCCTTCAGGGTTTTCAGACACTTGCCCTATAACAGAGTATTATTAGGATTATTCCAGTGCTTATTTCCCCAAACGTAAGAGTCAGGTCACATTCATCAATGTCTGACATCCCAAAGCATGCCTGATGCCCCGCCAGTGACTTGCTGTTCCCCGAAGTCAACTCGGCCTCCCCCACCCACCCCCGCCCCATGCCCCTGCAGCCAGTCTTCCCTGGAGAGGAGCGCTGAGTGTTGCTTACTGAGCAGTCAACTCAGTCCCCCGCACCTGCCCCGTGCCCTGCAGCCGGTCTCCCCTGGAGAGAAGCACTGAGTGTCACTTACCGAGCTCACGTCCCATATCTTCAAGGTTTTGTCATCTGAGGCAGAAACAAGAAGGTTAGAATCTGACGACCAGGCTACATCGGATATTCCCTTGGGGAGAAAAAACAGGGTCAGTAACTTGACAGGACAAAATAGGACCATCGGCAAAAGGTCAAAATCCCAAACATCCCCATTGCCCTCAGGAAATCTTCTCACTAGTGTTAACCTTACAAAAGACACACGGCCCAGGAGAAAAACAGCAGGCTTTCTGCAGCTCTGCCAGCCTCACAGACACTCCTCCATGGAAGTCAAATGTTATTTGGGTTAAAAGTTCAAGATGCAAATAACTATAAAAAAATTAAAAAACGGGGAAAACTTAAAACCTGAACCCACAGCTCTCGAAGCAGCCCTGACCCCTTGATCACTAGAGCCACCCTGTTCAACAGTCAACTTCACCGCACAGGGCTGAAACCTACCAGCTTGTGACCAGATATGGTTTTCTCAAATTTCCCATCATACGCGCCCCAAATTTTAATAAGTTTATCAGCAGCTGAAAGAAAACAAAAGGATCTGAGGCTAAGAGCAGGACACAATTGTCTAGTCATCCAGAGTCCAAAGTCTGAGCTTTTCCCACATGAGTCCCAGGTGATCAGCATGAACCACATGGCTCAGAACCCATTCAGCACGGCCACATGCCTGAGAGGACCAGTCCCCTTCCCCTCCCTCCCAGGGTCCACGGGCAATTTCTTTTCTTTCTTCTTCTTTTGTTTTTCTGAGACGGTGTCTGGCTCTGTCGCCCAGGCTGGAGTGCAGTGGCATGATCTCAGCTCACTGCAACTTCTGCCTCCCAGGTTCAAGCGATTCTCCTGCCTCAACCTCCTGAGTAGCTGGGACTACAGGCATGTGCCACCATGCCCGGCTAATCTTTTTTTGTATTTTTAATAGAGACAGGGTTTCACCATATTGGCCAGGCTGCTCTCGAACTCCTGACCTCGTGATCCGCCTGCCTCTGCCTCCCAAAGTGCTGAGATTACAGGCATGAGCCACCACGCCTGGCCCCCCACGGGCAATTTCAACCAGCACTGAGCTCACAGTTCCAGGAGGAGACACACCCGCCTGCTACGTGCCCCCCAGCGGCCTGCTACGTCTCCCCAGCGGTAGGTGAGGAAGCAAGCCATCCCCTCGCCAGCTTTTTGTCTGCAGCTCAGACCGCCTCTCCCAGCAGCTAAGGGCCTCAGTGCTACGTACATGAACTTGCCAGCCACTCTCCATTCGGGCTGAATTTCACGGAGGACACTGCTTTGGTGTGGCCAGCAAGGGTGAACTTTAGAGCATAGTTTGGCTTCACAGGTGTAGGCTGCAGGAAAGACCAGTTAGCAAAAAGTCACCACCACTGTACGTTCCACCCGTGACCAGTTTGGATTTTGACTCCCACCATTTAATTTCAGCTCAGATCTTTAGAGCTCCAAATCCACATGCCCAGTGCCTTCCACCAATCTCTATGTGGACAGTACCTTTCAAGTGGAACACATCTGAATCTGAGCCCACTACTTCCCCACAAGACCTCCTCTTCTGTAGTCTCCAAACTCAGCACCAACAGCACCAGCCGAGCCAGAAACGTGAGGCCCCCCTCAATCCACCTCATCCCCCCACCTCAATCCCACCTGTGATCCTGCTACAGCACAGGAGGCCCCCACCAGCTCTGGCCTTGGTCCAGCGCCCCACCCTCCGACCCCGAACACTGAAGCCCTGCTCCCTTTGCTAAAGGTCTACGGGAGGGCTTGCAGAACTGCCTGTGCGTCAGGATCGCAGCCAGGGTGGGGGCAACTATAAAGAGATGTTTTCTGGTTCCTACAGAGACTCTTACAATCAGAACCAAGAATCTGTATTTTTGATAAAAGGCTCTCTCCTCCAGGTGACAGATTTGGGATCCCTGACACAGCAGGCAACAAGCATTCGCCAGATATGCGGTCAGTAAATAAAAATTAGCAGTGACATTTAACTGAGTAGGGAAGACTAGGCTTATGAGCTTGAGATGTTTCCGAGACTCTCTAAGCGTATTTGCCCCCGGAAGGTGTCCAAGGGGCCCCTGGGCACGCACCTTGCTCTGAGTGGCGGATGACGAAGGGGTTGGCTGTGCTCTGGCGGCCTCGGTCTCGGGCTTCTTCTCCTCCGTCGCCATGGCTCTGACGCTGGCCGCACAGGAGACAAGGGTGGAGGGACCCGGTGACAGAGGCAGTCTGTTGAGCGAGATGCAGAACAGGGAGCCAAGAAACAAACTATATTTTAAAAAATTGATTTCCAAGAAAAAGGATGAAAAGAAAAACATTTGACTACCATATTGAGCCCTGTAGCAAACAAACCATTCCAAATTGAGGACCCTATTAATTCCCCTAAGTCCTTGCTAATACTTTCCAGCTGCTCCGCTGACACCCCTGCGCTCTCCCCTTTTGTCATCATAATGAAAGACCCCACCCTCAAGCGTGCTTCTTATTTTGTTATCCAGAAGTCTGTAAGAATGCAGCAGTTTGTGCAAACAAAATGCAGTTTTCTTCAAAGAGCCCTGGACACATTAAAAAAAGAACAGCAAAAGGTTTCCTGACAGAAAGCTAACACGCCAAATGACAGAAGACTGAGCTTCAGGGTGTAGAAATTTGGGATCACATCCAAATCCTAAAATGCACCCCAAGTGACGCAATCACGTTCACAGCCACGTTTGAAAACACAAGCACGGGCACCCAGTGGTCTACGCCTCATGGGGGGGCTCCAGTGCCTCCATGCACAGGCTGCTGGCCCGAGGCTGCCTTCCAGCATGCTAACAGCTCACAGGGCTCGCGCACTCAGTGAGGAGCCACAAAACACAGAGATGAGAGCAAGCCAGAGGCAGCTCTGCCTGCTGGAATTTCCACATCCTGCCTTCTGGAAAAGCAGCCTCAAGTACACCAACGATATTCTACGAGCAGGACTCACACTGCAGGGGAACGAAAAAAGACTGCAGTTCAATCGGTTTCACCTTGACAATGAAAATTATCCCAAATCTGTACAGTAAGCAGCTAGTTTCCTCTACCATGGGAATAGATTCATTACTTCAATACATCTCATAAAAGCACAACAGGTTACTTGGAAAGGAGGGACAGCATTTTTAAAAGGGAAAGCCACTGAGACATGCTTGCAAATACCACTGGCCATCGGAATCCCAGAAGCTAGCACTACCATCAATCTAATGAGTTTACACACTGTAAATTCTAGCTTGGAGCTTGGAACTGAAATCTTGCACAGGCTGATTGTAACACTAACGCGAAATGGAAGGCATTAAAAAGCATGTCTCAAAGTCTTCATCCAAGAGGAAGGCAGAGAAATTACAACACCCACTTTGCAGAGAACAGGTGTGGCCACCGCTCCATTTCACCTGCAGCAAAGATTCCCTGCGCAAAGATGGATCACGCTGCATCTAGGGCCGAGTACAGTACAAGAGAGGGGGAGAGGAGGGGCAGGCCCTGTAGCGCTGCCCAGGGGACAAAGTGCCAGTACAAAACCGGTCCTCGGTAAATGCCAGCTACGTGGTACTTGTCATTAGTGCAACCTAGCCATGCCAATTTAACCCAACTGCTGCATTTTCCTTGGCAGGCTGGACAAATACAGGGAGAGAGAGGAACTAAGGAAATCCAAGCAAAAAGCTGCAAAGTCCACTATAACAGTCCTAGCGTTAGACAGCCAGGCCAGGGCCAGAGCTGAGTGAACTGTGCCCATGCCCTACCCAAGCGAAACACCAGAGGAACAGAAGGCGAAATAGGCAGCTCAGAAGGCCGAGCAGCTCCTGTCAGCATCAACTCACCTGGGTGAGTCTAGACGCCTGGAAACACCCTCAGAGGAGGAACAACAGATAGGCGGTCTTACAAAAAAGGTGTCCAGCCCCTCCCAGCTCAAGCCCAACCTGCCCCAACCTTTGGGCTCAAAAAACATGAACATGTAAAAGAAACAAACAAAACAACCTTAACTTGACTTTTAAGAATATGATGGCTGGGCACAGTGGCTGACGCCTGTAATCTCAGCACTTTGGGAGGCTGAGGTGGGCAGATCACGAGGTCAGGAAGTTCAAGACCAGCCTGACCAGCATGGAGAAACCCCCTCCCTACTAAAAATACAGAAATTAGCCGGGTGTGGTGGTCGGTCCCTGTAATCCCAGCTACTCGGGAGGCTGAGGCAGGAGAATCACTTGAAACCAGAAGGCAGAACCAAGATTGCGCCACTGCACTCCAGCCTGGGCCAAACAGTGAAACTCCGTCGGGGGGTGGCGGGGAATGCAATTTCTTGACCCAACACACCCACCAAGTTTCTACGTCGGTGGGGTCTAGGCTTGGCGTGTTTTTTTTTTGTTTTTGTTTTTTTTTTGAGACACAGTCCAAAGAGTCCAGGTGCACGATCTGGGCTCACTACAACCTCCACCTTCCGGGTTCAAGTAATTCTTGCGCCTCAGCCTCCAGTTTAGCCGGGATTACAGGCGCGTACCACTACGCCCGGCCAATCTTTTGTATTTTTAGTAGAGACGGAGTTTCGCCATGTTGCCCAGGCTAGTCTCGAACTCCTGACCTCAGGCAATCCGCCCGCCTCAGCCTCCCAAAGTGCTAGGATTACAGGCGTGAGCCACCGCGCCGGGCCAAGGCTTGGCATTTTCATGAACACTCAGGTGTCTCTGTGGAACAATCCTTTTGAGAGAACAGGAAGGTTGGAGACTTGATCTTGAGGAAAGCGGGGGCCAAGGTTACGGGAACGGTGATGAATTGGCGGCCCCTAGACCAGATGCTGCCTGGCTCCTCCTAGCAGCCACTGCTTTTCATCCAGGTAAGCCTGACCACCTGAAGCCGAGCAACCAAACCTCAGTGTGCCCTCCTGGACTGCATGCCACAGGCCGATTCCTGAGTCCCTCAGTCCCTGAGGTGGAGCCCAGGAATCTGCCTGTGACATGCAGTCAGAAAAGCATACTGTGTGCAAAGACAGGAATTAATCTGCATCTTAAACACCAGCCGGGTGGCCGGCCCAACAGAGGTGGGGACCTGGCTCTCCCTATCTGAGATCCTGGACAGGCTCCCCGCCTGGGTCCTTCGCTTTCCTGTCTTCCCCACCGGC
Organism: Homo sapiens; assembly: GCF_000001405.40. Lineage (NCBI taxonomy): Eukaryota > Metazoa > Chordata > Mammalia > Primates > Hominidae > Homo > Homo sapiens. The sequence continues at coordinate 134,136,932 of NC_000009.12, read as the reverse complement.
TAGGACAGCACCTGCCCAGGTCACAGATTAAACTAGCATTTGAGGAGATGGGTAAACGGACCGGGGTGAGTGGAAACTTGCAAGCGAGACAGCAGGGAGTGTCGTTAGCGATGTAACAGGCCGACCTCTGTTTGGTCCGGGAACGTAACCGCTCAAAATGGCTCTCGCAGACCGGCCAGGACAGGTCTGCGGCCCCGCGCGAGGAGGCACGGTGGGCCTACCGTTCAGGACCGAGGACCCGCACCCCAGGACCCCACCTAGCGAGCTGCAGCCTGGCTGCCTCGGGTTGGGGTGAGCGGCGGGAGCGGGCTGGGGGCGTTTCTACGAGGAGGGGAAGCGCACCTCGTCCAGGGACTGAGTGGCTTGGTGGGTCTGGGGTCCTTCCCTGAAGGGGCAGTGGAGGGAGAGGGGCGATGTGAGGCCGGGCACGCTGCCTGCGGGAAAGAGGACCCAGTGCCGGCGCTCTGGCCTTGTCAGCGGTCCGCCGGGGAGGCGGAGGTGGGGGCGCGAGTGGGGGCGGACCGGGTGGAGGGAACTGCGCGCGCGGCCGTCCACCGAGGGGCCGGGGCGGGGGTCCCGGGCGGGGCCGCTGCAGCGGGAGCAGCGCCCGGGGCTGGGCCTGGCCCGAGGCCCGGCGGGGAACACGTGCGGCGGCCGGGTGCGGTTTGGAAGCTTCTGGCGCCGCCCCGCTGCCCGCCTTGTGTTCCCCGGGCCGGGCGGCTGCCCGCTTACCTGCCGGGCCGCGGCGGCGGGGCCGGGCGCTCGGGGCGTCGCGTCGGCCGCCGCCTGGGCGGGAGCGCGGACTCAGCTCGACAAGGCGGCAGCTCGGGCGGGCGCCAGGCGGCGGGGGCGCAGTGCGCGTGCGCGAGGGGAGGGGGCGGTGTCCGGGGGGCGGGGCGAGCTCACAAAGCCGGCCTCTCGGAGGAGCGCTACGGGCAGCGACAGCGGCCAGAATGCCTCGGGCCGGCCCAACGCTTTAAAGGGACAGCACGGGGCGCGCGCTTCCCGCTTAAAAGCTTTAATCCCCGAATTTGACTGGTGCAGGCCCTTCTAATGCACTTCCTAAAAACTGAAGTATAATAATACATACAGGAAAGTGCTAGTGTGCCCTCGCGTTTCCACAGACAGCACGCCCTGTACACAGACACCAGCGGCCCTCCGGGACCTGCGCAGGTGGCGTCGCCCGGCGTTGTCTCCGGAGTCGATTCGGGCCGGGGCACCTCCCCGGGCGACCAGGCCCCTTCTTGATCATCGCTGGTACGGATGAGAGCGGCAGTGGGCATTTGGAAAGCACCTGGGGCCGCGCCCGGGCGCAGTGCCCCCATGTGGCCTCCCACCCCGGGCGGGCAGGACGATTCCTGCCCATCTGGAAGACCAGGAACCTGCGCGTTCACAGGGTTCGGAAGCCCGGGCTGCGCCTTCCCGCGGGGCCGGCTGCCGGGCTGGGGGCTCTTCCCGCCTCTGCATGCACAGAGCCCGCGGTGCACGAACCTGCTCCCCGCCAGCCCCGCGGACTGGCAGGGCCGCTCTGGAGTCACCCGCGCCCGCTCCGCAGTGCGCAAACTCACTTCGCAGCGGGCTCTCCCGGGGCCAGCCCTTCCCTCCTGGGCGGGCATTTTCACCTCCAGGTACAAGGGGGTGGTCCCCAGAGGAGGACTCAGGGGCTTAAGGAGAAGCTGAGGCCCGGTCCTCTGGCCTCAACGACTGCACATTCTCGCCGCCTGCTTCACTTCTTAGAGCCTTGGAGGTAGGCATGGCCTCCCTATCCCCTCAGCTAGGCCTGTGGGTAGAATAACATACAGTCCCTTATTCTCCAATTAAAAATGGGAACACAGAATATGACACAGGAACCCATGCAAACAAAGGGATAGAGCATTTGAAATAAAAATGCCAAGGAGGGTGAGGTGAGCGGTTGTCAGAGAGGTGGAACCGGAAGACTGGCAGTTGGTCTGGAGTCCCCTTCCCAGGAAGGACACAGAGAAGGCAAGGTCCCTGTCTGGTCCTTCAGGGCTCCATATGGATTTGTGTGCCCAAGAGGCCGGATCCCTTGGGCCAGGTGCCCTGGAGCATGGAGTGGTGACAGTCACAGGTTAGCAAACCCAGTTCGGATGAAGAAGCGCATCTTTATCTCCGTCCACCTGGCCGCCTGGGCCGGAATCCCGAGCCCGTGACACGCTGCTCTCCTTCCACCCCACCTCAGCTCTCAGATCGTCCACTTCTCTCCCTCCCCACCCCAGCCCTACCTCCCACCTGGGTCTTTTCTAAACCTCCAAACAGAGAAACTCCTAAAAATCCAGCTCTGATCTGTCACTCCCCAGTTTAAAACTCAGAACCAGCTTCCCACTGCCCTCAATTCCCTAATTCCCACTGCTCAATTCGGCTAAAGTGCTTACCAGACCCCGCCTCCTCTTCCAACCTAGCACCGGCTCCCAAACTGCAGTCCTGGTTCCAGCCCCAAAACAAAAATATTTCCAGCCCTTCAGCCCTCCAGGCAAAGCAAGATAAGGGGCGAGACCCCAGAACCCTCAGAACTCAAACCAAGTTCCCAGCTTCCACTTCCAGGTGAATTGGTCTCACCACCTCACCCCACCCCCAGGAGATAGAACCTTCTAGTAAAAATGAGAAAATCCGGCCGGGCGCGGCGGCTCACGCCTGTAATCCCAGCACTTTGGGAGGCTGAGGCGAGTGGATCACCTGAGGTCGGGATCACCTGAGGCTGAGGCTGAGGCAAGGAGAATCGCTGGAACCCAGGAAAGAGGTTGCAGTGAGCCGAGATCGCACCATTGCACTCCAGCCTGGGCAACAAGAGCAAAACTCCGTCTCAAAAAAATAAAAAAGATGTTCAGAGAAACAGTTCCATTTACTAAGTCACTGCTGGTGGCCAAAGCCTAGTTAATGTTCTGAAAATCTCCATCGTGTTTGTTCCTCTTCTGTGATTCTTATTTTCTCTTCTATTTTCACCTGCCATATTTTTTCCTGAGGCTGACAACTGTTTGGTAGGATATAAGAGGATTTAAAACTTAGTAAAGCAAATTACTTGCCTTTGTTAAATTCTCTTCCTTGCTGGCGTTATATGGTTTCAGAATTTTAGCTATGACTGCAGGCAGGGGTGGATTGCAAAAATTGCTGAATGGGGTTAGAGGATTTTCTCTTTTTTTTTTTTTTTTTTTTTTTTGAGACGGAGTTTGCTCTTGTTGCCCAGGCTGGAGTGCAATGGGGTGATCACCACAACCTTGGCCTCCCGAGTTCAAGCAAGTCTCCTGCCTCAGCCTCCCGAGTAGCTGGGATTACAGGCATGCGCCACCACGCCCAGCTAATTTTGTATTTTCAGTAGAGATGGGGTTTCACCATGTTGGTCAGGCTGGTCTCAAACTCCTAACCTCAGGTGATCCACCCGCCTTGGCCTCCAAAGTGCTGGGATTACAGGCGTGAGCCATCACGCCCAGCCTTCTCTAAACAATTTTTATAAATACAACATTTTGGCCAGGCACAGTGGCTCACGCCTGTAATCCCAGCACTTTGAGAAGCCAAGGTGGGCAGATCACAAGAACAAGAGATCAAAACCATCCTGGTCAACATAGCGAAACCCCATCTCTACTGAAAATACCAATTAGCCAGGCATGGTGATGGGTGCCTGTAGTCCCAGCTACTCGGGAGGCTGAGGCAGGAGAATCACTTGAACCCAGGAGGTGGAGGTTGCAGTGAGCTGAGATTGCACCACTGCACTCCAGCCTGGCAACAGAGCGAGACTCTGTCTCATAAATAAATAAATAAACAAACAAACAAACATTTCTAGAAGGTTTCTCCCCACCTGCACTCAAGGATCTCTGATCAGCCCAACAGTCCAGGCCTGCTGGCCACCCTCCCCGCTGGCCCAGGTCCCTCCACCAGTCTCTCCTCCCCAGGGCACCCCCAACCAGCCAGTGTCCACTTGGGCCTCCCTAAACGTGGCAAGTCTTCCGGCCCCCAGCTCCTCCACAGTGAAAACATCTTCCATTGTAATTCCTGGGTCAGTGTCCCCTGGGTCTGGCTGAGTTGAGTCTGACCCTCATCACAGCACTCTGGGCACTTGGCCCAGGAGGTTGGGGGTGACATGTAGCACTGAGGAGCACTTGTGCACCCAACACTGTATTCAGTTTGTCACATTTAGTACCTCCTTGCACCCTCCCAACAAGCCTGTGACGTGATGCCTTTATTATCTCCTTTTTACAATGAGGAAACCAAGGCTCAGAGAGGTTGAGAAGCTGCCCAAGGACCCACAGCTAGTGGGCATAACCAGGGAAGTGAGCCCTGACTCTAGGCAGGACAGCGCTTCCAGGGGTGGCCTCTTCAGAGACGGCACCTCTGGGATCAGGAGCAGGCAGCACGGCTCTGAGGTTGCAGCAGGGCTGAATGCAGAACACCAGCCTGTTTTAGGAACCGTGTCGTCACCTAGTAACTAGTATTTCCTCGGGGACAGTGGACTGCCGAACCCTGAGAGGGAGGGCCACTGGCAGCGATGGACGAATGGCCCGTGGCAGGAGTGCTGGTGTCCTCGAAGCAGGCAGCCCGGAAGCACTGGCCCCTTCATGGCCAGCCCAGAGCTTTGGGGGGCAGCGGATTCCGATGGCAGTTGATTCGGGAAGGTGGAGGAAGCCGAGGGACGGGGCAATGCCCAGGACCCAGGGTTTCCCGGAGCTGCTGACCAGATTTCCAGGCTTGTGGGCCACCTCAACCTGGCCACTGTGCAGGGAGCTGTTGCTGCTGCCTGGAGATCCTATGGCTCCCTGCCAGCCCAGGTCAGTGGGATTTTATGTTAAATTCCTTTTCCCCTGGTAACTATGCCAGGACAGCCAGTTGGGGGATTCATGTCACCATCCCCCATCCCCAGGATCTCCACAGGGGCCCATCAGGGCCCTGTGGGCCTTCACCTGACAGCTTTATGCTGATTGGCCACGCTCAACCCAGGTATCCAGAAAGCCACTTCCAGTCCTCACTATACCACTGTCCTTCTCTTCTTCCCCCGGCCTTAGCTCCCTGGTACAGAAAGAGCAGGGTAGACAGAGGAGCCCATCTTGTTGACACGGACTGTGTGGTTTCTTCCTTGTGTCAAATTCTCTCCTTCCACTCCGTTCTCCTTCCCACCAGCCTCGTTCTCCATTCATCACGTCCGCTCCCCTGGCCATCCTCTAAGGTGGCCCCTCTAGATTGCCCCTGTCTGCAGTGACAACACTCCACTTTGACTGGCACAGCCCCAGTTCCAGAACCGGAGTCCCTGCCCCTGGCAGCCCCTCAATCCCAAAGAAATCCGGATGGTTGATCGCCTGGGTTGTCCCTTCCTTAAGGCCCCTCCATCCTTGCCAGCATCCTGACCCTCACCAGGGGCCGCTCCCTTGTCCACCTCCCTCGCTACTGTGGGCTCATGAGAGAGGGACACCCTGTCCACCTCGGTGCCTGCCAGGAGGGACACACAGCAGGTGCTCAATAAAGACCCTCACAATGAATGAATGGTGGCATGTTCTCTTCCACTTCCTGTTGGGATTTAAACCTGTTAAACTTGCTTAAAAGTCCCTATGACTGTCTGCCTGCCCCACCTTCCACTCCACTCCAGGCCAGGGTGTCCCCGGGGACGGCCCCCCTCTTCCCCCAGGTGGTGCTGGGAGCTCAGCTGCGCGTGCCCAGAAGCCATGCAGGCACCAGTTTGGGTCAGGCCAAGCTGGGCGGATCTCCCAGCCAGAATTCCAGGAATGCGACCCTTGTTTCCAAAGCCAGGCTGCACCTGGCGCAGTCTGCAAATCCCCTCCCCACCTCGGGTTCTCGGTGGTGCTGGTGGCGGCAGCATAATCCCACTGGTTACAGAGGGTCCCGGCAAAGACCACTGTGAAAGATACAGCTCCTGGGACAGACCAGGTGGAAATCAGAGGCCCAAAGAGCCAAGGCGATTTTTCAAAGGCTTTAGTTTGTTTTGTTTAGTTTTGTTTGACAGGGCCGGGTGGGAGGAGTGTGGCTAGTGCAGTGGTGGTTTGTAGGAGTCATTTTTTAAGGGCTCTATATGCAGCTGCTAGTAGTACTCCACCCGTGCTTCCCCATCATACCAAACTATTTCCATCTGTCCGAGCTATTAAAAACCACCACAGCTGTTATTCCTGAGTGCCTACTGTGTGCCTGTCACCCACCTAAGGACTTCATTTATTTTTATTTATTTACTTATTTATTTATTTATTTATTTATTTATTTTTGAGACGGAGTCTGGCTCTGTCGCCCAGGCTGGAGTGCAGGGGCGCCATCTCGGCTCACTGCAAGCTCCACCTCCCAGGTTCACTCCATTCTCCTGCCTCAGCCTCCGGAGTAGCTGGGACTACAGGCGCGTGCCACCACACCCGGCTAATTTTTTGTAGTTTAGTAGAGACAGGGTTTCACTGTGTTAGCCAGGATGATCTCCATCTCCTGACCTCGTGATCCACCTGCCTCGGCCTCCCAAAGTGCTGGGATTACAGGCGTGAGCCACTGCGCCCAGCCTATTTTTATCTTTATTTTTATTTTTAAGACAGAGTCTCGCTTTGTTGCCCAGGCTGGAGTGCAGTGGTGTGATCTCAGCTCACTGTAACCTCCGCCTCCTGGGTTCACGTGATTCTCCTGCCTCAGCCTCCCGAGTAGCTGGGATTACAGGCCTGCACCACCTCCCCCGGCTAATTTTTGTATTTTTAGTAGAGACGGGGTTTCACCATGTTGTCCAGGCTGGTCTTGAACTCCTGACCTCAGGTGATCTCCCCACCTCGGCCTCCCAAAGTGCTGGGATTACAGGTGTGAGCCACCACGCCCGGCCCACCTAAGAACTTTAGATACCACCTCATTCAGTCCCAAACGTGGGAGCTATTCTGATCTTTACAGATGAGGAAAATGATTTAAAAGACCTCCACGCTCTGGTAGATGAGGAAAATGAGGGGCCCAGAGAGCCTCAGTGACCTGCCCAATGTCACACAGCCAAGTACATACAGGCTGGGGCTTGCCCCTGCTCTGCAGACCTCCGTAGGAGCCACGTGTTCCTGGAAGTCATACCGGCCCTAAGTGTGGACATCATCCCTGAGCGGCTGTCCCCACAGCAGCTCTGTGGTCCGCCCTCCACGCCGACACCCGCTCCCAGTTCCTTCCCTCCTGCGCCCCCAGCTGCACTTTAGCCCCGCTGCCCGTTCCCATTGTTTCTGGGATTTCACAGTGATGAAGTGTTTCTTTGGGATAAAATAGAAGCGCTCCCTGACTTGGTTAAGAGGCAGCACACTCTCCACGGGGATAAGTAACCTAAGGAAAGAGGTGACGTGGGATTAGGCGAGCGCGTACCAGCCTTGAGGGGGGCGGCCCTCGCCAGCCCGAGGCACTGAAGGCCGGGCCCTGGGGCGGTAGCTGAGGAAGAGAGGAAAAAGCCACAGACGCAGGGCCCGCCCCGCTGCATTTTCCACAGCTCGCGGAGAATTCCCTAGGCGGGGAGCAGCTGCCTGAAATAGGAAAGCTGACGCAGAGGAGAGGCTCGGGCTCAGGTGGAGGCCTTGGCCTGGTCTCTGGCTCCCAGCACCTCCCTTCCTTCCTGGCTCCCCCAAGGACCCTCGCGGCCCCTCCATCTGCCCACCCCTGCCCTATACCTCTGCGGTCTTTAACTCCCCACAAAACCAGCTAAGGCCTGAGCATCTCCACGAATGCGGCAGAAGAGGCTTCTCCAAGGCGGTCAGCCTGGGCCCTACTCCCAGCTGTCTTCCAGTGGCCAACAGAGCTTGGGGGACAGCCTTGGAGGCAGGGAGCAGCCACCCCACCACGCCTCCAGCGGCTAGAGGCAGGCAGGCAGGCACATGGGGCCGATCTCAGCACGGTGGGCTATGGGAAGGGTGGGCAGGCTCGAATTCGGGCAGAGGAGGTGCAGTCCATAGGACATGGCTGGTCCTGGATAGTTCTGACCTCAGACATTGAGTTCCTCATCTTGGGGTCTCATGTTAAAGCTGTCGGAAACCAGAGAGGCAGGGACTACCAGAGCGTGGAGGTCATTTGAATCACAACCGTGGTTTCTAAGACAGAAATAAAAGATGGACCCCAAGTGCCTGTGGGTTTGTTTATTGGAGATGAAGTCTCACTCTGTTGCCCAAGCTGGGGTGCAGTGGCACGGTCACACCTCACTGCAGCCTCGATCCCCCGGGGTGCAGGTGATCCTCCTGCCTCAGTCTCTCGACGAGCTGGAACTACAGGTGTGCACCACCATGCCCGGCTAACTTTTTAAATTTTTTGTAGAGATGGGGTTTTACTGTGTTGCCCAGGCTGGTCTCAAACTCCTGGCCTCAAGGTATCCTCCCACGTCAGCCTCCTAAAGTTCTGGGATTACAGCACTGGCCCCAGTGCCCATTTAGAATATACAACCCTTTGTGAGTTCCCTCCCAGGAATCTTTCCTTCAGAGACACCTGCAGAAGGGCCTGAGGCTGCCCCAGGATGTCCGTGGCAGCAGTATTTATAATGATGAACTCATTGGAGACAAATGTCCATCTGTAGAGGAATAGGTAAATACGCCATGGGACATCCGGATTCTGGAACAGTCCACGGCCGCCAAAAGGATAAGGTAGCTTGGGTAGTCCTGCCACAGAGCAACGGCAGCGACATGTTGTTAAGAGGGAGAAACAAGCAATGGGAGAAGGGGCACAGAATGACCAGTTTTGTAAAACAAAGCCAGATGCGGGGAGGAAGGTAGGCTTTGGAGGGTGCAGAAGAAATGGTTCCACAGGAGCCCACAAGGAATGAAAGTAGGAAGGACCAAGGCCAGGAGCGGTGGCTCACGCCTGTAATCCCAGCACTTTGGGAGGCCGAGGCAGGCGGAGCACCTGAGGTCAGGAGTTTGAGACCAGCCTGACCAACATGGTGAAACCCTGTCTCTACTAAAAATACAAAAAATAGCCGTGCGTGGTGGCAGGGGCCTGTACTCCCAACTACTCGGGAGGCTGAGGCATGAGAATTGTTTGAACCTGGGAGGCGGAGGTTGTAGTGAGCCGAGATCGTGCCACTGCATTGCAGCCTGGGCGACAGAGCGAGACTCTGTCTCACACACACACACACACAAAAGAAAGTGGGGGCGGGGGGGGGTCTCTCAGTTCTCCCTGGGGAGCACCGATGCTCTTCAGGCAGGTGTCCTGCCTTTGCGATGAAAGAAATAACAAGCCTCCTTCATTTTCCACAATAGAAGAGTGATACACAGGGCTGCTAGACCACTACAAATCTCTCCCATCAACCCAGTTCCCACCCCTCACCTCGTCACCCGCATCCCTGGAGTGGTGTTTATATAGGTACTGCCAGGTGTCGTGGGTCTGAAGCAGGCCCACCTGGTACCTGCCCTCAGGGAGGGCTCCATCTGGGGGAGCCGGACCCGCAGGCAACAGTTGCAGGATGCAGTGCCAGGTTCTGGAATGGAAGGCCATGCTGACGAGTTGGTGGAAAATCAAGGGACCCTTCCTGGGTGGTGTTCAACCAGAGGCGCCAGAAAAGCCAGGCTGCCCTGCAGGCACCACACAGGCCTCTGGGGTGAGGACGGGCTGTGTCAGCAAAGGCCAGGGCGTGGGGGCAGTGGGGTGAGGCTGGAGGCACAGGGGAGATCCAGCCAGAGAGGTGGGTATGCGTAGGGCTGACCCCCACCCCCACCCAGCATGCTACAGGGAAGGGTGGGCGAACGATGCAGACAAGGTGGGTGGGGGATGCTCACAGCCCTCCTTGACGTGAAGCCAGGAGACAGCTGAGCTGGCACAGAGACCAGCCACCCACACTGGGCCGACTTGGAGGCCTTTGCCTCGTGCCAAGCTGGGGAAGGTCAGGGAGGCCCAAGGATGAAAGAAACCATCCTGGCCAGGTGCAGTGGCTCACGCCTGTAATCCCAGCACTTTGGGAGGCCAAGGCGGGAGGATCACGAGGTCAGGAGATCGAGACCATCCTGGCTAACATGGTGAAACCTCATCTCTACTAAAAATACAAAAAATCAGCCGGGCGTGGTGGCAGGCACCTGAAGTCCCAGGTATTCGGGAGGCTGAGGCAAGAGAATGCGTGAACCCAGGAGGCGGAGCTTGCAGTGAGCCGAGATGGCGCCACTCCACTCCAGCCTGGGCGACAGAGCGAGACTCCGTCTCAAAAAAAATAAAAAAATAAAATAAAATAACATCATTTGGGGGTAGCAGTGTAGAAGGATGGACCCTAACTTGGACCCCAGTGCCCAAAGGCTGACCGGGTCTCGGAGGGGCCTGGACACACTTGTCTCTGCAGGCTCTGCCTTTCACCCCAAACGAGGCGGGTGGTGTGGGCAGGGTCCCGCCCTGCAGGGCTGTTTGTGAGAGGCAGAGACACTGTGAGCTTTAGGCCAGTCGGGTGAGAGCAGGACCTGCGGGAAGCGGTGAAGGGCAGCAGCAGAGGGAACCCTTGCAAAAGTCGCTGCAGACGGGCTGGGCCACGTTTCCGGGCTCCTCACTTAGGCAAAGTGCCTCTCAGACTTCAGGATGCAACAGAATGACCTGGGGAGCTGGTGGAATGCAGGTTCCCCGGCCCCCCGGTAGGTCTGGGGAGGAGCCCAGGAATCTGTAGTTCTTTTTTTTTGAGATGGAGTCTCACTCTGTCACCTCCTCTGGAGTGCAATGGCGTGATCTCGACTCACCGCAACCTCCACCTCCCAGGTTCAAGCAATTCTCCTGCCTCAGCCTCCGGACTAGCTGGGATTAGAGGCATGTGCCACCACGCCCAGCTAATTTTTGTATTTGTAGTAGAGGGGGGTTTCACCATGTTAGCCAAGATGGTCTCCATCTCTTGACCTCGTGATCCACCCACCCAAAGTGCTGGGATTACAAGCGGGAGCCACCACACCAGACCAGAATCTGTAGTTCTAAACAGCCACCTGTAAGCTCCTGGCCACACTTGGAGAAACTGCTCTGGGCCCAGCCCAATGTGACCTGGATGCAAGTCCATCCTCACAGCCTCCCCTCCCCTTCTCTGGCTCTCCCCTCGGCTCAAGTCTCAGCGCCTCCTTCCCAGCCTTTCCTTCCTCTGGCGCTGAGCCAGCCATGGTCCTGGGACTACACTGCCCGCACAGCCTCATCCCCTCCTCCAGCCTCGGCTCATCCCTCAAGGGCCTCAGTCTCTCCAGGGTCCCCAGATTCCCTTCCTGAGGGAGAATCTTGCAGTGTGGGATCCCACACAAGCCTGTGGAGGCCACCTATAGGCAGTGCCCTCCTCGCCAGCTATGTCTGTTGGGAGTGGGGAGTGTCCCGGCTCAGGGCTGCCACTTCAGCAGAGCCCGTGGTGGCCGAGAGGAGCTGAGAGCAGCTGCGATGTGACTGGCCACTTTGGCCTGCCTGGCACAGCATCCAGACAGTTCCAGCCATCGTGGGATGCTCCTCCAGCAACGCACCCAGAGACTACGTGTCTGTCCATCTGGGCGCTGCTAGCCTGGCTCTCTTGTCTCCTCTTTCTGTCCCGCAATCCCGGACCCTTCCCATTGGATGGTCTGTCTAGGGTGAGATCCCAGATCTGCCCCTTCTACAGCATGGGCCTCGTCCCCATCTCCTGTGTCCAGCCCTGCCACCTGCGCTGAGCTCTCAGCAGAGGGATCCTGACGAGAACATGGAGCCAGAGGTTTACGAGACTCTGAACTGCACAGGGGTTAAAAACATGTGTTTAGCTTAGAGTCAGACACACCTAGGCACCTCCCTACACCTCAGTTTCCTCTGCTGTAAAATGGGAAGCCCAACCCGTCTGGGGTTTTAAGGATTCTTATGCAATAAGGGGGCTAGACTCGGCAAGCCCTCAAAGGTACAGTTTTGTTTTTTTTTAGATGGAGTTTCCCTCTTGTTGCCCAGGCTGGAGTGCAGTGGTGCGGTTTTGGCTCACCGCAACCTCCGCCTCCTGGGTTCAAGCAATTCTCCTGCCTCAGCCTCCCGAGTAGCTGGGATTACAGGTGCCTGCCACGACGCCCAGCTAATTTTTTGTATTTTTAGTAGAGATGGGATTTCATCATGTTGGCCAGGCTGGTCTCGAACTCACCCCAGGTGACCCACCCACCTCGGCCTCCCAAAATGCTGGGATTACAGACGTGAGCCACCATTTCCCAGCCAAAGGTACAGTTTTTATTTATTTACTTTTTGAGACAAAGTTTCATTTCGTCATCCTGGCTAGAGTGTGGTGGTGTGATCATAGCTCACTGTAGCCTCAACCCCTCAGGCTCAAGCAATTCTCCTGCCTCAGCCTCCTGAGTAGCTGGAAGCACAGGTGCATGTCACCGCACCCAGCTAATTTTTTATTTTTAGTAGAGACAGGGCTCTCCCTATGTTGCCCGGTCTGGTCTTGAACTCTTGGACTCAAGCAATCCTCCCACCTCAGCATCCCAAGATGTCGCGATTACAGGTGTGAGCCAATGTGACCAGCCAGGTACAGTTCTTTTTTTTTTTTTTCCGAGATGGAGTCTTGCTCTGTCACCCAGACTGGAGTGTAGTGGCACAATCTCGGCTCACTGCAAGCTCCACCTCCTGGGTTCACGCCATTCTCCAGCCTCAGCCTCCCAAGTAGCTGGGACTACAGGCGCCCGCCACCATGCCCGGCTAATTTTTTGTATTTTTAGTAGAGATGGGGTTTCACCATGTTAGCCAGGATGGCCTCAATCTCCTGACCTCGTGATCCGCCTGCCTCAGCCTCCCAAAGTGCTGGGATTACAGGCGTGAGCCACTGCGCCTGGCCCAGGTACAGTTCTTTACAAAACATTTTTTTCTTAAATAAATAAATTGTAAACATTAAATTGGATGGGACTATCCATTTCTATGTCTTACACATGTGTAGATTTGTGGCCCACCACCATGACGAGGACTATAGGAGAGTTCAAACCTCCAACCCCTCCCGGCTGCCCCTTGGAAGTCAGACCACACCCCGTCCCCAACCCCTGGCTATCACTGATCCACGCTACCTCCCTCCAGTGTCGTTTTCTCCAGAATGACATACATGGAGTTACGCAATATGTAACCTTTTGAGACTGGCTTCCTTCGTTCAGCACAATGCCTTTGACATTCATCTTTCACGTTGCATGTTTCAGTTTGTTTGTTTTTTGTTGTTGTTGTTTGTTTGTTTTCTGTAGCCCAGGCTGGAGTGCAATGGTGCGATCTCAGCTCACTGCAACCTCTGCCTTCCGGGTTCAAGCGATTCTACTGCCTCAGCCTCCCGAGTAGCTGGGATTAGAGGCGCCCGCCACCACGCCTGGCTAATTTTCTTTCTTTCTTTCTTTCTTTCTTGAGACGGAGTTACACTCTTGTTGCCCAGGCTGGAGTGCAATGGCGCAATCTCAGCTCACCACAACCTCTGCCTCCCGGGTTCAAGCGATTCTCCTGCCTCAGCCTCCCGAGTAGCTGGGACTACAGGCGTGTGCCACCACGCCTGGCTAATTTTGTATTTTTAGTAGAGACGGGGTTTCTCCATGTTGGTCAGGCTGGTCTTGAACTCCCGACCTCAGGTGATCAGCCTGCCTCAGCCTCCCAAAGTGCTGAGATTACAGGTGTGAGCCACCGTGCCTGGCCTGTTTAACTTTTTAAGAGGCTGCAGAGCTGTTTGCCGAGTGGCGGTGCTGCTGCACGTCCCCAGCAGTGGGGGCGGGTTCTGCTGATCCGCACCCTCCCCAGCACGTGTTAGGTGTCCAGGTGTTCCTCCCACTCTAATAGGTGGGTAGCAGATTCTCATAGTGGGTTTTTCCCAACATTTTGTATTGTGGTAAAATACACATGAAATGTACCACCCTTCTCGCCAGTGTTAAGTGTGTGATTCAGTGACAGGAAGCACATCCACATTATTGTGCAACCGTCACCACTGTCCTTTTCTAGGACACTTTCATCATCCTAAACAGAAACTCTGTATACACTAAACGCTAACTTCCTATTTTCCCTTTCCCCCAGCCCCTGATCATCTCTATTACACTTTCTGTCTCTATGAATTTGCCTATTCTAAGTACTTTACGTAAGTGGAACCACACAATACTTGACTTTTTGTACCTGGCTGATTTCCCTTAGTATCATGTCTCCAAGGTTCATCTCTGTATCAGAATTGTAGCATGATTCATAATTTCATTCCTTTTGATGGCTGAATAATGCTGCAATGTATGTATATACCATTTTATTTTTATTTATTTATTTATTTATTTATTTTGAGACAGAGTCTCGCTCTGTCACCCAGGCTGGAGTGCAGTGGTGCCATCCCAGCTCACTGCAACCTCCACCTCCCAGGTTCAAGTGTTTCTCCAGCCTCACCCTCCCAAGTAGCTGGGACTATAGGCACACGCCACCATGCCCAGCTAATTTTTGTATTTTTAGTAGAGATAGGGTTTCATCATGTTGGCCAGGCTGGTCTCGAACTCCTGACCTCAAGTGATCTACCAGCTTCAGCCTCCCTAAGTGCTGGAAATACAGGTGTGAGCCACCACACCTGACCTATTTTTATTTTATTTATTATTTATTTTTTTTTTTTGAGATGGAGTCTCGCTCTGTTGCCCAGGCTGGAGTGCAGTGGCGCGATCTCTGCTCACTGCAACCTCTGCCTCCCAGGTTCATGCCATTCTCCTGCCTCAGCCTCCCGAGTAGCTGGGACTACAAGTGCCCACCACCACGCCCGGCTAATTTTTTTGCATTTTTTTAGTAGAGACAGACTTTCACCGTGTTAGCCAGGATGGTCTCAATCTCCTGACCTCATGATCTGCCCGCCTCGGCTTCCCAAAGTACTGAGATTATAGGCATGAACCACCGTGCCCAGCCTATTTTTATTTTTTTAATCTTTGTTCTGTTTTGTTTTGTTTTGAGACAGAGTCTCACTCTGTGGCCCAGACTGGAGTGCAGTGGCACCATCTCGGCCCACTGCAACCTCCCTCTCCTGGGTTCAAGCGATTCTCCTGCCTCAGCCTCCTGAGTAGCTGGGATTACAGGCATGTGCCACCACGCCCTGCTAATTTTTGTATTTTTTGCAGAGACGGGGTTTTACCATGTTGGCCAGGCTGGTCTCAAACTCACCCCAGGTGACCCACCCACCTCAGCCTCCCAAAATGCTGGGATTACGGGCATGGCCACGGCACCCAGCCTTCAGCATTTCTTTATTTTTTAATCCATTAATCTGTTGGTGGACAATTGGGTTATTTTCACCTTCCGGCTGTCGTGCATCATGCTGCTAACATAGCTGCTATAGTCCGGATGTTCGTTGTTGAAATTTGATCCCCAGTGTTGGAGGGGGACCTAGTGAGGGGCTTTTGGGTCATGGGGGCAGATTCCTCATGAATAGGCCTGCGCCCTCCCTCGGGGGTGAGTGAGTTCTTACTCTTTTGGTTCCTGTGAGAGCTGGATGTTAAGAGAACCCCTCCACCTTGCTTCTGCTTTCCCATGGGATCTCTGCACAGGCTGGCGCCCCTTCATCTCCGCCATAAGTGGACACCAGCTGAGGCCTTTACTAGGTGCAGATGCCCAATCTTGAACTTTCCAGCCATCAGAAGCATGAGCCAAATCAATCTTTTTTCTTTATAAGTGACCCAGTCTCAGGTACTCTGTTATTGCTACACAGATGGACTAAGACGATAACAGGCATCTGTTTGATCTCCTGCTTCCAGTTTTTTTGGGTATCTCATTGTGATTTTAATTTCCATTTCTCTCTTGACTCATGATATTGTCTTATTTCCACCTCTATATCTTCTTTGGTAAAGTGTCTGTTCAAACTTTTTTTTTTTTTTTTTTTAATTTTTTTGTGACGGACTCTCGCTGTCGCCCAGGCTGGAGTGCAGTGGCGTGATCTCAGCTCACTGCAACCTCCACATCCCTGGTTCTAGTGATTCTCATGCCTCAGCCTCCCTAGTAGCTGGGATTACAGGTGTGAGCCACCATACCTGGCTAATTTTTTTTTTTTTTTTTGAGATGGGAGTCTCGTTCTGTCGCCCAGGCTGCAGTGCACTGGGGCGATCTCGGCTTACTGCAACCTCCGCCTCCCGGTTCAAGCGATTGTCCTGCCTCAGCTTCCCGAGTAGCTGGGACTACAGGCGCCTGCCACCACACCTGGCTAATTTTTGTATTTTTAGTAGAGACTGGGTTTCACCGTGTTAGCCAGGATGGTCTCGATCTCCTGACCTTGTGATCCAACCTTGTGATCCACCCGCCTCGGCCTCCCAAAGTGCTGGGATTACAGGCGTGAGCCACCATGCCCGGCCACACTGGCTAATTTTTGTATTTGTATTTTTTTTTTTTTTTAGTAGAGATGAGGTTTCACCATGTTTGCCAGGCTGGTCTTGAGCTCCTGACCTCAGGTGATCCACCTGCCTCAGCCTTCCAAAGTGCTGGGTGAGCCACTGCACTCAGCCAAACTTTTGCTTAGTTTTTAATTGGCTTGTTTTCTTATTGTTTAGTAGTGAGAGTTATTTATATGTTGCAGATACAAGTTGTTTGTAGGAAATGAAATTTATAAACATTTTCTCCCAGTCCGTCTGTGTCTTGCCTTTTCATCCTATTAACAGTATTTTTTTTTTCTTTTTTGAGACGGAGTCTCCCTCTGTTGCCCAGGCTGGAGTGCAGTGGCCCAATCTTGGCTCACTCCAACCTCTGCCTCCCAGGTTCAAGCAATTCTCCTGCCTCAGCCTCTCAGGTAGCTGGGATTACAGGCGTGCACCACCACATCTGGCTAATTTTTGTATTTTTACTAGAGACAGGGTTTACCACGCTGGCCAGTCTGGTTTTGAACTCCTGACCTCAAGTCACCTGCCCACCTCAGCCTCCCAAAGTGCTAGGATTACAGGTATGAACCACTGCGCCCGGCCAACAGTATCTTTTATAGGGCAAAGCTTTTTACATTTTGATCAAGTCCAATTTATCAATTTTTCTTTCTTTTTTCTTTTTTTTGAGACGGAGTTTTGCTCTTGTTGCCCAGGCTGGAGTGCAATGGCACGGTCTCTGCTCACCGCAACCTCTGCCTCCCGGATTCAAGCGATTCTCCTGCCTCAGCCTCCCAAGTAGCCAGGATTACAGGCACGTGCCACCATGCCCAGCTAATTTTGTATTTTTAGTAGAGAGGGGTTTTTTTCACGTTGGTCAGGCTGGTCTCAAACTCCCGCCCTCAGGTGATCTGCCTGCCTTGGCCTCCCAAAGTGCTGGGATTACAGGCTGAGCCACTGCACGCGGCCAATTTTTTTTTTCTTTCATGGATTGTGTTTTTGGTATCACATCAAAGAACTCTGCCTAATCCATAGTCACAATAATTTTCTTTTGTGTTTTCTTGTAAAAATTCTAAGTTTTACCTCTTACATTTAGATCTATGATCCAATTTGAGTTAATTTTTGTATCAGGTATGAGACCATATTGATCTCTTTACCCTCTTGCCTTTATATTGTAATTGTCCTGTGTATTAGATCTAAATACATTAAAAAAATCCCACTACACAATGTAGTAGTATTTTTCTTTCAACCGTCATACACATTTTAAAGGACTTACACAGAAATAGTCTATTTACCTAGATATTTACAATTTCTTTTGCTCTTCCTTCATCCTTCCTGAAAAATATTTTTGCTGGATTGACCATTTCTGGGTTGAGAGTTCCTTTCTTTTTCAGGACTTTAAAAATATTGTTCTGCCAGGCATGGCAGCTCATGCCTGTAATCCCAGCACTTTGAGAGGCCAAGGCAGGAGGATCACTTGAGCCCAGGAGTTCAAGACAAGCCTGGGCAACATAGTAAAACCTCATCTCTTCAAACAAAATTAAAAATAAAAATTAAGGCAGCCGCCGCCGCCCGACCGCCGGGAGGATGGAGTTCAGCGGGCAGCGGAGCTGTCTCAGTCTTTGCCGCTGCGCCGGCGAGCGCCGCCCGGGAGGCAGCGGCTGGAGGAGCGGACGGGCCCCGCGGGGCCCGAGGGCAAGGAGCAGCCGCCTGCCTTGGCCTCCCAAAGTGCCGAGATTGCAGCCTCTGCCCGGCCGCCACCCCGTCTGGGAAGTGAGGAGTGTCTCTGCCTGGCCGCCCATCGTCTGGGATGTGAGGAGCCCCTCTGCCTGGCTGCCCAGTCTGGAAAGTGAGGAGCGTCTCCGCCCGGCCGCCATCCCATCTAGGCAGTGAGGAGCGCCTCTTCCCAGCCGCCATCACATCTAGGAAGTGAGGAGCGTCTCTGCCCGGCCGCCCATCGTCTGAGATGTGGGGAGCGCCTCTGCCCCGCCGCCCCATCTGGGATGTGAGGAGCGCCTCTGCCCAGCCGCGACCCCGTCTGGAAGATGAGGAGCGCCTCTGCCCGGCCGAGACCCCGTCTGAGAAGTGAGGAGACCCTCTGCCTGGCAACCACCCCGTCTGAGAAGTGAGGAGCCCCTCCGCCCGGCAGCTGCCCCGTCTGAGAAGTGAGGAGCCTCTCCGCCCGGCAGCCACCCCATCTGGGAAGTGAGGAGCGTCTCCGCCCGGCAGCCACCCCGTCCGGGAGGGAGGTGGGGGGGGGTCAGCCCCGGCCAGGCCAGCCGCCCCATCCGGGAGGGAGGTGGGGGGGTCAGCCCCCCGCCTGGCCAGCCGTGCCGTCCGGGAGGGAGGTGGGGGGGTCAGCCCCCCGCCCGGCCAGCCGCCCCTTCCGGGAGGTGAGGGGTGCCTCTGCCCGGCCGCCCCTACTGGGAAGTGAGGAGCCCCTCAGCCCGGCCAGCCACCCCGTCCGGGAGGGAGATGGGGGGGTCAGCCCCCCCACCCGGCCAGCCGCCCCGTCCGGGAGGGAGGTGGGGGGGTCAGCCCTCCGCCTGGCCAGCCGCCCCGTCTGGGAGGTGAGGGGCGCCTCTGCCCGGCCACCCCTACTGGGAAGTGAGGAGCCCCTCTGCCCGGCCAGCCGCCCCGTCCGGGAGGGAGGTGGGGGGGTCAGCCCCCCGCCCGGCCAGCCGCCCCGTCCGGGAGGGAGGTGGGGGGGTCAGCCCTCCGCCCGGCCAGCCGCCCCGTCTGGGAGGTGAGGGGCGCCTCTGCCCGGCCGCCCCTACTGGGAAGTGAGGAGCCCCTCTGCCCGGCCAGCCGCCCCGTCCGGGAGGGAGGTTGGGGGGTCAGCCCCCCGCCCGGCCAGCCGCCCTGTCCGGGAGGGAGGTGGGGGGGTCAGCCCTCCGCCCGGCCAGCCGCCCCGTCTGGGAGGTGAGGGGCGCCTCTGCCCGGCCGCCCCTACTGGGAAGTGAGGAGCCCCTCTGCCCGGCCAGCCGCCCCGTCCGGGAGGGAGGTGTGGGGGTCAGCCCCCCGCCCGGCCAGCCGCCCCGTCTGGGAGGGAGGTGGGGGTGTCGGCCCCCCGCCCGGCCAGCCGCCCCGTCCGGGAGGGAGGTGGGGGTGTCGGCCCCCCGCCCGGCCAGCCGCCCCTTCCGGGAGGTGAGGGGTGCCTCTGCCCGGCCGCCCCTACTGGGAAGTGAGGAGCCCCTCAGCCCGGCCAGCCACCCCGTCCGGGAGGGAGATGGGGGGGTCAGCCCCCCCACCCGGCCAGCCGCCCCGTCCGGGAGGGAGGTGGGGGGGTCAGCCCTCCGCCTGGCCAGCCGCCCCGTCTGGGAGGTGAGGGGCGCCTCTGCCCGGCCACCCCTACTGGGAAGTGAGGAGCCCCTCTGCCCGGCCAGCCGCCCCGTCCGGGAGGGAGGTGGGGGGGTCAGCCCCCCGCCCGGCCAGCCGCCCCGTCCGGGAGGGAGGTGGGGGGGTCAGCCCTCCGCCCGGCCAGCCGCCCCGTCTGGGAGGTGAGGGGCGCCTCTGCCCGGCCGCCCCTACTGGGAAGTGAGGAGCCCCTCTGCCCGGCCAGCCGCCCCGTCCGGGAGGGAGGTTGGGGGGTCAGCCCCCCGCCCGGCCAGCCGCCCTGTCCGGGAGGGAGGTGGGGGGGTCAGCCCTCCGCCCGGCCAGCCGCCCCGTCTGGGAGGTGAGGGGCGCCTCTGCCCGGCCGCCCCTACTGGGAAGTGAGGAGCCCCTCTGCCCGGCCAGCCGCCCCGTCCGGGAGGGAGGTGTGGGGGTCAGCCCCCCGCCCGGCCAGCCGCCCCGTCCGGGAGGGAGGTGGGGGTGTCGGCCCCCCGCCCGGCCAGCCGCCCCTTCCGGGAGGTGAGGGGTGCCTCTGCCCGGCCGCCCCTACTGGGAAGTGAGGAGCCCCTCAGCCCGGCCAGCCACCCCGTCCGGGAGGGAGATGGGGGGGTCAGCCCCCCCACCCGGCCAGCCGCCCCGTCCGGGAGGGAGGTGGGGGGGTCAGCCCTCCGCCTGGCCAGCCGCCCCGTCTGGGAGGTGAGGGGCGCCTCTGCCCGGCCACCCCTACTGGGAAGTGAGGAGCCCCTCTGCCCGGCCAGCCGCCCCGTCCGGGAGGGAGGTGGGGGGGTCAGCCCCCCGCCCGGCCAGCCGCCCCGTCCGGGAGGGAGGTGGGGGGGTCAGCCCTCCGCCCGGCCAGCCGCCCCGTCTGGGAGGTGAGGGGCGCCTCTGCCCGGCCGCCCCTACTGGGAAGTGAGGAGCCCCTCTGCCCGGCCAGCCGCCCCGTCCGGGAGGGAGGTTGGGGGGTCAGCCCCCCGCCCGGCCAGCCGCCCTGTCCGGGAGGGAGGTGGGGGGGTCAGCCCTCCGCCCGGCCAGCCGCCCCGTCTGGGAGGTGAGGGGCGCCTCTGCCCGGCCGCCCCTACTGGGAAGTGAGGAGCCCCTCTGCCCGGCCAGCCGCCCCGTCCGGGAGGGAGGTGTGGGGGTCAGCCCCCCGCCCGGCCAGCCGCCCCGTCTGGGAGGGAGGTGGGGGTGTCGGCCCCCCGCCCGGCCAGCCGCCCCGTCCGGGAGGGAGGTGGGGGTGTCGGCCCCCCGCCCGGCCAGCCGCCCCTTCCGGGAGGTGAGGGGTGCCTCTGCCCGGCCGCCCCTACTGGGAAGTGAGGAGCCCCTCAGCCCGGCCAGCCACCCCGTCCGGGAGGGAGATGGGGGGGTCAGCCCCCCCACCCGGCCAGCCGCCCCGTCCGGGAGGGAGGTGGGGGGGTCAGCCCTCCGCCTGGCCAGCCGCCCCGTCTGGGAGGTGAGGGGCGCCTCTGCCCGGCCACCCCTACTGGGAAGTGAGGAGCCCCTCTGCCCGGCCAGCCGCCCCGTCCGGGAGGGAGGTGGGGGGGTCAGCCCCCCGCCCGGCCAGCCGCCCCGTCCGGGAGGGAGGTGGGGGGGTCAGCCCTCCGCCCGGCCAGCCGCCCCGTCTGGGAGGTGAGGGGCACCTCTGCCCGGCCGCCCCTACTGGGAAGTGAGGAGCCCCTCTGCCCGGCCAGCCGCCCCGTCCGGGAGGGAGGTTGGGGGGTCAGCCCCCCGCCCGGCCAGCCGCCCTGTCCGGGAGGGAGGTGGGGGGGTCAGCCCTCCGCCCGGCCAGCCGCCCCGTCTGGGAGGTGAGGGGCGCCTCTGCCCGGCCGCCCCTACTGGGAAGTGAGGAGCCCCTCTGCCCGGCCAGCCGCCCCGTCCGGGAGGGAGGTGTGGGGGTCAGCCCCCCGCCCGGCCAGCCGCCCCGTCCGGGAGGGAGGTGGGGGTGTCGGCCCCCCGCCCGGCCAGCCGCCCCGTCCGGGAGGGAGGTGGGGGTGTCGGCCCCCCGCCCGGCCAGCCGCCCCGTCCGGGAGGTGAGGGGCGCCTCTGCCCGGCCGCCCCTACTGGGAAGTGAGGAGCCCCTCTGCCCAGCCACCACCCCGTCTGGGAGGTGTGCCCAACAGCTCATTGAGAACGGGCCAGGATGACAATGGCGGCTTTGTGGAATAGAAAGGCGGGAAAGGTGGGGAAAAGATTGAGAAATCGGATGGTTGCCGTGTCTGTGTAGAAAGAAGTAGACATGGGAGACTTTTCATTTTGTTCTGCACTAAGAAAAATTCCTCTGCCTTGGGATCCTGTTGATCTGTGACCTTACCCCCAACCCTGTGCTCTCTGAAACATGTGCTGTGTCCACTCAGGGTTAAATGGATTAAGGGCGGTGCAAGATGTGCTTTGTTAAACAGATGCTTGAAGGCAGCATGCTCGTTAAGAGTCATCACCACTCCCTAATCTCAAGTAATCAGGGACACAAACACTGCGGAAGGCCGCAGGGTCCTCTGCCTAGGAAAACCAGAGACCTTTGTTCACTTGTTTATCTGCTGACCTTCCCTCCACTATTGTCCCATGACCCTGCCAAATCCCCCTCTGTGAGAAACACCCAAGAATTATCAATAAAAAAATAAATTTAAAAATAAAAAATAAAAAAAAAATAAAAGGCAGATTTTACTGAATGTAAATTACATATTAATAAGCAACTGCCACAAAACCAACAAAACCCAGTTGCTTTGGTGTCGTAGCATGTGCAGCTCCATGACCCTTGAGGAGGCTCAGCACGCTTTTCAAAACATCCACGTGTGATTCCGACATTCTAGCATTTGTATTTAGAAAGGAAGTGAAGACTTTTCTGCATGTTGTTTTGTTAAAATGTTGAACTGAGGTTTGAGTATGTAAATATTATTTTTTCCTGTGTAAACACATCAGCCAAAAATATATTGACAAATACATATGTTCAAAAAAAAAATAAATAAAAAATAAAGTAGTTTCCAAAGGAAAAAATAAAAAAAATAAATAAAAATTAATCAGGTATGGCTAAGTAGCTGTTTTCCAAGATACTTGGGAGGCTGAAGTGGGAAGATCACTTGAGCCTGGAAGGTCGAAGTTGCAGTGACCCAGGATCAAGCAGCTGTACTCCAGCCTGGGCAACAGAGCCAGAGACCCTGTCTCAAAAAATTTAATAAGATAAAAATAAAAAGACCACACGCGGTGGCTCACGTCTGTAATCCCAACACTTTGGGAGGCCGACGTGGGCGGATCACGAGGTCAGGAGTTCGAGACCAGCCTGGCCAACGTGGTGAAACTCCATCTCTACTGAAAATACAAACATTAGCTAGGCATGGTGGCACGCGCCTGTAGTCCTGCTACTTGGGAGGCTGAGGCAGGAGAATCACTTGAAACCAGGAGGCAGAGGTTGCAGTGAGCCAAGATCACGCCACTATACTCCAGCCTGGCAACAGAGCGAGACTCCATCTCAAAAAAAAAAAAAAAAGATCAGGCACAGTGGCTCATGCCTGTAATCCCAGCACTTTGGGAGGCCAAGGTGGGCGGATCACCTGAGATCAGGAGTTTGAGACCAGCCTGGTCAACAAGGTAAAACCCCGTCTCCACTAAAAATACAAAAATTGGCCAGATGTGGTGGCGCACGCCTGTAGTCCCAGCTACTCAGGTAGCTGAGGCATGAGAATCACTTGAACTCGGAAGGTGGAGGTGGCAGTGAGCCAAGAATGTGCCACTGCACTCCAGCCTGGGCAACAAAACGAGACTCTGTCTCTAAATAAATAAATTAAATAAAAATAATTTTATTTGAAATGTTAGTTCCACTTTTGGCCGGGCGCGGTGGTTCACGCCTGTAATGCCAGCACTTTGGGAGGCCGAGGCGGGTGGATCACGAGGTCAGGAGATCGAGACCATCCTGGCTAACACAGTGAAACCCCGTCTCTACTAAAAATACAAAAAATTAGCCAGGTGAGGTGGCGGGTGCCTGTAGTCCCAGCTACTCGGGAGGCTGAGGCAGGAGAATGGCGTGAACCCGGGAGGCAGAGCTTGCAGTGAGCCGAGATGGCGCCACTGCACTCCAGCCTGGGCGACAGAGCGGGACCCCATCTCAAAAAAAAAAGAAAAAAGAAAGAAACGTTCCACTTTCTTCTGGCCTCTATGGTTTCTGATGAGATATCTGTTATCATTCAATATTTTTCAATATTTTTTGATAAGGGTTCTTTCTTTTTCACTGTTTTCAATTTTTTTTTTTCTGTAGCTGAGCATAGTGGCTCATGCCTGTAATCCCAGCATTTTGGAAGACTGAGGCAGGAAGATTGCCGGAGGCCAGGAATTTGAGACCAGCCTGGTCAACATAGTGAGACCTTGTCTCTAAAAGAAAAAAAAAAATTTTTTTTTCTTTGTCTTTAGTTTTTGGTAGTTTTTAAAAATTTCCATTTAATTTAATTTTTAGAGATAGGGTCTTACTGTGTCACCCAGGCTGGAGTGCAGTGGCGCGATCATAGCTCACTGCAATCTCAAACTCCTGGGCCCAAGCAATCCTCCCTCCCCAGCCTCCCCAGTAACTGGGACTATAGGCACGCACCACATACCAGGCTAATTTTTAAATTTTTTGTAGAGATTGGGTCTTGCTATGTTGCCCAGGCAGGTCTTGAACTCCTGACCTCAAGCCATCCTCCCACCTCAGCCTCTCAAAGTGCTGAGATTACAGGCATAGGCCACGTGCCCAGCCAGTTGTTTTTTTTTGTTTTGTTTTGTTTGTTTTGTTTTGAGACGGAGTTTCGCTCTTATTGCCCAGGCTGGATTGTGGTAGTGCAATCTAGCTCACTGCAACCTCCACCTCCTGGGTTCAAGCAATTCTCCTGCCTCAGCCTCCGAGTAGCTGAGATTACAGGCATGTGCCACCACACCCGGCTAATTTTTGTATTTTTATTTATTTATTTATTTATTTTTATTTTATTTATTTGTTTATTTTTTTGAGATGGAGTCTCACTCTGTCACCCAGGATCAAGTGCAGTGGAGCGATCTTCGCTCACGGCAACCTCTGCCTCCTGGGTTCAAACGATTCTCCTACCTCAGCCTCCCTGGCAGCTGGGATTACAGGCGCCCGCCACCAACCCTGGCTAATTTTATATTTTTAGTAGAGACAGGGTTTCACCATGTTAGCCAGGATGGTCTCAATCTCCTGACCTCGTGATCCGCCTGCCTCGGCCTCCCAAAGTGCTGGGATTACAGGCATGAACCACCATGCCTGGCTAATTTTTGTATTTTTAGTAGAGATGGGGTTTCTCCATGTTGGTCAGGCTGGTCTCGAACTCCTCACCTCAGGTGATCTGTCCCACCCCGGACTCCCAAAGTGCTAGGATTACAGGCATGAGCCACCGTGCTCAGCCCAGCCAGTTTTGGTAGTTTGACTAAGACATCAGACTAGAGTGCAGTGGCGTGATCTTGGCCCACTGCAACCTCCGCCTCCCAGGTTCAAGTGATTCTCCTGCCTCAGTCTCCTGAGTAGCTGGGATTGCAGGTGCACGCCACCACCCCTGGCTAATTTTGCATTTGTAGTAGAGACAAGGTTTCACCATTTTGGTCAGGCTGGTCTCGAACTCCTGACCTCTTGATCCGCCTGCCTCAGCCTTTCAAAGTGCTAGGATTACAGGCATGAGCCGCCACGCCCAGCTGGTGTGGGTTTTTTTTTGTTGTTTTTTTTAAAGTTTAACCTCATTATTTTAGTTTCCCTCAGTGTATTAGGGTTCTCCAAAGGGACAGAAATAATAGGATAGTTGAATGTATGAAGGGGAGTTGATTAGGAGAACTGACTCACACCATCACAAGTTGAAGTCCCACAATAGGCCATCTGCAAGCTGAGGAGTCAGGAAGCCAGTCCTGGCTGAGGTTTTGAGTCTCAAAACCTCAAAAGTAGGAAAGCCGACGGTGCAGCTTTCAGTCTGTGGCCAAAGGCCCGAGAGTCCCTGGCAAACCACTGGTGTAGATCCGAGAGTCCAAAAGCTGAAGAACTTGGAATCCAATGTTCGAGGGCAGGAAGCATCCAGCACAGGAGAAAGATGGAGGCCGGAAGACTCAGCAAGTCTGCTCTTCCCATGCCTTTTATGCTGACAGCGGATTGTTTGGTGCCCACCCAGATTGAGGGTGGGTCTGCCTCTCCCAGTCCGCTGACTCAAATGTGAATCTCCTCTGGCGGCACCCTCACAGACACTCCCAGGAACGATACTTTGCATCCTTCAATCCAATCAAGTTGAGGTTTAATATTCACCATCACAGTCAGCTTCTTGAATCTCTAGGTCAGTTTATGTCTTTTCCGCAGTTTGGGGAGTTTCCAGCCATGGTTTCTTTGTATGCATCTGAGCCCTGCCGTCTCTCCTCTCCTAGGACTATACCGTCATGAATGTTAGAGCTTTTGTTATTGTTCCACAGGCCCCTGAGGCTGTTATTTATTTATTTATTTTTCCAGTCTATTCTTTCTTTCTTTCTTTCTTTCTTTCTTTCTTTCTTTCTTTCTTTCTTTCTTTCTTTCTTTCTTTCTTTCTTTTTTTAGACAGTGTCTCGCTCTGTTGCCCAGGCTGGATTGCAGTGGCACCATCTTGGCTCACTGCAACCTCCACCTCCTGGGTTCATGCCATTCTTCTGCCTCAGCCTCCTGAGTAGCTGGGACTACAGGTGCCCGCCACCACGCCTGGCTAATTTTTTTTGTATTTTTAGTACAGACGGGGTTTCACCATGTTAGCCAGGATGGTCGTGATCTCCTGACCTCATGATCCACCTGCCTTGGCCTCCCAAAGTGCTGGGATTACAGGCGTGAGCCACCGCGCCCGGCTTTTCCCGTCTATTTTTTCCCTGTTCAAATTGGGTAATTTCTGTCTTTCTTTCTTTTTTTTTTTCCTTTTTGAGACAGAGTTTCACTCTTGTTGCCCAGGGTGGAGTGCGATGGCGTGATCTCAGCTTACCACAACATCCGCCTCCCAGGTTCAAGCAATTCTCCTGCCTCAGCCTCCCGACTAGCTGGGATTAGAGGTGTGTGCCACCACGCCCAGCTAATTTTTGTATTTTTAGTAGAGACGAAGTTTTGCCATGTTGCCCAGGCTGGTCTCGAACTCCTGAACCTCAGGTGATTTGCCCACCATGGTCTCCCAAAGTGCTGGCATTACAGGCGTGAGCCACTGTGCCCAGCCAAATTGGGTAATTTCTATTATTCTATCTTCCAGTTTACTATTCTTTCCTCTGTCCCCTCCATTCTGCTGCTGAGTCACCACCACTGAGCTTCAAATTTAGGTATTGTGTTTTTCTTTCTTTCTTTTTTTTTTTTTTTGAAAGGGAGTCTGTGTCAGCCAGGCTGGAGTGCAGTGGCGCGATCTCGGCTCACTGCAAGCTCCACCTCCCGGGTTCACGCCATTCTCCTGCCTCAGCCTCCCGAGTAGCTGGGACCACAGGCGCCCACCACCGCACCTGGCTAAATTTTTGTATTTTTAGTAGAGACGAGGTTTCACCGTGTTAGCCAGGATGGTCTCGATCTCCTGACCTTGTGATCCGCCCGCCTCAGCCTCCCAAAGTGCTGGGATTACAGGCGTGAGCCATAGCGCCTGGCCTTTTTTTTTTTTTTTTTTTTTTTTGAGATGGAGTCTTGCTCTATCGCCCAGGCTGGAGTGCAGTCATACAATCTTGGCTCACTGCAACCTCCTCCTCCCAGGTTCAAACGATTCTCTTGCCTCAGCCTCCCAAGTAGCTGGGATTACAGGCAAGCACCACCATGCTGGGCTAATTTTTGTACTTTTAGTGGAGACGGGGGTTCACCATGTTAGCCAGGATGGTCTCGATCTCCTGACCTCGTGATCCGCCCACTTTGGCCTCCCAAAGTGCTGGGATTACAGGCGTGAGCCACCACGCCCAGCCTTGGGGGAGCTTTTGTGTCTGTGCCCATTGCTCATGGCTGAGTTTCTGGCTTTTTCATCTGAGGCAGGAGGCAAAAACAAACAAATGAACCGCAGGGAGCTCACTGCCCTCTAGGACTCCTCGGGTAGTTTTCAGATGAAACTTGGACATTTTCGTTATTACTCTGTGAGGCTAGCTGTCTTCTCTCCGCCTGTCAGAGTCTTCTTGTGTTTGTTCTACATACAATGGTCAGTTTTTTAAGTTGTATTTAGCAGAAGAAATAGGGAGAAATGTGTCTCTAGTCCAGCTTCCCAGAAGTCATTTAAATTTGATAAACACCACCAAGTAGCCTTCCAAAAATGTTGCTGGTTCATCTTCCTTAAAATTTATTTTTCTTATTTATTTATTTATTTGAGACTGAGTCTAGCTCTGTCACTCAGGCTGGAGTGCAGTGGTGTGATCTCAGCTCACTGCAACCTCTGCCTCCCGGGTTCAAGCAATTCTCCTGCCTCAGCCTCCTGAGTAGCTGGGACTACAGGCACCCGTCACCATGCCCAGCTAACTTTTTTGTATCTTTAGTAGAGACGGGGTTTCACCATGTTGGCCAGGCTGGTCTCAAACTCTTGACCTCGGTGATCCACCTGTCTCGGCCTCCCAAAGTGCTGAGATTACAGGTATGAGCCGCCACGCCTGGGCTATGTTTCTTAATGCATAATAGATGTCCATATTTTCAGTGTCCGTATGATAATGTAACACATCCACATGTTGATATAAATTTATTATATGAATTTAATGTATTCATATATTGATTCATATCATGATATGACCACATTGATCATATCAGTGCAATTAAAATATCTATCACCTTAAATATTTGTATTTTATGCTAGAAAGATTTGAATTATTCTCTTTTAGCTATTTTGAAATATACAATAGATGATTGTAGACGATAGTCACCCTGCCGAACTCTCAAACACTGGGTCTTATTTCTTCTTATCAAACTGTATATTTGTATCCATTAATTAACCCCTCTCTATATCCCCCTCCTCCCTACCCTTCTTGGCTTCTGGTAACCACCAATCTACTGTCTGTCTTCATGTGACTCACCTTGTAGCTCCCACATAGGAGGGAGAACACGGGATGTTTGTCTTTCTGTGCTTGGCTTACTTCACCTAACATAAGGACTCCAGTTTCATCCATATTGCTGCAAACGATAGGACTGCATTCTTTTTATGGCTGAATAATATTCCATTGTGTAATATATACACATTTTCTTTTTTTTAATTGAGACGAAGTCTCGCTCTGTTGCCCAGGCTGGAGTGCACTGGCACGATCTCGGCTCACAGCAACCTCCACCTCCCGGGTTTAAGCGATTCTCCTGCTTCAGCCTCCCTAGTAGTAGCTGGGATTACAAGTGCACACCATCATGCCCTGATAATTTTTGTATTTTTAGTAGAGACGGGGTTTCACCAAGTTGGCTGGGCTTGTCTCAAACTCCTGACCTCAGGTGATCCGCCTGCCTCGGAAAGTGCTGGAATTACAGGTGTGAGCCACTGCGCCTGGCCTATATACACATTTTCTGTATTTGTTTATCCATTCACGGGCACTTAGGTTGGTTCCATATTTTGGCTCTTGTGACTAGTGCTGCACTAAACATGAGAGTACAGATATCCCTTTGATGAGCTGATTTGCCTTTCTTTTGGATATATACCCAGCAGTGGGATTGTGGGATCATATGGTAGTACATTTTTAGTTTTTTGAGGAACCTTTATACAGTTTTCTGTGGTGGCTGTGCAGGTTTACATACCCACCAAGAGTGTACGAGGAGGGTTCCCCTTTCTCTGCATCCTTGCCAGCATTTGTTCTTCCTTGTCTTTTTGGTAAAATCCATTTTAACTGGGGTGAGATGCTATCTCATTGTGGTTTTTATTTGCATTTCTCCCATGATTAGTGATATTGAGCATTTTTTTTTTATGTGCCTGTTGGCCATTTGTTTGTCTTTTTTAGAGAAATGTCTATTCAGATCCTTGCCCATTTTAAAATTGAATAATTTGTGTTTTTTTTCTATTGAGTTGTTTGAGCTCCTTATATATTCTGGCTAATAATCCCTTGTCTGATTGATAGTTTGCAAATGTTTTCTCCCATTCCGTAGGTTGCCTCTTTACTGTTGTTATTTCCTTTGCTGTGACAAGCTTTCTAGTTTGTCGTAGTCCCATTTGTCTATTTTAGCATTTGTTGCCTATGCTTTTGAGGTCTTACCCAAAAAATCTTTGCCCAGACTGATGTCTGGAAGCATTTTCCCAATGTTTTCTTCAAGTAGTTTCCTAGTTTCCGGTCTTACGTTTAAGTCTTTTTATTTTTATTTTTTTTTATTTTTTGAGGCAGAGTCTCGCTCTGTCTCCCAGGCTGGAGTGCAGTGGCACCATCTCGGCTCACTGCAAGCTCCGCCTCTCGGGTTCACGCCATTCTCCTGCCTCAGCCTCCCCAGTAGCTGGGACTACAGGTGCCCGCCACCACGCCCGGCTAATTTTTTTGTATTTTTAGTAGAGACAGGGTTTCACCATGTTCACCAGGATGGTCTTGATCTCCTGACCTCACAATCCGCCCGCCTCGGCCTCCCAACGTGCTGGGATTACAGGCGTGAGCCACCGCGCCCGGCCACATTTAAGTTTTTAATCTACTAGAGTTGATTTTTGTATATGGTGAGAGATGGGGTCTAGTTTCTTTTTTTTTTCACTGCATCCTCCGCCTCCCAGGTTCAAGTGATTCTCCTGCCTCAGCCTCCTGAGCAGCTGGGATTACAGGAATGTGCCACCACGCCAGGCTAATTTTGAATTTTTAGTAGAGACGGGGTTTCACCGTGTTGCCCAGGCTGATCTTGAACTCCTGACCTCAGGTGATCCGCCCGCCTCTGCCTCCCAAAGTGCTGAGATTACAGGTGTGAGCCACTGTACCCGGCTAGTTTCATTTTTTTGCATATGGTTATCCAGTTTTCTCAGCTCCATTTATTGAAGAGATTGTCCTTTCCCCATTGTATGTTCTTGGAACCTTTATTGAAAATGATTTGGCTGTAAATGTGTGGATTTATTTCTGGGTTGTCTGTTTTGTTCTGTTGGTCTATATGCCTGTTTTTATGCCAATACCCTGTTATTTTGGTTACTATAGCTTTGTAGTATGTTTTATTATTTTTTTCTTGAGACAGGGTCTTGCTCTCTTGCTGAGGTTGGAGTGCAATGGTGCAATCTCGGCTCATGGCAACCTCTACCTCCCGGATTCAAGCAATTCTCCTGCCTCAGCCTCCCCAGTAGTAGCTGGGATTACAAGTGCATACCACCACACCCAGCTAATTTTATGGTATTTTTAGTAGAGACGGGTTTTTGCCATGTTGGCCAAGTTGGTCTCAAACTCCTGACCTCAGGTGATCCACCCACCTCGGCCTCCCAAAGTGCTGGGATTACAGGCGTGAGCCACTGTGCCCGGCCACTTTGTAGTATGTTTTGAAGCCAGGTAGTGTGATGCCTCCAGCTTTGTTCTTTTTTTTTTTTTTTTTTTTTTGAGACGAAGTCTCACTGTGTCGCCCAGGCTGGAGTGCATTAGTGTCATCTTGGCTCACTGCAACCTCCGCCTCCCAGGTTCAAGCAATTCTCACGCCTCAACCTCCTGAGTAGCTGGGATTACAGGTGTGCGTCACCACACCCAGCTAATTTTTGTATTTTTAGTAGAGACAGGGTTTCTACTGTTGGCCAGGCTGGTCTCAAACTCCTGACCTCAGGTATTCTGCCTGCCTCGGCCTCCCAAAGTGCTGGGATTACAGGCGTGAGCCACCACACCCGGCCCAGCTTTGTTCTCTTTGCTCAGCATTGCTTTGGCTATTCAGGATCTTCTATGGTTTCATATGAATTTTAGAATTGTTTTTTCTATTTCTGGGAAGAATGTCATTGGTATTTGAAGGACTTCATTAAATCTGTACATTGCTCTGGGTAGAACTGTCATTTTAACAATATTAATTCTTCCAATCCATGAGCATGTGATATCTTCCCATTTTTGTGTGTGTCTGTCAATTTCTTTCATCCGCATTTTATAGTTTCCTTGTAGAGATCTTTCACTTCTTTGGTTTAATTTACTTCAAGGTATTATATGCTCTTTGTAGCTGGTGTAAATGAGATTGCTTTCTTGATTTCTTTTTCAGATTGTTTGCTGTTGATATATATAAATGCTACTGGGTTTTGTATGTTATTTTTATACCCTGCAACTTTACTAAATTGATTTCTCAACTTTACTAAATTGATTTCTCAGTACTAACAGTTTTTTTGGTGGAGTCTTTAGGTTCTTCTAAGTATAAGATCATGTAATCTGTAAATAAGGCTAATTTGACTTCTTCCTTTCCAATTCGGGTGCCTTTTATTTCGTTCTCTTGCCTCCTTGCTCTGGCCAGGACTTCCAGTTTTATGTTGTATAAAAGTGATGAGAGTGGGCCGGGTGCGGTGGCCCACGCCTGTAATCCACACACTTTGGGAGGCCGAGGTGGGTGGATCACGAAGTCAAGAGATCAAGACCATCCTGGCCAACATGGTGAAATTCCTGTCTCTAATAAAAATACAAAAAAGTTAGCTGGGCGTGGTGATGGGCACCTGTAGTCCCAGCTACTCAGGAGGCTGAGGCAGGAGAATCACTTGAACCTGGGAGGCAGAGGTTACAGTGAGCCAAGATTGCACCATTGCACTCCAGCCTGGGTGACAGAGTGAGACTCCATAAAAAAAAAAAAAAAAAAAAAAAAGACAAAGCTGGAGGCATTAGGTGAGTGGATAGATGGATGGATGGATGGTGGATGGATGGTGGATGGATGGAGGGATGGATGTATGGATGGAGGTGGATGGATGGCTGGATGGATGGTGGTGGATGGATGGATGGATGGTGGTGGATGGATGGATGGATGGTGTGGATGGATGGATGGATGGATGGATGGATGGATGGATGGATGAATGGATGTGGATGGATGGATGGATGGTGGTGAATGGATGCGTGGATGGATGGATAGTGATGGAGGGATGGATGGATGGATGGTGGATGGATGAATGGATGATGATGGATGGATGGATGGTGGATGGATGGTGGATGGATGGATGGATGGATGGATGGATGGAGGTGGATGGATGGCTGGATGGATGGTGGTGGATGGATGGATGGATGGTGGTGGATGGATGGATGGATGGTGTGGATGGATGGATGGATGGATGGATGGATGTGGATGGATGGATGGATGGTGGTGAATGGATGCGTGGATGGATGGATAGTGATGGATGGATGGATGGATGGTGGATAGATGAATGGATGATGATGGATGGATGGATGGATGGATGGTGGTGGATGGATGGATGGATGGTGGTGGATGGATGGATGGATGGATGGTGGATTGATGAATGGATGGTGGTGGATGGATGGATGGATGGATGGTGGATGGATGGATGAATGGATGGTGATGGATGGATGGATGGATGGATTGTGGTGGATGGATGGATGGATGGTGGATGGATGGATGGTGGATGGATGGATGGATAGTGGTGGATGGATGGATGGATAGTGGTGGATGGATGGATGGATGGATGGATGGTGGTGAATGGATGGATGGATGGTGATGGATGGATGGATGGATGCTCGATGGATGCTTGATGGATGGATAGATGGATGCTGGATGGATAGATGAATGGTGGTGGATGGATGGATGGATGTTGGATGGATGGATGGATGGATGGATGGATGGATGGATGGATGCCGAATGGATGGATAGATGGATGCTGGAAGGATGGATGGATGGTGGTGGAAGGATGGATGGATGCTGGATGAATGGACGGATGCTGGAAGGATGGATGCTGGATGGATGGATGCTGGATGGATGGATGGATGGTGGTGGATGGATGCTGGATGGATGGATAGATGGACGGACGGATGGTGAATGGATGGTTGGATGGTGAATGGATGGATGCTGGATGAATGTTGGATGGATGGATGGTAGATGGATGGATGCTGGATGGATGGTGGATGGATGGATGCTGGATGGTGGATGGATGGATGGTGGATGGATGGATGGATGGTGGTGGATGAATGGATGCTGGATGGATGGTGGATGGATGGATGCTGGATGGATGGATGGTGGATGGATGGATCAACAGGACATTAGGTGGCCAATATGCAGTCTGGGTGAGACTGATCCCAGATTCAACGTTGGTTGTAATATACATAGACACCGTGGTGACGTTTTATCCACGTGATCTTGTTTAATCCTCCAACAAGGTATCATCGCCATTTGAAAGAAGAGGAAACTGAGGGACAGAGAGATGTGGTGCTGAACTGGGATCCAAGTCCAGCCCCTCTGGTGTGGACTCAGAATGTCTCCATCAGCCAGGCACAGGGGCTCACACCTGTAATCCCAGCACTTTGGGAGGCCAAGGCAGGCGGATCACGAGGTCAGGAGATTGCGACCATCCTGGCTAACATGGTGAAACCCCGTCTCTACTAAAAAATACAAAAAAGATTAGCCGGGCATGGTGGCGGGCACCTGTAGTCCCAGCTACTTGGGAGGCTGAGGCAGGAGAATGGCCTGAACCCGGGAGGTGGAGCTTTCAGTGAGCCGAGATTGGGCCACTGCACTCCAGCCTGGGCGACAGAGCGAGACTCTGTCTCAAAAAAAAAAAAAAAAAGATGTCTTCATTGCTCTCTTCCCCTCAGCTGCCTAGCAGGGCCAGAGGAAGCTGTCAGAACCAACGTCAGAATATCCTGCTGATGGGTCAGAACCAATGTCAGAATATCCTGCTGATGGTCAGGGGTTTTCCTGTCTCAGAGAATTGTTGGATCTAGCACATTCCAAAATCTTCTCTCCAAGATGCAGACCTAGGCTGTGGTATATTCATGTATCCAACAAGCATTACTCGAGGGCTTGCTTTGTGCTATGCCCTGTGCCAAGTGGCAGGGATAAACTATGAGCAGTGGGACCAACTCGTTCTTTACCCTCATGCACTGAACAGCCCCACAGGTGACAGCGGGTCTAGGATCACCGTCTCCCCACCCCGGGTACACCCTGTCAAAAGTGGAAGGGGCAGAGCCAGTGACTTGTTGCTCACCAGATTCTTGGCCCCACGCTCAGCCCTTTGGTCCTAAAGATTCTGTAAGTAGCAACAAATACCAGAGGCGGGCAACTGGGAGGGAAAGCAACCTAGAGGGAAAGGAGTCCGGGGACCGAGGGATGTGAGCCCTGGCTACAACTCCAGGACAGGAGGGAGAGAATGCAACTCAGCCTGTCCCTCTGTGCATTTGTGGTATGCACTAACGCTGTCTGCACACATGCAGCTACCAACCAAGCCAGACTGGTGGGGTTCCTAAAGGTCCTGAGGCCCGCCCACAGCCCCCTTTGCCTCCATTTCCCCAGTTATCAATGAAGAAGTGCATACATTCCTCTCTTTCCCCTCCTTTCCCCATCTCCTTGGCTCGGTGAAGAGGGAGGCAGTACTCCTAATGTCTGAGGCTCTGCCATCCTCCACTCATTTCCAGGGTGTCAGCACCTTACCCAATGCCAATCCCAGGCTCCCTGTATGCCTTTCCTCCCCGGGCACCGAGGCCTGGCTGCCTGCCCACCTTGCACACATCACCAGCCTTCCTTGCGCATGGCTTTGCTGACCAGTCCCTGCTCCCTGCTCAGGCGCTAGAGATTGGCGATGTCTGCAGGCTGAGAGCTGCCTGGCAGGCAGGGAGACTGGTACATCTATCTGTCAGCTTTGCCATCCTGTACCTGGGCAATTCCCTATGACAGACTGCTGTACAGGGTCCCTCCACCTCAGTGTCCAGAGACGTCACCAGGCCAGAGCACACCCACTGAGCGCCTACTGTGTACCAGAGCCCGGGATGCCCCCACACCGGGTCTACTCCCGCTTCATCTTTAAGTCAAACCGCAAGGCAGGTTGTGCTGACCGCCCCCCTCTAAACACGAGCCAGGGTCAAATTTGGGATGAAGTGTGTAGAAAGTAAAAGTTCCTCTTCAAAGTTTCCCTTCTTGTTAAAAATAAATCATAAGGGTTAGAAATAATAGTTTCTTTTAAAGACTAGCTTTATGCTAGACATGCTCACAGGCATGTAATATATTCTATGTCCTTGTACTTTAACCAAGACATCTGTGCTGGACGTGATCACAGGCATGTCCCAGCTCACAGCCCATGCCCCTTCCTTATTTGGGAATGTTATTACTTTTCTAAGTCCTTTCGTAAGCAACTTCCTCTTTTCCTTTATCCTTCCATTACTTTTACCTATTTAGAAAATTTCTTTTTTTTTTTTTTTTGAGATGGAGTCTTGCTGTCTCCCAGGCTGGAGTGCAGTGGCACGATCTCGGCTCAGTGCAAGCTCCGCTTCCCGAGTTCACGCCATTCTCCTGACTCAGCCTCCTGAGTAGCTGGGACTACAGGCACCCGCCACCACACCCGGCTAATTTTTTGTATTTTTAGTAGAGACAGGGATTCACCATGTTAGCCAGGATGGTCTCGATCTCCTGACCTCGTGATACGCCCGCCTCGGCCTCCCAAAGTGCTGGGATTACAAGCGTGAGCCACCGCGCCTGGCCGAAAAGTTTTAAACTGTTAGCCAATCAGGTTTTAGTTTAGATTGTGCGGTCTGGCTCCTGCCAATGGAGACAGGACGCAGTAGCTGGGACAAACTGCGTGAGGAATAAAAATTGCTTCCCTCCTTTGTTCGGATGTGCTCTCGCCATTATTCCATCTGCGATGAGCACCCTTTCTGCAGAAAGTACAAAAGGCCTTGCTGAGAGGATTAAATTTATGTTCAAGTGCTATTTCTTTGCAGCACCGGGGAACAAGCATTTACATATAACAGTGTGTCTAGGGGCAGGGATGGCCTTTCTGTGAACTCCTGGTCAGTGCTGGTCCCTGTATCTAGGATGTTGTCCTCTCTGATTTCCAGTCTGGAATGCTGGACCCGGCCAGGGGGAGAGGGTCTTAGCCAAGGGCCCCCTGGCTCTGGGGTCCTGAACACGGCCTCTGTTTCTCCATCCACATGATGTGGAAATAGATGGCCTGGTCCCATTCTGGCCCCTGTGAAATGAGAGGAGGTTCTGGAAAGGTGCCTTATCTAGAGCCACGCAGTCACTGGGAGGATTGCAGCAGCAGCTCGCTCCAAAGATTTAGGGTAGAGCCCAGGCTTACCACTTCTGCCTGTCACAAAGGGCTCCAGGCTTTCCCCACTAGCCCCCTTGGTAGCCTCAGCAGGGTTCACCGCACACAGCTGCTGCTGTCATTATGACTTTAGGTCTCTCTGCACCACTCAGGTGCATGTTCTGCAAGGGCAGAGGTCTCATCTGCTATGTTCTGCAGAATCCCCTAAGCCCGGTACAACTCTGGGGACAGAGCACGGGCTTCATGGGCTGTTGTTTGAAGATATGGATGGAGGAAGGCTTTATGCACACTATGTTCCTGGCACTGTTACAGCAGTGGGTATGCAGCAGGTGCTTAACAGAGACTTGCCAGAAGACTAAATGAATCAGCTGGGGAGTCAGGCTGGTATCTTTTTTTTTTCTTTTTTAGACAGAGTGTGACTCTGCCTCCCGGGCTGGAGTGTGGAGTGCAGTGGCACAATCTTGGCTCACTGGAGCCCCTGTCTCCTGGGTTCAAGCGAATCTTGTGCCTCAGCCTTCTGAGTACCTGGGATTACAAGCACGTGCTCCAACACCTGGCTAATTCTTTGTATTTTTAGTACAGACAGGGTTTTGCCATGTTGGCCAGGCTGGTCTCAAACTCCGGGCCTCAAGTGATCCATCCACCTCTGCCTCCCAAAGTGCTGGGATTATAGGTGTAAGCCATTGCGCACGGTCAGAGTGACATCTTTTGTTTCAAGCCTGGAGCATTAAGTAATGACGGAAAGTAGGGAATTGCTCAAGAAACAAAAGGACGGGGCAGGTCACAGGGACACAGGGCCAACCTGGAAAGAGCACCCAGTGGCCAAAGCTGGGATGATTAGAACAACAAAATAAATAATGTAGCATTGGATTATGACCCAAAGTATGACATAAATATACATCAGTTCATAGTGATTGAATAAATGGTGGAGAGACAGATCTTCCTTAGAGAAGAATGGAAGAATCCCAAGTGACATGTAGTACTGTCCCCCTCCAGGAGGTGGAGCTAAAACCTTTGCCCTGTGAGAGTGCAATGTGCTTAGTGCCTCTCTTCTCTCTCCCAAAGAACAGAGTACCGAGTAGGGGAACAGCAACGTCACAGTGCAGGTGCCTGGTGGGCGTGACCCCGGGCGATGAGGTCTCATGGGCTGCATGGGTCCCTGCTGTGACGAACGTGAGCAGAAGGCACTTGGCTTCACGGTCTTCTCTCTAGACTGATCAGGAGCAAACCTCAGACAGCCCCAGATGGGGGTGCATTCTGCAGAATACCCCATCCGTGCTTCTCAAACCTGTCTCGGTCATAAACAGCAAGAAAAGATTGATAAACTGTCAGAGATGGGAGGGAACTCACACCTCAGTGCAAAGCAGTGCCCTAGGTTGGATTCCGAACAGAAAAAGGGCATTGGCAGGCAGACTGGTGAAATCCAAATGTAACCTGAGTTTAATTAATAGCAATGTACCAGCCGAGTGTGGTGCTGCACTCCTGTAATCCCAGTACTTTGGGAGGCTGAGGCAGGAGGATCACTTCAGGCCAGGAGTTCAAGGCTGCAGTGAGCTTTGATTGCACCACTGCATGCCAGCCTGGGTGGTAGAGTGAGACCCTGTCTAGAAAAAAAAATAGCAATATATCCATGTCAGTTTCTTTATTATTATTAAATATATGCTATTTCATATATACCTAATGTACTATTTAAGGAATAGTTTGGGGGTTTTTTTTGAGACAGAGTCTCGCTCTTGTCACCCAGGCTGGAATGCAATGGCATGATTTCAGCTCACTGTAACCTCCGCCTCCCAGGTTCAAGTGATTCTCCTGCCTCAGCCACCCGAGTAGCTGGGATTATAGGCATGTGCCACCATGCCCGACTAATTTTGTATTTTTAGTAGAGATGGGGGTTTCGCCATGTTGACCAAGCTGGTCTCAAACTCTTGACCTCAAGCGATCCACCCACCATGTCCTCCCAAAGTGTTGGGATTACAGGCGTGAGCCACCGCACCCGGCCATAATTAATACTTAAATATAGACTATTTAAAGCGCAGGCTGGGCACAGTGACTTACATCTGTAATCTTAGAGCTTTGGGAAGCTGAGACGGGAGGATTTCTTGAGCCCAGGAGTTTGAGGCTACAGTGAGCTATAATGGCACCGCTGCACTCCAGTCTGGGTAACAAAGTGCGACCCTGTTTGTAATCATAATAATAATGTGCACCATGTAACGTTGTGAAATGCTTACAACAGTCAAACAAATGAGCATGTCCATCGTCTCACATAGTTGCCCCCTCTGTGTGCGTGCTGAGAGCCCCTAAAATCTACTCTCAGTAAGTTTTCGGTATACAATACATTATTATTGATGACTATAGTCCTCACGCTGGACTTTAGATCTTTAGACTCATTCATCCTGTGTAACTTTAACTTTGTACCCTTTGGCCTCCATCTCAATCTCCACCACCTGCAAGCCCCTGTAACCACTGTTCTACTGTTTCTATGTATTTGACACCTTTTTTTTTTTTTTTTGAGATGGAGTCTCGCTCTGTTGCCCAGTCTAGAGTGCAGTGGCTCGATCTCGGCTCACTGCAACCACTGCCTCCCAGGTTCACCCCATCCTCCTGCCTCAGCCTCCCGAGTAGCTGGGACTACAGGCTCCCGCCACCATGCCCAGCTAATTTTTTTTTTTGAATTTTTAGTGGAGATGCCGTTTCACCTGTTAGCCAGGATGGTCTTGATCTCCTGATCTCGTGATCCGCCTGCCTCGGCCTCCCAAAATGCTGGGATTACAGGCGTGAACCACCGTGCCCGGCCGTATTTGACACTTTTAAAAAATATTTTGGCCAGGTGCTGTGGCTCATGCCTGTAATCCCAACACTTCGGAAGGCCGAGGCGGGTGGATCACTTGAGGTCAGGAGTTCAAGACCAGGCTGGCCAACGTGGTGAAACACTGTCTCTAGTAAAATACAAAAATTAGCCAGGCGTGGTGGCACGCACCTGTAATCCCAGCTACTCAAGAGGCTGAGGCAGGAGAGTCACTTGAACCCAGGAAGGGAGGTGGAGGTTGCAGTGAGCAAAGATACCACCACTGCACTGCACTCCAACCTGGGCAACAGAGTGAGGCTCCATCCCCACCCCCACCCGCAAAAAAAAATTTCATATATACATGAGATCATGCAGTACTTTTCCTTCTATGTTTGGCTTATTTCATTTAGCATAATGTCTTCAGGTTCATCTATGTTGTCGCATAGGCAGGATCTCCTTTTTTTTTGAGTCAGAGTTTCACTCTTGTTGCCCAGGCTAGAGTGCAATGGCATGATCTTGGCTCACTGCAGCCTCTGCCTCCTGGATTCAAGCGATTCTCCTGCCTCAGCCTCCTGAGTAGGTGGGATTACAGGCATCCGCAACCACGCCTGGCTAATTTTTTGTATTTTTAGTGGAGACAGGGTTTCTCCATGTTGGCCAGGCTGGTCTTGAACTCCTGGCCTCAGGTGATCTGCCCGCCTTGGCTTCCCAAAGTGCTGGGATTACAGGTGTGAGCCACCGTGCCCAGCCAGAATCTCCTTTTGAAGAGCTGGAAATATTCCATTGCATGTGTAGACCACAGTTTCCTTATCTAGGCCTCTGTCAGTGGACACTTAGGTGGATTCCATGCCTTGGCTATTGCGAATAGTGCCGCATTGAACATGGGAGTGCGGGTATCTCTATGAAGTGCTTATATTTCATCTC
This sequence comes from Homo sapiens, assembly GCF_000001405.40. Lineage (NCBI taxonomy): Eukaryota > Metazoa > Chordata > Mammalia > Primates > Hominidae > Homo > Homo sapiens. Next base: position 134,096,655 of record NC_000009.12, on the reverse strand, counting down.
CTTTGGCTATATTCCCAGAAGAGAGATTGCTGGATCATATGGTGGTTCTACCTTTAGTTTTTTGAAGGGCCTCCATACTGTTTTCCATAATGATGGTACCGATCTACATACCCATCAACAGTGTACAAATGTACCTTTCACCACAGCCTTGCTCACATTTATCCCTTGTCTTTTGGTTACAGCCATCCTAACGTGTGAAGTGATATCTCATTGTGGTTTTAATTTGCTGCCATGGTCAGTTCGCACTGCTATTACAAAATATCTTAGACTGGGTACTTTATAAACAACAGAAACTGATTGCTCACAGTTCTGGAGGCTGGGTAGTCCAAGATCAAGGCACCAGCTAACTGAGGATCTGCTAAGTGTCCATTCCTCAGATGGCACCTTCTTTGTGCTCTCACATGGTGAAAGGGGTGAACAAGCTCTCTCATGCCTCTCTTACAAGGGCATTAATCCCCTTTAAGAGGGCAGAGTCCTTACGATCTGATCACCCCCAAAGGCCCTACTTTTTTTTTTGTATGGATGGACTCTCTCTCTGTCACCCAGGCTGGATTGCGATGGCACGATCTTGGCTCACTGCAACCTCCACCTCCCAGGCTCACGCAATTCTTCTTCTTCAGCCTCACAGGCAGCTGGGATTACAGGGGCGCACCACCACGCTTGGCTAATTTTTGTATTTTTAGTAGAGATGGGGTTTCAGCATATTGGCCAGGCTGGTCTCGAACTCCTGACTTCGTGACCTGCCCACCTTGGCCTCCCAAAGTGCTGGGAATACAGGCGTGAGCCACTGCACCCAGCCGGCCCCACTTCTTAATGCCATCGTCTTGGGGATTGGGTTTCAACCTATGAATTTTGGGGAAACACAAACATTCAGACCCTGGCGTTTGCATTTCTGCATTTCTGTCATCATTGGTGATGTTGGGCACCTTTTCATAGACCAGTTGGCCATTGTGTGTGTGTGTACACCTTTAGTCTTATTGTAACAAAGCAACTTGTACACATTTTCCTTTTTAATTTAGATATTGGGTCTCGCTTTGTCACCAAGGCTGGAGTGCAGTGGCACAATCATTGCTTACTGCAGCCTTGAGCTCCTGGGCTCAAGTGAACCTCCCAACCTCAGCCTCCTGAGTAGCTGGGACTACAGGCACATACCACCATACCTGGTTAGTTTTTTACATTTATTTTTTGCAGAGATGGGGTCTCACTATGTTGCCCAGGCTGGTCTCAAACTCCTAGACTCAAGCAATCCTCCTGCCTTGGCTTCCCAAAGTGCAGGGATAACAGGTGTGAGCCACCATGCCCAGCCTTTACAATAATTTTTTTAGAGGCAAGGTCTTGCTATATTGCCCAAACCAGTCTTGAATTCCTGGCCCCCTCAGTCTCCCAAGTAACTGGGATTACAGGTGTACACCACTGCACATTTAAAACTGAGCATTGGCCGGGCGCTGTGGCTCACGCCTGTAATCCCAGCACTTTGGGAGGCCAAGGCGGGCGGATCACGAGGTCAGGAGATCGAGACCATCCTGGCTAACGTGGTGAAACCCCGTCTCTACTAAAAATACAAAAAAATTTAGCCAGGCATGGTGGCAGGCGCCTGTAGTCCCAGCTACTCGGGAGGCTGAGGCAGGACAATAGCGTGAACAGTGAGCCGAGGTCGTGCCACTGCACTCCAGCCTGGGCGACAGTGCGAGACTCCGTCTCGAAAAAAAAAAAACCAACTGAGTATCACCTGTCCTTTCCAGTGAAACAGAAGGAAATTTTTAAAATAAACAGGAAGAAAATTACAATAGAAAATGTCAATTCCAAATAAGATCTTACCGGTTCTGCTGATTCTCCCATTGATTGGCAGGGCTCAAGTAATCATTAGGAGATAATTCATTTTTAAAGTATCATCTTAAACTGCAAGGATATCTGTTAAATGTCACAATTAAACATCCATTGGCAATTTTTGTCTTCTTTGAAAACTGTCTATGCAGGTTCTTTGCCCATTTTTAACTGGGATATTTGTGGGATTTTTTGCTATTGAGTTATATAAGTTCCTTATATATTTTGGATATTAATCCCTTATCAGGTGCATGGTTTGCAAATATTTTTTTCCCATTCCATTGGCTGCCTTTTCATTTTGTCCATTGTCACCTTTGCTGTGAGAAGCTTTTTAGTTTTACGTAGTCCTATTTGTTTATTCAATGCTTTTGTTGCCTGAGCTTTTGGTGTGATATCTAAAAAATCATTGCCAAAGCCAATGTCAAGGGGCCTTCCCCCTGTCTTCTTCTAGGGGATTTATGGTTTCAGGTCTTACATTTAGGTCTTTAATTCACTTTGACTTGATTTTTTGTATGGTGTAAGATAAGGGTTTAATTGCATTCTCTTGCGCATGGATATCCAGTCTTCCCAACATCATTTATTGAGGAGACTATACTTCCCCATTGTGTCCCTCATATGGCTTGGCTCTGTGTCCCCACCCAAATCCCATGTTAAATTATAATCCCCGGTGTTGGAGGTGGGGCCTGGTGGGAGGTGATTGGATCACGGGGGTGTTTCTAATGGTTGAGCACCATCCTCCCATTTTGCTGTCTTGTGATAGAGTTCTTACAAGATCTGGTTGTTTGAAAGTGTGTAGTGCGTCGCCCTTCACTCTCTCTTCCTGCTCCTGCCAGGTAAACGTGACTGCTTCTCCTTCACCTTCAGCCACGATTGTAAGTTTCCTGAGGTATTCCCAGAAGCAGAAGCCTGTACAGCCTGCAGAACAGTGAGCCGATTACACCTCTTTAGAAATTACCCAGTCTCAGGTTCTTGCACATGATAGCTGTGTATGAACAGACTAATACAGTCCTCTTGGCACTCTTATTGAAAATTAGTTGACTGTATCTGCTTGGGTTTATTTCTGGGCTGACTTTCCACTGGTCTATATGTCTGTTTTTATGCTAGTACCATCCCACTTTGTTCACTATAGCTTTACTATACAATATATAGTAAATACACTATAGTGTATATAGTATATATGGTATATAGTAAATAATAGTATATAGTATATAGTAAATACACTGCAGTATTTATATATACAGTATAGTATATATATACTATATATATATTCTCTCTATATATATATAACATATGTATATATATTTTTTAGACAGGGCCACTCTGTCACCCAGGCTGGAGTGCTATGGCACAATCATGGCTCGCTGCAGCCTCTGTGTCCCAGGCTAAAGCAGTCTTCCCGCCTCAGCCTCTCGAGTAGCAGAGACTGCTGCGGGGAAAAGCAAGAGAGATCAGATTGTTACTGTGTCTGTATAGAAAGAAGTAGACATAGGAGACTCCATTTTGTTCTGTACTAAGAAAAATTCTTCTGCCTTGGGATGCTGTTAATCTATAACCTTACCCCCAACCCCGTGCTCTCTGAAACATGTGCTGTGTCAAACTCAGGGTTAAATGGATTAAGGGCGGTGCAAGATGTGCTTTGTTAAACAGATGCTTGAAGGCAGCATGCTCCTTAAGAGTCATCACCACTCCCTAATCTCAAGTACCCAGGGACACAAAAACTGCGGAAGGCCGCAGGGACCTCTGCCTAGGAAAGCCAGGTATTGTCCAAGGTTTCTCCCCATGTGATAGTCTGAAATATGGCCTCGTGGGAAGGGAAAGACCTGACCGTCCCCCAGCCCGACACCCGTAAAGGGTCTGTGCTGAGGAGGATTAGTAAAAGAGGAAGGAATGCCTCTTGCAGTTGAGACAAGAGGAAGGCATCTGTCTCCTGCCCGTCCCTGGGCAATGGAATGTCTCGGTATAAAACCCGATTGTACGTTCCATCTACTGAGATAGGGAAAAACCGCCTTAGGGCTGGAGGTGGGACATGCGGGCAGCAATACTGCTTTGTAAAGCATTGAGATGTTTATGTGTATGCATATCTAAAAGCACAGCACTTAATCCTTTACCTTGTCTATGATGCAAAGATCTTTGTTCACGTGTTTGTCTGCTGACCCTCTCCCCACTATTGTCTTGTGACCCTGACACATCCCCCTCTCGGAGAAACACCCACGAATGATCAATAAATACTAAGGGAACTCAGAGGCTGGCGGGATCCTCCATATGCTGAACGCTGGTTCCCCGGGCCCCCTTATTTCTTTCTCTATACTTTGTCTCTGTGTCTTTTTCTTTTCCAAGTCTCTCGTTCCACCTAACGAGAAACACCCACAGGTGTGGAGGGGCAACCCACCCCTTCAACTACAGGCGTGTGTCACCACGCCTGGCTAATTTTTGTATTTTCTGTAGAGATGGGGTTTCACCATGTTGCCCACGCTGGTCTTGAGCTCCTGGGCTCAAGGCATCCACCTGCCTTGGCCTCCGAAAGTGCTGAGATTACAGGCATGAGCCACCACACCAAGCCTCAACATCCTTTCTTGATAAAAACTTTCAACAGTTTAGATATACAAGGAAATTCCCTCAATATAATAAAGGCCATTTATGAAAAGCCAACAGTTAAACCAAAACAGCTAACTTTCAGCTAAACTGAAAGCTTTTCCTTTAAAGTCAGGAACAAGACAGTATGCTCACTCTTGTCTCTTCTATTCAACGTAGCACTGGAAGTAATAGCAAGAGGAATCAGACAAGAAAAAATAAATAAAAGCAATCCCAATTGGAAAGGAAGAAGTAAAATTATCTCTGTTTGCTATGACATGATTCTATTTGTAGAAAACCCTGAAGACTCCACAAAACAATTGTTAGTTGAACTAACAAACAAACTCACAGGATACAAAATCAACATATAAAAATCAGTTCTGGCTGGGCACAGTGGCTCACACCTGTAATCCCAGCACTTTGGGAGGCTGAGGCAGGAGGATTGCTTGAGGCCAAGAGTTTCAGACCAAGTTGGGCTACACAGCAAGACCCTGTCTCTCTCTCTTAAAAAAAAAATCAGTTATATTTCTTTATATCAATAACAGGACAGCTGGAAAGGAAAGCAAGAAAACAATGCCATTTACAAAGGCATCCAAAATAATAAAGTACTTAGGAATCAATTTAACCAAGAAGATGAAAGACCTGTATACTGAAAACTGTAAAACATTGATGAGGCAGGGCACAGTGCCTAACACCTGTAATCCCAGCACTTTGGGAGGCTGAGGTGGGCAGATCACCTGAGGTCAGGAGTTTGAGACCAGCCTGGCCAACATGGTGAAACCCTATCTCTACTGAAAATACAAAAAATTAGCTGGGTGTGGTGGCAGACACCTGTAATCCCAGCTACTGGGGAGACTGAGGCAGGAGAATTGTTTGAACCCAGGAGGCAGAGGTTGCAGTGAGCTGAGATCCTACTACTGCACTCCAGCCTGGGCAACAAGAGTGAAACTGCATCTCAAAAAAAAAAAAAAAAAAAAGGTGATGAAAAAATTGAAGACATGAATGAATGGAAAGATAGCCTATGTTCATGGATTGGAAGAATTAATATTATTAAAATGCCCAATACTACCCAAAATGATCTACAGATTCGACACAATCCCTATCAAAATTCCAATGGCAGTTTTCACAGAAATAGAGAAAAACAATTCTAAAATTCACAGGGAGCCACGATAGTCTCTGAATAGCCAAAGCAACCTTGAGAAATTAAAAATAAAGCTGGAAGCATCACACTTCCTGCTCCAGCATTGGTTTCTTCGTTATGACAAGTGTGCCTTGGTGATGTAAGAAGTTAACAATGGGGGAACTGGGTTGGGGGGGCGGTCTGTAGGAACTTTCTGTACTGTCTTTGTAACTTTTCTACAAATGTAAAATCATTCTAGCTGGGCATGGTGGCTCACGCCTGTAATCCCAGCACTTTAGGAGGCTGAGGTGGGCAGATCATGAGGTCAGGAGATCGAGACCATCCTGGCTAACATGGTGAAACCCCGTCTCTACTAAAAATACAAAAAATTAGCTGGGCTTATTGGCAGGTGCCTGTAGTCCCAGATACTCAGGAGGCTGAGGCAGGAGAATGGCGTGAACCCGGGAGGCTGAGCTTGCAGTGAGCTGAGATCGTGCCACTGCACTCCAGCCTGGGCAACAAAGCGAGACTCCATCTCAAAAAAAGAAAAATCATTCTAAAATAAAACGTTTTTAAAAAGTGAGTAGAAACATGATCTTTGGCCAGGAGGGTGTCTTTTGGGGCCTTGGCTCATCACGGCCTAGTGACACTCTCGGGCAGGCATCCATCCTCCTTTCTTTGTCGGCTACAGCTGGTGTCACTACCCTGAACGGCCTTGGGCACAAGTGGGGCCCAAAAAGTCTGGGCACCTAGGAAGACAAGGAGGGCTGCAACTCCTTCTGCAATGTCACCTCAGCCTGGCAAAGCTCTAGGGGTCATCATGATTGTGTACAGTCTCCACTTTCTGACCCCCTTCTTAACCTGCCACTTCCTGGCCTCTGTGGACACCCTGGTGTATGCACAACCTTGTACATGTGGGCACAAGGCCAGGGAGCCGAGTGGTTATGCCCCCGGGCATTGGCACTAGACTGTGTCCAGTCCAGGCTCTGACACCTACCCATACATGTCTCTTCTAACCTGTGGTTTCCTCACATAAGGTGGGACAGGGACAGCAGCCACAATGTTGAATCCAAGGTAGTCCAGGGCTGGAGCAGAGAAGGGCTGTCTGGTTCTGGATGCGCTGTGCCCCATTTGCAGGTGAGAGCACGCAAAGAGGAATAGGAACAGACGCCCCAGGAACGAGAGGCAGCTGGCAGGACCCCGCCTCCTCTTTCACCTTCTGTCTCCTGACACCTACTTCCTGTTCTGTCCGAAGCCTCTTAGGAAGACAGGATCTTCATGCCTCTCTCTCTCTCTGTCTGCCTCTCTCTCTCTCTCTCTCTCTCTCTCACACACACACACACACACACACACACACACACACACACAGTCTCATTCGCATTCCCCGACTTATTTCAGAAAACCTTCACGTCAGCATGACTCTCCCCATCCCCAAAAATGCAGACACGCCCCACGGGAGTGCAAGGACATGAGCAACAATGTCTTTCCCTTCTTTTATTTCTTAAAATTTATTTATTTATTTATTTATTTTGAGATGGAGTCTCGCTCTTGTCGCCCAGGCTAGAGTGCAGTGACACGATCTTGGCTCACTGCAACCTCTGCCTCCCAGGTTCAAGCGATTCTCCTGCCTCAGCCTCCCGAATAGCTGGAACTACAGGCACCAACCACCACGCCCAGCTAATTTTTTTATTTTTGATAGAGACGGGTGTCACCATGTTGGCCAGGCTAGTCTCGAACTCCTGACCTTGTGATCCGCCTGTCTTGGCCTCCCAAAGTGCTGGGATTACAGGTGTGAGCACGGCGCCCAGCCATCTTTCCCTTCTTCTTCTTATTTTATTTTATTTCATTTTTTAGATGGAGTCTCACTCTGTCGCCCAGCCTAGAGTGCAGTGGCGCCATCTCGGCTCACTGCAAGCTCCACCTCCCGGGTTCACGCCATTTTCCTGCCTCAGCCTCCCAAGTAGCTGGGACTACAGGCGCCCGCCACCGCACCCAGATAATTTTTTGTATTTTTAGTAGAGACGGGGTTTCACCATGTTAGCCAAGATGGTCTCGATCTCCTGACCTTGTGATCTGCCCACCTCAGCCTCGCAAAGTGCTGGGATGACAGGCATGAGCCATTATGCCTGGCCGGGCCATCTTTCCCTTCTTTTTTTTTTTTTGAGACGGAGTCTCACTCTGTCGCCCAGGCTGGAGTACAGTGGCGCAATCTCGGCTCACTGCAAGCTCAGCCTTCCAGGTTCACACCATTCTCCTGCCTCAGCCTCCCGAGTAGCTGGGACTACAGTCACCTGTCACCATGCTTGGCTAATTTTTTGTATTTTTAGTAGAGACGGGGTTTCATCGTGTTAGCCAGGATGGTCTCGATCTCCTGACCTCGTGATCCGCCTGCCTCAGCCTCCCAAAGTGCTGGGATTACAGGTGTGAGCCACCGCACCCGGTCTATCCTTCCCTTCTTAACAGAAGGTATTGATGTACAATTTGGCCTAGATTTAAAGTACCGATTTGAAGAGCTTCAAGAGTCTCCTAAAATGAGCCCGTGTGCCAGTCCAGTGACCTCACCTGCTCCTCACGCTCCCCTTCGCTGCCTGGCAAGGGCCGTGCATGAAGCCTCTTGTGTTGAGCTCATCATCGGTGCCAAGCAGTGGGGACACACAGGGGGCTGAGATAGCTACAGAGCTGCAGCCCCGGGGCCAAGGCAAATGAGATGCGGTCAAAGCCTCGTGCCTGTGACCACACATACACAGTGGGGTGAGTCCTGCCATGGGCAGGGTGTGGCTGCGCATGTAAGAGCTCAAAAGGGTGGGGTGTTGCCAGGGCAGGCTTCCCTGAAGGGAGCCAGGGAGATTGAGCAGCAGAAGCCAGGAGGAGCAGGGCAGAAGAGAAGAGCATGTTCCAAGCAGAGAGAACAGGCTACACCAGAGCCCTGTGGCAGGACGGAGCTTGGCAAGTCTGAGGATCTGGGAGGGGCCAGAGCAGCCCAGACAGGGTGGGCAGGCCAGTGGGCAGACAGGAGCATGCGTGAACTGCAGGCCAGGCTGGGGACATTGTGCAGCTGTGGTACACTGTCAGCAGCAAGGACATGTCCCCTCCAGCTACTCTGTGGAAGCTCAGAGGCCACTGCAGGTACACAGGAAAAGAGGGAGTGGACACATTGGAGGGATATTTAGGAGGTAGAAACCACAGGACAGGGTGGCCAACTGGATGTGGGGAGTGGGGCTGGGGGAAGTCAAGGGTGACACTAGCTCCTAATGGGGCCTTTGAGGTCAGGGGGCTCATACCCAAGGCAGTGAGCCCCAGGGGTCTGTCCTTCACACACTGCCACTGCCGGGACTCCCTGGGCCATCAGGCCTGATGCCCACGGTCCTCCCGTGCCTCTGCTCGCCTCTCAGCACTGTGACCTGGGCGGCCCTGGCTGTGCTGCTCCACCTCGCCACATAGACACTATCTCCTTATCCCCTGGAATTCCTATACTGTGAGTTCCATTATAATCTCCACTTCACACAGGAGGAAACTGAGGCCCACAGAGGTGAAGTAACTTGCTGAAGGTCACACAACAAGGGGCAGAGTTAGAACTCAAGCCCCAATCTGTCGGACACCAACACTCATGCCCTTCACAGCTGCATGGGCAGCTGGCCCTCAGCACCTGCAGAGGACTGGTTCAAGGACCCTGTGGGTACCAAAATATGCAGAGGCTGCAGTCCCTGATGTCAAGTAGCATACTCTTTGCACAGAGCCTGTGCACATCCTTCCATATACTATTTTTTTTTTTTTGAGACGGGGTTTCGCTCTTGTTGCCCAGGCTGGAGTGCAATGGCACGATCTCAACTCACCACAACCTCTGCCTCCCGGGTTCAAGCGATTCTCCTGCCTCAGCCTCCTGAGTAGCTGGGATAACAGGCATGTGCCACCATGCCTGGCTAATTTTGTATTTTCAGTAGAGACGGAGTTTCTCCGTGTTGGTCAGGCTGGTCTCAAACTCCTGACCTCAGGTGAACTGCCCGCCTCGGCTTCCCAACATTCTGGGGTTACAGGTGTGAGCCACCACGCCCGGCCAGATACTTTTTAAAACATTTTGAGATGGGTTCTTGCTGTGTTGCCCAGGCTGGAGTGCAGTGGCGCAAACTTGGCTCACTGCAGCCTCAACCTCCTGGGCTCGAGCAATCCTCCCTTCTCAGCCTTCTGAGTAGCTGGGACCACAGGCATGTGCCACCATGCCCAGCTAATTTTGTTCATTTTTTTGTAGAGACAGGGTCTCTCCATGTTGGCCAGGCTGGCCTCAAACTCCTGGACTCAAGCGATCCTCCTGCCTGGGCCTCCCAAAGTGCTGGGGTTACAGACATGAGCCACTTTGCCCCACCATCTGGTTTAAATATACTTTAAATCATTTCTAGATTACTTAAAATAGCTAGTACAATGCCTATAACATCACTTTACTTGTGTGGATTCAATGTAGTACTCAGTGCACAAATTCAAGGTTTGTTCTTTGGAACTTTGTGGATTTGTTTTTTTTTTTAAGAGATGGGGATTTGTGGCCGGGTGCGGTGGCTCATATCTGTAATCCCAGCACTTTGGGAGGCCGAGGCGGGTGGATCACAAGGTCAGGAGATTGAGACCATCCTGGCTAACACGGTGAAACCCCATTTTTACTAAAAATACAAAAAATTAGCCGGGCGTAGTGGTGGGAGCCTGTAGTCCCAGCTACTTATGAGGCTGATGCAGGAGAATGGCGTGAACCCAGGAGGCGGAGCTTGCAGTGAGCCGAGATCGCACCACTGCACTCCAGCCTGGGCGACAGAGCGAGACTCCGTCTCAAAAAAAAAAACCCAAAAAAAACAAAAAAACAAAAAAAAAACAGATGGGGATTTGCTTTAAAGAGATGGTGTGGTGGCATGTGCCTGTAGTCCCAGCTATTTGGGGGGCTGAAGCAGGAAGATTGCTGGAGCCTGGGAGGGTGAGGCTGCAGTGAGCCATAATCACACCACTGCACTCCAAGCTGGGTGACAGAGAAGGACCCTAAAAAAAAGAAAGAAAGAAAGAGAGAGAGAAAGAAAAGCAAGCAAGCCCATGGGGAAGGAGCCAGGACCAGTTGGGCAGGGGTTTCTCCTCTTCTAAAGACAGAGGAGCAATAGCATCATGTTCAAGATAATGGCCTGCATTAGTCTGTTTTCTGCTGTATAACAGCATATCACAAACTGAATAATTTTAAGGAACAGAAATGTATTTGGCTCATGGTTCCAGAGGCTGCGAAGTCCAACAGCACGGCACAGGCACCTGGTAAGGGCCTTCTTGCTGCATTTATACCATGGTGGAAGGGCAAGTCAAGTACACAAGACAGAGAGAAATTGGGGGCCAAACTTATCCTTTTATCAGGAGCCCACTCTTGTGAAAACAAACCCATTCCAGTGATATTGGCATTAATCCATTCAAGAGGGTGGAAACTAATCACCTCCTAGAGGCCCCACCACTTAATACTGTTACAAGTTTCCAGCATGTGAACTTTTAGGGGACACTTTCAAGCTATAGCATGGCCCTCTGGCCCCATTCCAGCAGTATTAGGGGAGGAGAGAAGGATGGATCATTCCCAGAGATACAAACACCAAATCTACTCTTACCCTATTGGCCACTCCCAGCTGCAAGGGAGGCTGGAAAAGGTAGTCTTTATCTGGGCAGGCCTCACATCCAGTAGAAATCGGGGACTCGATGACTGAGAAAGGGGGTGCATGGGCATTTGGGGTCAACCTGAAGTCTCTACCTACCATATATGGTATCTGCAGTCCAAGCTCATCTGCAATTACCCACACGTCTTCTGATTTCCTCACTCATGATTCCTTCTCAGGGTTCAACATCTGTTTATTGAAGTGTCAATTCAAGTGGGCCTCAGAGTGAGGACAGTTTCTGCCAAGGGCTCTCATGGCAGTTTGAGAAAAAGTCTTTATTTTGCCCTTCCTCATGAACAATAGTGTCACTATTTAGAGGATTCTAGGTAGACAGTTATTTTCTCTCTGGCTTCCTTTTCTGCTATGGACAGCCTTGCTGCTATTCTATTGCCTTTTTTTTTTTTTTTTTTTTTTTTTGAGACGGAGCCTCACTCTGTCGCCCAGGCTGGAGTGCAGTGGCACAATCCTGGCTCACTGCAAGCTCTGCCTCCTGGGTTCACACCATTCACCTGCCTCAGCCTCCTGAGTAGCTGGGACTACGGGCACCCACCATCATGCCCAGCTAATTTTTTGTATTTTTAGTAGAGACGGGGTTTCACCATGTTAGCCAGGATGGTCTCAATCTCCTGAACTCGTGATCCCCCGACCTCGGCCTCCCAAAGTGCTGGGATTACAGGCGTGAGCCACCACGCCCGGCTCTATTGCCATTCTTTTGTAGGTGACACATTCTTTTCCGCTGGTTGTTCTCTCTGTGTTTTAACCTCTTTCCACCTCCCCACTGCTAACCTTTCCAGGGCCCCACTGTTTCTGAAGAGCCTTGGATTGGTGGTGTCTCCCAAGGGTGAAACCATCTCCTTCCCTTCTGCATTCTTCCAGACAACTAGCCATCAGAATGAGGGTGAGCCAGCGGCTTTTAAAAATTATCATTATTGGGCCGGGTGTAGCAGCTCACATCTGTAATCCCAGCACTTTGGGAAGCCAAAGCAGGAGGATCACTTGAGCCCAGGAGTTAGAGACCAGCCTGGGCAACATAGTGAGACCCTGTCTCTCAAAAAAAAAAAAAATTAATCAGGCATAGTGGTGGATGCCTGTGGTCCCAGCTACTCAGGAGGCTGAGGTTGGAAGATTGCTTGAGCCTGGGAAGTCGAGACTGTAGTGAGCCATGGTTGTGCCAGTGCACTTCAGCCTGGGTGACAGAGTGAGACTCTGTCTCTAAAAACAAAATAAATTTTAAAAATCTTACTATGGATGTAACATTCACATAACATAAAATTTGCCATTTTAACCATTTTAAAGTGTATAATTTAATGACTTCCAGCATATTTACAATGCTGAGCAATCATCACCTCTGCCTAATTCCAGCACATTTTCTTTACCCTAAACAGAAACCCAGTACCCATTAACACTCACTCCCATTTGTCTTCTCCCCAGCCCTTGGCAACCTCCCAGGCTCAAGCAATCTTCCCACCTCAGACTCCTGAGTAGCTGGGACCACAGGCATGGACCATCATGCCTGGCTAATTTTTTTTTTTTGATAAACAGCATCTCACTCTGTTGCCCAGGCTGGTCTGTAACTCCTGGGCTCAACTGATCCTCCTGCCTTGACCTCCCAAGATGCTGATATTACAGATGTGAGCCACCATTAATCCACCTTCTGTCTCTGTGGATTTGCCTCTTGTGGACATTTCATATAAATGGGATCATACAAGATGTGGTCTTTTGTTTCTGGCTTCTTTCATGTAGCCCCTAATATCTTCAAGATTCATCCATGTTGTAACATGTATCAGTACTTCATTCCTTTTTATGACTAATACTCTGTTGTATAAGGATATACTACATTTTCTTCATCCATTCATTGGCTGATAGACATTTGTTTTTTCTTGCCTTTTGACTATTATGAATAATGCTGCTATGAACAGTTCTTATTCTTACAAGTTTTTATTTGAGCACCCGTTTTCGGTTCTTTTGGGTGTATACCTAGGAATGGAATTGCTGGGTCATATGGTAATTCCATGTTTAACTTTTTCAGAAACTGCCAAGCTGTTTTCCACAGTGACTGTACCATTTTACATTTCCACTAGCAATACATGAGGGCTCTAATTATTTCGCATCCTTGCCAACATTTATTTTCCTTTTTACAAAAATTACAGCCATCCTGCTGGGTGTTAAGTGGAATCTCACTGTGGCTTTGATTTTGTACATCATTGATGACTCATGGTGTTGAGCATCTTTTCATGTGTTTTTTTGCTGTTGAGTTGTATAAATTCTTTATATATTATGGATACTATGCCATTATCAAATATATGATTTGTTGATGTTTTCTCCTATTCTTTGGGTTGTCTTTTCACTTTCTTGATATGATGCACAAAAGTTTTTAACTTTGATGAAGTTAAATGTATCCATTGTTTCTTTTGTTGCTTGAACTTTTACTTTAGTACCAAATAATCCATTGTCAAATCCAAGGTCTTGTAGATTTACCTCCATGTTTTCTTCCAAGAGTTTTATGGCTTCCACTCTTTTTTTTTATTTTATTTTTTTTGAGATGGAGTCTCGCTCTGTTGCCCAGGCTGGAGTGCAGTGGTGCAATCTGGGCTCACCACAACCTCCACCTCCCAGGTTCAAGCGATTCTCCTACCTCAGCCTCTCAAGTAGCTGAGATTCCAGGCATGTGCCACCACACCTGGCTAATTTTTTTATTTTTAGTAGAGATGGGGTTTCACCATATTGGCCAAGCTGGTCTTGAACTCCTGACCTCATGATCCACCTGCCTCAGCCTCCCAAAGTGCTAGGATTACAGGCGTGAGCCACCACGCCCAGCCTGGCTTTCACTCTTTTATTTTTATTTTTATTTTTTTGAGACAGAGTCTCGCTCTGTCGGCCAGGCTGGAGTGCAGTGGCATGATCTCGGCTCACTGCAAGCTCCGCTTCCCGGGTTCATGCCATTCTCCTGCCTCAGCCTCCCAAGTAACTGGGACTACAGGTGCCCACCACCATGCCAGGCTAATTTTTTTTTTGTTTGTATTTTTAGTAGAGACGGGGTTTCACCGTGTTAGCCAGGATGGTCTCGATCTCCTGACCTCGTGATCCGCCCACCTCGGCCTCCCAAAGTGCTGGGATTACAGGCTTGAGCCACCGCACCCGGCTGGCTTTCACTCTTATATGTAGGTCTTTGATCTATTTTGAGTTAATTTTTATATATGGTGTGAGATAAGGGTCCACATTCATTCTTTTTTAAAAAACTTTTTTTGATAGAGATGGGGAGTCTTACCATGTTGCCAAGGTTGTTCTCAAATTCCTGGACTCAAGCAATCCTTCCATCTCAGCCTCCCAAAGTGCTGAGCTTACAGGCATGAGCCACCTCACCTGGCCCAACTTCATTCTTTTTTTTTGAGACAGGGTCTCACTCTGTCATTCAGACTGGAGTGCAGTGGCACAATCTCGGCTCACCGCAACCTCTGTGTCTCAGGCTCTAAGCAATTCTCCTGTCTCAGCCTCCCCAGTAGCTGGGATTATAGGCATGCACCACCATGCCCAGCTAATTTCTGTATTTTTAGTAGAGACAGGGTTTCACCATGTTGGCCGAGCTGGTCTTGAACTCCAGACCTCAAATGATCCACCTGCCTCAGCCTCCCAAAGTGCTGGGATTACAGGTGTGCGCCACTGCACCCAGCTTCAACTTCATTTTTTGCATGTGAATATACAGTTATCATAGCACCATTTGTTGAAAAGACTATTTTTTCCCCATTAGATAGTCTTGGTGCCCTTGTCAAAAATCAATTGACCACAGATATATGGTTTATTTCTGGACTGTCAATTCTGTTCCATTGATCTATGTGTCTATGCTTGTGCCAGTACCACACTGTATTAGCCTATTCTCATGCAGGTAATAAAGACATACCTGAGACTGGGTAATTTATAAAGGAAAGAGGCTTAATGCACTCACAGTTCCACATGGCTGGGGAGGCCTCACAACCATGGTGGAAGGCAAAGGAAGAGCAACAGCACATCTTACGTGGCAGCAGGCAAGAGAGCATGTGCAGGGACTCCCTCTCTCCCTTCCTTCCTTCCTTCCATCTCTTTCTGTCACTCAGGCTGGAGCACAATGCTGCGATCAAGGCTCACTGCATCCTTGAACTGCTGGGCTCAAGTGATCCTCCCACCTCAGTCTCCCAAGTAGTTGGGACTACGGACGTGTCCTGTGACCAGTTAATTTTTAAACTTTTTTTGTAGAGACAGAGTCTAATTTATAGCCCAGCCTGGTCATGAACTCCTAGCCTTAGCACTTCCCCTGCCTCAACTTCCCAAAGTGCTGGGATTACATGTATGAGCCACTGGGCTCAGCCTAGGATTGGTTTCTTATGAGACCTATCTCCTTGGCTTGTAGACAGCCATCTTCTCCGTATGTCTTCACCTCTGTACTGTCTGTGTCTAGATATTTTTCTTCTTATAAGGACACATGTCATATTAGATTAGGGCCCACCTTAATGATCTTATTTTAACTTAATGACTTCTTTAGAGACACTATCTCCAAATACAGTCACATTCTGAGGTACTGAGGGTTAAGACTTCAACATATAAATTTTGGGGGCTGGCCAGGCACGGTGGCTTATGCCTGTAATCCCAGCACTTTGGGAGGCTGAGGTGGGTGGATCACTTGAGGTCAGGAGTTCAAGATGAGCCTGGCCAATATGGTGAAACCCCGTCTCTACTAAAAATACAAAAAGTAATCAGTTGTGTTGACTCATGCGTATAGTCCCAGATACTCAGGGGGCTGAGGCAGAAGAATTGTTGGGACGCAAGAGGCAGAGGTTGCAGTGAGACGAGATGTGCCACTGTACTCCAGCCTGGGTGACAAAGCAAGCATCTCAAAAAAACAAAAACAAAAACAAAACAAAACAAAACAACAACAACAACAAGAAAGTGGGGTGCTGGCTATGTGCAGTGGCTCATGCTTGTAATCCCAGTACTTTCAGAGGCCAAGGCAGGTGGATTGCTTGATCCTAGGAGTTGGAGACCATTCTGGGTAACATGGCAAAACCCATCTCTACAAAAAATACACACACAAAAATTAGCCAGGCATGGTGGTATGCACCTGTAGTCCCAGCTACTTGGGAGACTGAGGTGGGAGGATCACTTGAGCCTAGAAGAGGTTTCAGTGAGCCAAGATCCATCCAGTCTGGGCAACAAAGACTCTATCTGGAAAAAAAAAAGAAAAGAAAAGAAAAGAAAGGAAAAGAAGAGAAATGGAATGTTAAAGTCTCCAACTATTATTGTTGGACTAATGTTTCTCACTTCAATTCTGTTAGTTTTTGCTCATATGTGTTGCAGCTTTGTTGTTATGTGCATGGATGTTTATAATTGTTATATATTTTTAATTTATTGAGTATTTTAGTATTACATAATGTCTTTCTTTGTTTCTTATAAACATTTTTTCTTAAAGTCTATTTTGTCTGATATGAGTATAGCCAGGCCAGCTCTCTTTTAGTTACTGTTTACATAAAATATCATTTTTCGTACTTTTACTTTTAACCTATTTTATTTTTTGACTGTAAAGTGAATATCTTATATATAGACATCATATAGTTAGATCCTGGTTTTTAAAAAAAAAATCCATTCTGTCAGTCTCTGCCTTTTACTTGGAGAATTTAATTCATTTAGATTTAATATAATTATTTATGCAGAAGTATTTACTTCTGTTATTTTTCTATTTGTTTTCTAAATATCCCTTTTTTTAACACTCAAAATTGATTTATTTAAAGGTTTCACAATAGCTATGTCCAGGCATTTAGGCTTATGGGAAGTAAAATTAAAAGAGGATACTTTTTTCCCAAGGAGGATTTCTTTAAAACCAAGCACATTGCTAAATAGCAACATTATACTTGGTAAACAATAACTGGCAACAAAATAAGTTTAATATTCTACCCAAACCAGTCCCAGATACTGTTTAATAATAACCAAGATACAAACTAATTTTGTTGTAAGAAGCCTAGACCAATTTTATCAAACAAGTCCTTGATTAGACATCCGGTTTCATTTAACGTTTTGAAAGTTCATTTGACAGTCAGTCAAGTCCCTCATACAGACCAGTTCCTTGTGTTGCACAAGTGGCTTGAACATACCATGTTCTGTTATGAAGAAACTGAAGACCTAGTTTATCTGTCATTTCACTGACGGCCATATCATTTGGCAAATCCTGTTTGTTTGCAAAAAGCAGCAGTACTGCATCTCTCAAGTCATCTACCAGAAGCATTTTCTGCAGCTCATCTGCTACTTCCTGAATTCTTCCACGATCATTGCTATCTACCACAAAAATAAGACCCTGGGTATTCTGGAAGTAATGCTTCCAGAGAGGCCTAATTCTGTCTTGACCACCAACATCCCGTACTGTGAAACAAGTGTTCTTATACTCTACTGTTTCCACGTTAAAACCAGTGGTAGGAATGGTGGTGACTATCTCCCCTAACTTCAGTTTATACAGAATGGTCATCTTGCCAGCAGCATCCAATCCAAATAGCAAAATGTGCATTTACTTCTTGCCAAAGAAGCAGGAGAAGAGGGAGGAGATGGTGAGGCCCATGGTGGTAGTGCCACTTGCAATGAGCAGAAGCAGAAGCGGTTTGGGGCAGCCCCCTGCTTTCTCCTTACGTGCTCCAGGCAAACTGAACAAGAGAGAAGAGAAAGAGCGGAGGAAGAAAGAGGGAGGCAGGAACATCTCACTGGCCGCTGTGCTAATGAAGCTCCAGGACACGAATTCTCGGGGAGAGGACCTTCTGGGCCACTGGCAAGGCAGCTCCAGCTCTAGCCTTTAGGCTTCGGCTGCACCACGTCATGCGGCAGCCGCAGCAACTCCCAAATATCTTAACTTTTTTCATGCCCCTGTTCCTCCACTGCTTCTTTTTTTTTTTTTTTTTTTTTTTTGAGACAGGGGGTCTCACTCTGTCGCCCATGCAGGAGTGCAGTGGCATGATCTCCACTCACTGCAACCTCTGCCTCCCTGGTTCAAGTGATTCTCCTGCCTCAGCCTCCCAAGTTAGGAGGGATTACAGGTGCCTGCCACTACGCCTGGCTAATTTTTGTACTTTTAGTAGAGACAGGGTTTCACCATGTTGGCCAGGCTGGTCTCGAACTTCTAACCTCAGGTGATCCTCCCGCCTCAGCCTCCCAAAGTGCTGGGATTACAGGCATGAACCACCACACCTGCCCCCTCCACTGCTTCTTTTGCATTGGATACTTGGAGGTGTACCATTTTGATTTCCTTCTCTTTTAATATATATTTTGTTTTTTTAAAAATTATTTGCCCTAGGGATTACAATTAACATCTTAATTCATAACAGAATTCTGATTAATTTTAACAGTATTCAAAAACTTTGCTCATATATTGGCTCATCCCCCATCTTGTTCTGATTAAAAATTACATATATATATACATTGTGTGTGCATTGACATATATTTACAATTATGTAGTTATTTTTTTAAATCATTTGAAAGGGAAAGAAGAGTTACTAACCAAAAATGTATTATTAATGGTGACTTTTAAATTTGCATATGTAATTACCTTTACTGGTGTTATCTCTTTTTTTTTTTTTTTCTTTTTTGAGACGGAGTCTCACTTTGTCGCCCAGGCCGGAATGCAGTGTTGCGATCTTGGCTCACTACAACCTCCACCTCCTGGCTTCAAGCAATTATCCTGCCTCAGCCTCCTGAGTAGTTGGGATTACAGGTGCACACCACCATGCCCAGCTAATTTTTGTATTTTTAGTAGAGACGGAGTTTCACCGTGTTGGCCAGGCTGATCTCTAACTCTTGACCTTGTGATCTGCCCACCTTGGCCTCCCAAAGTGCTGGGATTACAGGCATGAGCCACTGCACCCAGCCTACTCTTTATCTCTTTACATGGATTCAAGTTACTGTTCAGTGTTCATTTATTCCAGCCTGACTGACTCCCTTTAGCATTTCTTAAATAGCAGGTCTACTAGAAGTAAACATCTTGGTTTTTGTTTATCTGGGAATGTCTTAATTTCTCCTTTTTTCTTGAGAAATAGATTTGCAAGATATACAATTTTGGGCTGACAAGTTTTTTCGTTTCTTTTAGCACTTTGCGTATATCATCCCACTACCTTTTGGCCTTTGTGATTTCTGATGAGAAGTCCACTGTTAACTGTATTGAGGATCCCTTGTACATGAGTTGCTTCTCTCCCTACTTTCAGGATTTTCTTGTCTTTTTTTTTTTTTTTTTTTTTTTTGAGACACAGTCTTATTCTGTTGCCCAGGCTGCTGGAGTGCAGTGGTGCAATCTTGGCTCACTGCAATGTCTGCCTCCTGGGTTCAAGCAATTCTCCTGCCTCAGCCTCCTGAGTAGCTGGGACTACAGGCACCTGCCACCACGCCTGGCTAATTTTTGTATTTTTAGTAGAGACAGGGTTTCACCATGCTGGTCAGGCTGATCTTGAAATCCTGACCTCAGGTGATCCACCCACCTCAGCCTCCCAAAGTCCTGGGATTACAGGTGTGAGCCACCATGCCCAGCCTTCTTCTTGTCTTTCAACTGTTTGATGATAATGTAGCTTGGTATGGATCTATTTGAGTTTATCTCACCTTGAAAAAACTTTTTTGAGTTTCTTGGATATGTAGATTCATATCTTTCACCAAAAATTTGGGAAATTTTTGGCCATTATTCACTGAAATAATCTTTCCTCCTTACTCTCTCTTTTTCCTCTGTGACTCCCATTGTACATATATTGGTATGCTTGATAGTGTCCCACAGTTTTAAGGCTTTGTTAATTTTTTTCTTTATTCTTTTTTCCTTTCTGTTGCTCCAATTGCGTAATTTCAATTGACTTATCTTTAGGTTTGCTGATTATTTTTTCTGTCTTCTCAAATATGCTATGAAATTTCTCTAGTAATTTTTTTTTTTTAATATTTGTTGATCATTCTTGGGTGTTTCTCGGAGCGGGGGATTTGGCAAGGTCATAGGACAATAGTGGAGGGAAGGTCAGCAGATAAACATGTGAACAAAGGTCTCTGGTTTTCCTAGGCAGAGGGCCCTGCCACCTTCCGCAGTGTTTGTGTCCCTGGGTACTTGAGATTAGGGAGTGGTGATGACTCTTAAGGAGCATGCTGCCTTCAAGCATCTGTTTAACAAAGCACACCTTGCACCGCCCTTAATCCATTTAACCCTTAGTGGACACAGCACATGTTTCAGAGAGCACAGGGTTGGGGGTAAGGTTATAAATTAACAGCATCCCAAGGCAGAAGAATTTTTCTTAGTACAGAACAAAATGGAGTCTCCTATGTCTACTTCTTTCTATACAGACACAGTAACAATCTGATCTCTCTTTCTTTTCCCCACATTTCCCTCTTTTCTATTCGACAAAACCGCCATCGTCATCATGGCCCGTTCTCAATGAGCTGTTCGGTACACCTCCCAGACGGGGTGGCGGCCGGGCAGAGGGGCTCCTCACTTCCCAGACGGGGCGGCCGGGCAGAGGCGCCCCCCACCTCCCAGACGGGGCGGCGGCCGGACGGGGGCTGTCCCCCACCTCCCAGACGGGGCGGCTGCCGGGCCGAGACGCTCCTCACTTCCCAGAAGGGGCGGCAGCCAGGCAGAGGGGCTCCTCACTTCTCAGACGGGGCGGCCGGTCTGAGATGCTCCTCACCTCCCAGACGGGGTGGCGGTGGGGCAGAGGCGCTCTTCACATCCCAGACAGGACAGTGGGGCAGAGACGCTCCCCACATCCCAGACGATGGGCGGCCAGGCAGAGACGCTCCTCACTTCCTAGACAGGATGGCGGCCGGGAAGAGGCGCTCCTCACTTCCCAGACTCGGTGGCCGGGCAGAGGGGCTCCTCACATCCCAGACGATGGGCGGCCAGGCAGAGACGCTCCTCACTTCCCAGACGGGGTGGCGGCCGGGCAGAGGCTGCAATCTTGCCACTTTGGGAGGCCAAGGCAGGCGGCTGGGAAGTGGAGGTTGTAGCGAGCCGAGATCAGGCCACTGCACTCCAGCCTGGGCAACATTGAGCACTGAGTGAGCAAGACTCCGTCTGCAATCCCCGCACCTCGGGAGGCCGAGGCAGGCAGATCACTCGCCGTCAGGAGCTGGAGACCAGCCCGGCCAACACAGCGAAACCCTGTCTCCACCAAAAAATGCAAAAACCAGTCAGGTGTGGCGGCACGCGCCTGCAATCCCAGGCACTGGGCAGGCTGAGGCAGGAGAATCAGGCAGGGAGGTTGCAGTGAGCCGAGATGGCAGCAGTACAGTCCAGCCTCGGCTGGGTATCAGAGGGAGACCGTGGAAAGGGAGAGGGAGAGGGAGAGAGGGAGAGAGGGAGAGAGAGGGAGAGAGGGAGAGAGGGAGAGCGAGAGGGAGACTCTAGTGAATTTTTAATTTCAGATGAGATTGGGTTCCTTCAGGGTGGTATGGCTGTAGATGGAATTTTTAATTTTAGTTATTGCTCTTTTCAACTCAATCTTTCTATTTGGTTCCTTTTTACAACTTCTCTTTATTTCTCTTTTCTACTTGGTGAGATATCATACTCATAGTTTCCTTTGGCTCTTTGTACATGGTTTTCTTTAGCTCTTGAGCATATTTAAGAGTTGATTTAAAGTCTTGGTGTAGTAAGTCCAATGCTTGGGCTTCCTAAGGATGAGCTCCTATTAATTCCTTTTTTTGTCCCTGTGTATGGGCCACACTTTCTTTGCTTCTTTGCATGCTTCGTAGCTTTTTTGTTGAAAACTGGACATTTCAAATATTATAATGCGGCAACTCTGGAAATCAGATCCTCCCTGTTGCCCAGGGATTGTTGCTGCCATCTAAGTGTAATTGCTGTTATTCATTTGGTGACTTTTCTGAACTTCTTATAACCATCCCTTTCCTGTTTCTCACCAGAATTTTCCAATTTTTATGCTTTTTGTCTCTGTTTCTCTAAGCTTCATTCTAGCTGATTTCCTCAGATCTATCTTTCAAGGAACTAACTCTTTCCTCAGTTTCGTCTAAGCTTGTTTTCTGAGATGGAGTCTTGCTCTGTCACCCAGGTTGGAGTGCAGTGGAACGATCTCAGCTCACTGCAACCTCCGCCTCCCGGGTTCAAGCAATTCCCCTGACTCAGCCTCCCGAGTAACTGGGATTACAGGTGCGCACCACCATGCTTGGCTAACCCTTTCCCTAAGATTTAAATTTCCATGTAGCCCATATTTTTTATTTTCCAAAGTTCTGGGATTATTTTCAAAACTTCCAGAAAATTTCATTAGTCTTTTTTTAAAAAGTTTATTTTATGTTTTTAATCCTTTTAAACACACTTATTTTATTGTCTTGGGGCTCCTTCTCTGTGGCTGGGGATATGAGGAGGGAACACAGAGAGGGCCATGGTGTCGCAGGACAGCAATGCAGAAAGCCTTCCTGTGGATGGCAAAGCCAAGATGGGCTGGCACATCATCTCGTAAACCATCAGCTTCAGGAATGCCAAGGACACCTACAAATTAAGCAAGGATCCCAAGAGATTTATAGGACCTTCCAGGCCAGCTCTGTCTCCATTACATCATGATGACTGATTTTTAAAACCAAACTCAATTTTGATTACCTAGTAATACCTGTCTGCCACAGAAAAGTGGAAAAAAACCAATGATCAAAAAGAAAAATAAAACTACCCACGATATTTATTACCCATATATAGCTGCCATGACCACATCAGCCCATCTCCCTGGCTCCCTTTCCTGCCTGCCTTTTCTCCCTAGCACTGAACACCATCAGGCACACCGTATGTTTTAGTAATTTATGATTGTCTGTCTGTCCCTAGGAGGGGGTCAGCTCCACAACAGCTAAGGCTTTGTCTTGTTCACTGCAGTGTCAGGAGGGGAGAGCATAAAAACTCCGTCAATACCTCTGGAGTGAATGAACGAATGAATGTTCTAGCTACGAGAGAGTATTCCTACCTCATTTATCCTCACGCCAATCCTATGAGGTAAGTGTTTTGTTTTGTTTTTTTGAGACCAAGTTTTGCTCTTGTTGCCCAGGCTGGAGTGCGATGGTGCAACCTCGGCTCACTGCAACCTCCGCCCCCCAGGTTCGAGCAATTCTCCTGCCTCAGCCTCCCGAGTAGCTGGGATTACATGCATGAGACACCATGCCCGGCTAATTTTCTATTTTTAGTAGAGACAGGGTTTCTCCAGGTTGGTCAGACTGGTCTCAAACTCCCGACCTCAGGTGATCCACCCACCTCGGCCTCCCAAAGTGCTGGGATTACAGACATGACCCACCGTGCCCGGCCTGTTTTTTTGTTTTGTTTTGTTTTTTGTTTTCTGAGACGTAGTCTTGCTCTGTCACCCAGGTTGGAGTGCAGTGGCGTGATCTTAGCTCACTGCAACCTCCACCTCCTGGGTTCAAGCAATTCTCCTGACTCAGCCTCCCGAGTAACTGGGATTATAGGTGTGTACCACCATGTCTGGCTAAATTTTGTATTTTTAGTAGATATGGGGTTTCACCATGTTGGCTAGGCTGGTCTCGAATTCCTGACCTTGTGATCTGTCTGCCTCAGCCTCCCAAAGAGCTGGGATTACAGGCGTGAGCCACTGCGCCCAGCAGAGGTAAGTATTTATTGTACCCATCTTACAGATGTGAAGACTAAGACTCAGTGGGGGTCACCTGTTCTGTCCTTTTTTTTCAGACAGGGGTTTCACTCTGCCGCCCATGCGTTGGAGTGCAGTGGCACAAACACAGTTCCCTGCAGCCTCAACCTCCTTGGGCTCCAGCGACTCTCCTGCCTCAGCCTCCTGTGTAGCTGGGACCACAGGTGTGCACCACCACACCCAGCTACATTTTTGATTTTTCGTAGATACTGGCACTCACTTTGTTGCCCAGATTGGCCTCCAACTACTGGGCTCAAGCGATCCCCCACCTCAGCCTCCCAAACTGTGGGACTGCAGGTGTGAGCCCCTGAGCCCGGCCCACCTGTCTTCTTGTCCTGCCTGCCTCCTTTTGACTGTCTTTCTGCAAGCACATTTATGCAGCTGCAGCACAGCTCTCTCTCCCTGTTCACCGGGGCTCCTAGGTTATACCAGAGACCTTTCCACTCTATGCCTTTAAGGATTTTGCTATGATTTTTGTGCAAACAATTTTCCATGTTGGGGACAGGAAGAACAGGAAAGTGAGAAGACTCAACTCCAAGTTCCCTCCTTTCCATGGGGCTCCTCACCCTTTTCTTTTTATTTTTTTGAGACAGAGTTTCGCTCTTGTTGCCCAGGCTGGAGTGCAATGGCACGATCTTGGCTCACCGCAACCTCTGCCTCCCGGGTTCAAGCAAATCTCCTGCCTCAGCCTCCTGAGTAGCTGGGATTACAGACATGAGCCACCACGCCTGGCTAATTTTGTATTTTTAGTAAAGACAGGGTTTCTCCATGTTGGTCAGGCTGGTCTCGAACTCCCAACCTCAGGTGATCCGCCCACCTTGGCCTCCCAAAGTGCTGGGATTACAGGTATGGACCACGGTGCCCGGCCTCCCACCCTTTTCTAAGAGAAGTTTAATGAACTTAGATCTGGGCATTTGCTTCCTCAAGTTAAATGCCTCACCTTCCCCTACCAAGGTGCAGTCTTCTGGAATATATTTTGTAAATGAAATATGAACCCACATTTGGGTTCATGGCTCAGGCTAGTAATTTAACCTAACTTTGCCTCCATTTTCACCTGTAAAGTAGACATAATCATCCCTACGTCATAGAACTGTTCCAGGATTCAGTAAAATGGTGTACATAAGGCTCTTGACACAGGGCCTGGCACATAGTAGGCACTAAATTATTGTATAATTAAAAACCTCTGCTCCTCCACCCTCCAGAGTTCTCTGTAGCCCAGCCTCTGCTTGGTGGAGACAGAAATTCATTTTCTTAAAAAGTTGTGCTGAGAGCTGGTCAGTCCTGGGGAAAGACACATGATAATGAAACTTTCAAGAAACTGATGTATAAACTTCAGTGCCATGATGTAACTGCTCTGCGCCTTAAGGCAGGATTCCCAACCCCTGGGCCTTGGACTGTTACTGGTCCGTGGCCTGTTAGGAACGGGGCCACACAGCAGGAGGTGAGTACTTGTGAGCCAGCATTCCCGCCTGCGCTCCGGCTCCTGTCAGATCAGCAGCTGCATCAGATTCTCACAGGAGCGCAAACCGTACTCTGAACTGCGCACGTGAGGGATCTAGGTTGTGAGCTCCTTATGAGAATCTAATGCCTGATGATCTGAGGCGGAACAGTTTCATGCCAAAACCATTATCTGCCCCCACTCATCCGTGGAAAAATTGTCTTCCATGAAACTGGTCCCTGTTGCCAAAAAGGCTGGGGACTGCTGCCTTAAGGGGCATTGTGGGTGAAGGAGGAGGAGGCAGCTGAGGCCCTGGCTCCTGTACTGGCTGGAGCCTGGCTCTGGGTCCTCCTTTAGATGTGAGCAGGTGGCTGCTTCACTGGTAGAGCTTGGGCTACACTGAGGTTTGCAGATGGAGGCTGGAGGGCAGGACAGAGGTGCAGAAGAGAACATTTATTCATTCAACAACTATGTATTGAGCACCCACTAGGTGCCAGATACTGTTGAAGGATGTTTAGGGATACCTCATGGACAAAGTGCTCTGCTCTCATGGAGCCGTGAGACAGCCCACAAGGAGGCTCAGGAAGTAAAACGTGAAGGTAGAGAGGTGAGTGATGGCCAAGGAGGCAAAGGCAGCAGCCTGCTCCTGATCACAGCCCCAACCTTTGCACATGCCCCCCTCCCTTACCAGAGCTGCGGGATCAGGTTCTATTTTTATCCTCCTGTGACAGGGGAGGAAACCTGGGTCGGGGAGATTAAGTGGCTTCACTTGGGAAATTCAGCAGTACCAGAGGTTAAAATTCCAAGAGCCTGAGCAGGAAGGGAGAGGATGATGGGCTGCTAGGGGCTGGAGGGGACTGCAGAGCCACCCCAAATCCCTTCTCAATGGCAGCCCTGCTGGCTTTCAGCTGTTTGCCACTGTGGCCCCTAAACTAGTCTTCAGAGATAGTAGCACAGGGGCTGAGATGCTCAAATGAGAGTTTCTGTCCTGTTCCCTTACAGATTCTGCTTCCTAGAGACTTCTCCAGCCTCGGGAAAGTTGGCTCCATGGAGCCATCCGGGCCACTCATGTGTGGGTGAGCAGCGGGAAGGGAAAGAAGGGGACCTTGGTGCTTCCATCAGAGCCAGTGCCCAGGGAGCGCCTGGGTTCCTGCCATACTCCTGGGGGTCACCTTAGGGCAGTGGGAGGCCCATAAGGGTTGGGGGCATTTGGTCAGCAGCCTCAGACACGCTGGCTGGTCAGGGCAGCCTGCTGTGTGCATGTACCTGGGTTCCTTGAGGTCAAGACCAGGCGGAAAGGCTTTTTGTTCTAGCCTTGGGAGGAGTGCAGTGGGGTCTGTGTAAGTGGTGAGGTGGCCATCCTGGTGGTCAGAGTGCTCAAGATACCCAAGGAGATGAGATGCAGACAGCAGGAATGGGTTGCAGCCTCCAAGGTGGCTAACACAGAAGCCTGTAGGTTGAGGAACTGCACCGGGGGTTTGGGGACACAACCAGGATGGTAGTTCTAAGGGAACTGCCTGCAGATCCTCACCTCTCATATTCCCCCTCCCCGACCTTCCTGCGCCTGAGGACTGCACTTTGTCCATTTTGCCAACTAGAAAGGCAAGGCTGGAACCTCGTCCTAGAGCCTTGCCCTGGAGTGTGAGAAGGTCCTGGGCTCCCAGCAGAAACAGAGGGACAGGATTGGGAAAGGTGTTGGCTTCCCCTGCAAACTCTTCCTAAGACCCCGGGGCTTTGGGTCTCAGCCGTCCTGCAAATTGGCTCTGTGACCTTGGGCAGGACCCTTTGCCTCACTGAGCCTGTTTCCTTACCTGTCAGCCTGGAACAGAACACCTGCCTTCTGGGTGAGCATGGGGATGAATTGTCTCTGTGCTGGCACTCACTTTGTGAATATTGCATAGATGTGTGCATTTCAGGCAGTGGAGCTGCTGCTCAACTTGGAACACACCTGGGGACCCCAGGGGCTTGGGGTGGGTGCAGCCCACACAAGGAAACTCGACCTTGCAGTTGGCAGGTTCAGCAGGCACCAAGGAACCTCGTTTTGTTTTTGACGTTTTTATTGGGGTCTAATGTACACAACGTGTAACCACCTTAAGTTACAGCTGGATTAAAATTGATTTATGTGGCCGGGTGCGTTGGCTCACGCTTGTAATCCCAGCACTTTGGGAGTCCGCGGTGGGCGGATCATCTCACGTCAGGAGTTTGAGAACAGCCCAGTCAACACGGTGAAACCCCATCTCTACTAAAAAATACAAAAATTAGCCGGGCGTGGTGGCGGGTGCCTGTAATCTCAGCTACTCGGGAGGCTGAGCCAGGAGAATGGCTTGAACCCGGGAGGCGGACGTTGCAGTGAGCCGAGATCGAGCCACTCACTACACTACAGCACTCCAGCCTGGGTGACAAGAGCGAAACTAACGTCTCAAAAAAAAAAAAAAAAAACAAAAACCAAAAAAACAACAAAACCCCCCCCCCCACAACTTGATTTATGTGTAAACCCGAGTCGTCATCACCCAAAACAAGATGCAAAACGTGTCCACGGGCTGAACCTTTCAAGATACAGAAAAAGGGCCAGGGGTGGCCCTCTCCCGGAATCTCAGGCTGGGAACCTGGTATCTAGTTCCCGCCCCTCACTGGGCAGATGGGGAAACCGGGGCTTGGGGCGAGAAGGTCCCCAGGCAGAGCTGGGAGCACCCCTAACTCTTCGCCAGCTCTGGGGACTTGGCGCCCTCTCCAGCAACAGCGAACTTGGGCGCCCGCGCCCCAGCAAGTCGGGTGGGGGAGATGGTGACACGGAGGGCGCGGCAGAGCGCGGCTCCTCCCCGGGCGGGGCCGACCTGCCCGCGCGCACCGACGCCCCGCCCCCCGCCCCGCGCGCGCGCTCCCGCCAGGCTAATTAGGCGCGCGGTTTGTTTACAAACACGGGCTCCCGGCAGGTGCGCGCCGCCCCGCCCGTGCGCGGCCGGGGTTCGAGGGTGGCTCCCGCGGGCCTCGGGGTGCCCGGACGGGGGCTGCGGTGCTGGCTGCGTGCCCGCTTCTTCCATGCCGTCCTGGGGCACCGGAAAATCCGCCGCCAGGCGCTGTCCCCGACACGGGGTGAGGAGAGCCGTGCGGGCCCGGGCGGGGAACGGCCCACGGGGTCCCAGCGTTGTTGCCCTGCCGGGCGGGCGCCGAGCCCCGCCCCCGCGCGCCCCCCGGGCCAGGCCCGCTCTCGGCCGGGTCGGCGGGGCGGGCGGGGGCCCCCGGGGCGGGGCGCGGCGCCGGCGGGGCCGGGACATGTAGTCCGCGCGCCCGCGGCCTCCCCTGGGCGGCCCCGGCGCGGGCCCGGCCGCGGACTACGACTCCCGCCAGGCGCCGCGGCGCAGCGCATGAGCCCTGCTCGGCTCCGGCGCGTCTATTATGCTGCCGGGGCCGGCGAGCCAAAGAGGAGCCGGCCGCGCGGGCCGGGAGGGGACGGCCGCCGGAGCCGCGAGGCCAAGTACGCCTTTCTCTTGCTTCCTTGCGCGCGCGGGGCGGCGGGCGGCGCGGGCGGCGGCGGGCCGGGCTGGGCCGGGGAGCGCGGCCCCGAGCGCCCCGCGCAGTCCGCCGGCGCGTCCGGGTGAACCGGGCGCCCGGGGCCGCCGCCGCCGCCGCCGCCTTTGTGCGCGGCCACGATGCAACAAAGCGCGGCGGCCGCCCGGGGTCGCGGCGGCGGTGGCGGCGGCGGTGGCGCGGGCTCCGCTCCCCTCCTCCCGCTCCCGCTTGGCCGCCTCCGTCCCGGACTCGGGGCGTCGCTGCGGCCGGGGCGCGCAGCCCGGAGTTGGCGCGGCCCGCGCGCCCCGCGCCAGCCCGGCCTCCGCGCGCCCTCCCTCACGGAAGGGATTTTTTTCCCCCTTTCCTCCGCCCGCCATCTTTCGAAGGGGGAACCCAGGGAGGACGCGGAGGGGGAAGGTGCGCGCGGCGGCCCCGGCCTGCGGCCGTGCGCTCCGCGGGGCCACTTTCCCCGCGCCTGTTCCGCCGGCCTCGCTCCCGAGCCGTTGCTGGGGCCCGCGCCTGGGGACCGTCGCCGCGCGCCGCGGCCGGGGCGGGGGGCAAGGCCGGGCTCGGCCCTGGGCTCTGCGCGGCCTCCTCCCAGAGTTACGGGCCCAGAGCTGACTTTGAGCCCCCCTGAGTTGCCGGATTATTGCACCCAAACCAGGGGGAGACCCAGTTCCCGTTTTGAAATCAGCCTGAAAATCGCTTAATCCGGGCGAGGGCGAGTTGGAGCGGGAGGGACGGGGGTGCTTCCCCTCCTTCCCACTTTTGGGGGGCGCCGGAGTGACAACGTGATACAAGCCCATCCGGGGAGAAATGCGCACCCCGAACCGTGTACACCCACATGGCCCTGGTGGGCTCTCTGTGAATAAAGCTGGGGCGTGCGGGAAGTCTTATTCCACCGGTTGCTCGTTCGGGGGCAGGGCCGGGATGGGGGCTTCGCGCGGCCTCCTTTCCCTGGAGGGCGAGAACTCGGCCCGCCGAGACCCACCGGGGGCAGGGACCCGGCGTCCATCGTGTGGGTTCCTCCGTTCGACCCAATCCTTGAGTGGTTGCGATCTTTAATTTTGGTTGAAAGCTTTCTGCTCAGAAATAGATACTGGGATTTCTCCCCCTTACATTAAACTTGGTCATTGTCTGCAAAAGTTAACCAGGAGGGGAGACTGTAGTGCATTGGTGGGCAGAGTAATTGGGCTGGAACTGCAAGAGGCAGCTTCGTGTGTCCCGTCCTCCCCCGCCCTACCCTGTGAGAAGGAACAGAAGAGGAAAAGAGTTTTCTTTTTACCCTGCTCTTTTGTAGGCTTTTCCCCTTACTCTTTTCTTTAAAATGGAGGGTTTTTTTTTTTTCCTGGGTCCATGTAGTATGCCTGGGGAGATCCTGGAATCTATGCAAAGTTGTATGGCATTTTTCTGGGGAAAGTAGTTTGTTACTGGCTTCCAACGGGGTCTAAGGAAGGTCTGAACCCCTGCAAGGGGCTGGCCTCGGGGGT
Organism: Homo sapiens; assembly: GCF_000001405.40. Taxonomy (NCBI): domain Eukaryota; kingdom Metazoa; phylum Chordata; class Mammalia; order Primates; family Hominidae; genus Homo; species Homo sapiens. The sequence continues at coordinate 134,066,419 of NC_000009.12, read as the reverse complement.
TAGGGAGCCCTCCCTCCGGGTTCTTCCCTGGCAGCCCTGATGCAGCCTCTCATTTGCAAATAAAGGTCTGTGTTTGCCGTTTTCTCTGTTGAGGCCTTGATGGGTGCTGGTGGTTACTGATCATGAAAGATAAGGCACACGCTGTAACAGGACGGGCTGCAGGCGAGCGAGGGGCATTTCTTTCTGACCTTCCGGGTAGCCTCAGAGGCCCGGTGCCTCAGCAGGGCACCGGGTGCCTGGAAAGACTGTGGGAGCAGCTCCAGCCTGAGCCCTGCCGTTGGGACATCCGGGGAGGAGGGATTTCAAAAGCTTTCTCCGAGTGGGCAGTCACTCCATTTTTATTTTTGTTTTGTTTTTAGAAAGTAGAGTAATTACTTTCCTTTGACAACAGCTCGCGCCTGCTTCGGAAGTGAGTGAGCTTTGAATGAAGGACGGGACTTGCAAACAGTGCCTGCCCTACACTCCGAAGTAGTCATACCCAGAAAGTGAAAGTGGGGGTGTGCAGAGCGAAGCAGCCAGGCCTGCTGCAGCCGGTGCTACCTTCCTCTACCCTCTTCCTCCAGGCTCTGGAGATGCCAGCCGCGGGAGCCCTGTGCACCAGGCGGCAGTGATGGCCTTGTGCGATTCCTGGTGCCACCAGGAAGTGCCACCACTTTCCCTGAGGCATGGTGGCTCAGGGTTTCCCAAGTGGGGTGATTGGCACAAAACCAACAGCTATGCCCAGTTGTCGATGGGAAGAGCCATGTTTTGCTGTGGATACACACGGTACCGGGGCGGGGTATGGGGAACCGGGGCCTACTCTTCCCAGCGTTGCTGCCTGGGAGGTGGGGGCATGCCTGAAGTCGTGCTGCGGGTCTCTTGGTTTTCAAAGCAGTTAACGCAGTTGGTCAGAGGATCCTCCTCTTGCTTCCTTGACCGGTCATCAAAGTATAACTGACCTGACGGGGTTCCTGTCCTAGGCAGGTTCCTTTTTTTTTTTTTTTCTCTTCTCCTCTTGAGATGGAGTCTCGCATTGTTGCCCAGGCTGGAGTGCAGTGGCACGATCTCAGCCCACTGTAACCTCTACCTCCCGGGTTCTAGCAATTCTCCTGCTTCAGCCTCCCAAGTAGCTGGGATTACAGGCGTCCGCCACCACGCCCAGCTAATTTTTTGTATTTTTAGTAGAGACAGGGTTTCACTGTGTTGGACAGGCTGGTCTCGAACTCCTCACCTCGTGATCCACCTGCCTTGGCCTCCCAAAGTGCTGGGATTACAGGCATGAGCCACCGTGCCTAGCCAGCAGGTCCCTTATATCACGAAGCCAGTATCTGGTTGAAGCTAGAAGGTAACTGGATGAATCATGGTAGAATGCAAGGCTTCTTGCCGTAAAAGGTTTTGGAACTTGCGGGTCTGCCTTGGGCCTTCCCGACCCCTGTGGCTCCGCCCCCTTGTTGGAGCAGAAGAGATGCACAGGTAGCAAAGCATGATGGGGTGCCAGGTGCATTTGGGTCAGCGTTTGCCAAGAATGGCCTTGCTCCTGTGTTTTTGTTGGTACTGCCACCTTGTAGAGGTGCCCAGCTGGTGGCGGAGCATAGGGTTTTCTTTGCCTATTCTCCTTCCTGTGAAATCATGGGCACAGACATCATGGGCCCCTGTGCCCGGGCCTCCCTGCTCTGGTTCCTGGGCTCCTGCCATCTGAGAGGCTTGAGGGCTTGCTTATTTGTTTGTTTGTTTGTATTTTTAGTAGAGATGGCGTTTCACCATGTTGGCCAGGCTGGTCTCAAACTCTTGGCCGTGAGTGACCCACCCGTCTCTGCCTCCTGAAGTGCTGGGATTACAAGCGTGAGCCACCATGCTCGGCCAAGATGCTTGAGAGCTCATTTATTTATTTACTTATTTTGAGACAGAGTATCACTCTGTTGCCCAGGCTGGTGTGTAATGGCATGATTTCCCTTCACTGCAACCTCCACCTCCTGGGTTCAAGCAATTCTCCCTGGCTCAGCCTGCCAAGTAGCTGGGATTACAGGTGCCCGCCACCACGCCTGGCTATTTTTTTTAATTTTTTTTAATTTTTTAGTAAAGATGGGGTTTCGCCATGTTGGCCGGGCTGGTCTTGAACTCCTGACCTCAGGTGATCCACCCATCTCAGCCTCCCAAAGTGCTGAGATTACAGGTGTGAGCCACCATGCCTGACCGAGAGCTCTTTTAAAGAGAAAGTGTCACTTTGGGCCATTCACCTGTTGGTGGTTTAAATTGTAAGTCTTCTGGCCACTCCTGATTGAGCTCGCAGTGGAGCCAGGACCTGTGCGTGTGGCTGGAGGCTCGGACCCTGTTGTGTCCGTGCTGTTGGCTGTCTGCGTCTCGCACCAGTCTGTGGCTGTTCCCTGAGAGTCAGTTCGCAGGCTGCCTCCTCACAGGGCCTTCGGAGCCTGGTGTTGGGAAGATGGGGCGTGGAACATGCCCCCGCCCCCCTCCTTGCCGCAGGCCCCCAAGGTACTGAGTTCGTCAGAAGTTAATCCGGTATTGTGGGAGACAACTTTTCCAGCCACTTGGAAAAGTGTCCCGCTGAGGGTGCAGTGATGTTCAGGAGTCGCCGGCTGGATCTTTCTGAGTGTGGCTTGATAACCAGCTGCAGCATTTTGCAAAGCACCCAGTGGACTCGGGTGTGATCTGCAGAGGCGGCTGCTGGCCAGGCCTGGAGTCTGGGGCAGAGGGAGTGCCCTCAGTGCACCTGTGAGGACCTGGGACTAAGAGTCGGTACCTGGGAGCTGTGGGACTCTGGGGCGGGACGGCCTTAGCCTCCGTGTGAGCACTGACCGAGATGAGGCACAGATGCATCTGTGTGAGGTGCCCGGCCCCTGCAGGAGTGCTGAGTATTGTAGCTATAACCTGTCATGTGGCAGAAGGAAGAATCTACTATAAGCGGCTGAGAGGATGCCCTCCCTGTGCCATGCGTCACTGGAGCCTTGGCCTGACAATCCCACAAGGAGCAAAATGTGCAAAGGGGCAGCTGTGTGAGCCTGCGGGTCCAGGGTGCCACCCGCCCCCATCTGCCCACACCACAGGACAGAGCCCTGGGTATGCTGACCAGGCCCTCGCTGGTACCAGGGGCTGGGTAGGAGGCAAGGGTCAAGCACGGTGGCTCCGTGGGCTGTGGACTCACAGACAGATGTGCTGCATGCCCACGCTTTGCTCTTAGCTCTGCCTCCGGTCTGTCCCGGCAACAGGCCTGGGGGCGTCCTGCAGTCCTCGGCATTTGTGGTTGGGGGTGAGCAGAGAACATAGACGAAATAACCAAGGGGATGGTCTGAGAGCTGCGGCCCTGCTGGCCCCTTGTCCTGGCTCGGCATGGCTGAGTGGGACAGCAGTGAGGCCAGGCCTGTCTCCTGGGGCCGGGGTGTTTTGTGAGTTTGGTTCTTGTCAGGCCGGCTGAGAGGAGATGGAGCAGACAGATGGATGCTAGGTGGGCCTGCCGCAGCTTTGTTTTAGGAAGTGCGGAGCACCAGGGCCTGACCCTGAGGCTGTGTCCCTCTAAGAGCACGGTGTCTCCTTCCCTCTAAAGGGCCAGGTGCTGTCCTCACTCACTGCCCCTCTGAAGAGAGTCCCCTGCCTGAGTCGTGGCTCTCCTGCCCTTCCCAGACCCGTGGGAGACCCTGACTACGTGGCGGTGGCCTGGGGTTGGGAGGGCCTGACCAGTGTCTGTGGGGCCAACTTCCTCGTTCCCAGCATGTGTGGAGGGTCGGGCCTCCTCACGCGCCTCATGAGGGTCCCACGGGGGTAGAGCGTCCTTTGAGTCCTCTCTATTCGAGGAGTGGGTAGAGAGGCGGGTAGGGACGGAGCTTGGAAGAGGTGACGGGTTGTGGCCAGAAGGCTGTGGGGGCGTCATGGCAGGAAGGGAAACCTTCAGAGAGGCCGCTCACCCAGGGCCGTGGGGCCATGGAGAAGCACAGGCCCTGGGTTCAGAAAGCAGGAGGCATATGAGGTCTTAGGTCTAGAAGGCACTGGTGGGTGCAGAGTGGGGAGAACTGTGGGGTGCAGGGGACAGTCACGGGAGAGGCAGCGCTGGCAGCTGCACCTGCCCAGCGTGTCTGGGGCCATGCCCCAGGATAGCCCCACCAGTCTGCTGAAGCGCCCCGGGACAGGGCTGGGCCTGTAGAGCCGGGCCCTCCAGGCGGCCAGGCAGCTGCAGGAGAGCAGGTGCGCTGTGCATGGGGGGCTCACAGCACTGGGCAGATTCCCCTGGGGAGTAGGCGCCAGGGCTGGCCGTGCCTGCTTGGGTGGGGCCCACGATGCCCAGCTGCCCTCCCCAGGGCTCCTCCAGGGCTACAGGGGGCCCCCAACCCCCGACTTCTCCCCTGGCTCCATAGAAGGAAGCAGTTGGCTCCGTCTGTCACTGAAGGCAGCCCTGCCCTGACAGATCCAGTTTCCCGAGTCCTGGAGGGTGGCCGCTGGTCACCACGTGGGCTGGGGAGGCCCCTCTGGCCGCCTGGGGACAGGTGCTAGGTTGGCCGGGTTAGATGGGGCTGTGGGGGCAGCAGGCTGGGATCCCTTCTCACAGACTCAGCTCCCTCCTGCCACAGCCGATCACAGCACTGCTCCCAGCATTATCCCGAGAATTCTGGGGCTGTGGGGTGTTGGCGGTGAGTCTGGCATGGATGTCCAGCTTTGTTCAAGCTGGCTCTGGCCTTCTCTGCCTGGGCGACGTTGTGCCCCTTCACCTCTGAGCGTCCCCTCCACTTATGGAAGATGGGGCTCATCTGACCCCCACTGACGCAGGACAGAGTCCAGGAGACGGGCTGGAGTGCCCCAGTGGGGGCCATCCAGTCAGGGACACAGGTACAGAGGCCCAGAGCTATGGAAATTCCAGGGCTGGAGACCCATGGGGAATGGGGAGCCCCTGGGAAAGGCCTCCCCTAGCTTCCTCCAGCACCCCCACCCTTGGTTCCAGTGCTCCTGTCTCCCACCCTTTAGCTGGCAGGTCTGGTTGAGCCCCTGCAGAGCTATGTAGCCCTGCCCCTCCCTGCCACTGCTCCTCCAGACTCATGCTATAGCTGGAATGGCCTTGGTAAGCTGTCCTCCCAACCCTGCCTGTTTGCTGAAAGCTGGGACTCCCCATCCCTGGACCCCAAATAAGGACTTTTTGCTCTGGGCCCAGGCCAGGCTGGAGATGCCCCCATGGTCCAGCCGCTGCCCCTTGGCTGGTTTGCCCCAGGGTGTGGCATTGGAGGCAGCACCCCTCTGTCCTCCCTCTGTGGAGTGCCTGAAGGCTAGGCTGCTGTGCTGCCCAGGCGACATGCCTGCTCCTGCCCCTCTGGGTCTCTGCTCCCCAAGAGGGCCATGGAATGGCAGGAGGGGTCAGGGAGACTGCTACTGGCATTTCTGGGTGTTTTCTTTGGTGGCAACTGGACAGATTCCCATTCCCTCCCTGTTTGTCCACAGCCCTGAAACAGCCCTGGACTCAGCATCTTTTCTGATGAATTCTGGGCTGGGCCAGCCTAAAGGGGGCTGAATTTCTGCTTTTCATTCAGGTCCTCCTGTGCCCTATGGAGAGGAAGGCAGAGTCCAGGGACCTTGGGAAGGGTTCAGGGGGCCACCCACAGCTTCAGGGCCAGAGGTGGGCCTGCCTGGGGCCACACAGCAAGGGTGAGGATAGGTAGGATTCGGGCCACCTCACCAACATTCCTTCCATGTCCAGCACAGAGCCTCTCTTGGATGGGGCATGAGTGGGACCCAGGAAGGGGGCTAGTCAGTGTTAGGGGAGCCTGGCCACTGCCCTCTCCCCGCTGGCTACTTTGGAAATCTCCATGGCATTCCAGATCGTGTGTGTGTGTGTGTGTGTGTGTGTGTGTGTGTCAGGGTCTTGCTCTGACATCCAGGCTGGAGTGCAGCAGTGCGATCACAGCTGACTGTATCCTCAAACTCCCAGGCTCAAGTGATCCTCCCACCTCAGCCTCCTGAATAGCTGGGATTCTAGGTGCACCACCAGGCCTGGCTAATTTTTTTAAATTTTCGTAGAATCAGGGCCTTACTATGTTGCCCAGGCTGGTCTCGAACTCCTGGTTTCAGGGGATTCTCCTGCCCCTCCCAAGGTGCTGGGGTCACAGGCCTGAGTCACTGCGCATGGCCTGGGTCTTTCTTGAGGATTTCACCAGACCCACTCACTGCTGGGTTTTCGCTTGGCGTTCGAGGACTTTTGTGGTTTGTCTGAGTTTCCTCTCTGGGCAGTTTCGGATCCTCTTGTGTCTAAGGCAGGCTGCCTGCTCACTCCGACTTTTACCCGACTGGCAAGGGTGGCCTCTGCCTCTGTCTCTGCTGGGCCCGGCAGGCAGTGCCTGTGGGCTCTCTAGCATGGGCTTTGTGGGCAGCTGAGTGGGAGACCCGGGGAGGTGGACCCCAGGGAGGGTCTCTGAGCCTCCGCCCCCTCCTCTGGGAGACAGAGCTCCATCCCTGTCCTGCAGTGCCCAGGGGAGAGCAGCAGTGGCACATCTGGCTCCCCAGGCCTGTCCCCCAAGGACCCACCGCTTCCCTGCCATGGTCCCAGGGATGGAGTGCGTTTGCTGAGGACAAGGCTGCTGCTGCTGCTGCGACAGGCTGCTGATGGCCAGGCTGCCTTCCTGAGGGGGCCTTGCCCGCACAGCAAAGAGCCCCCTGGAGCGAGGTGGCTGCCAGCAGGCTGTGTGGGAGCCCCTTCACCACTGGAGGGCTGAGTGGTGAAATGAGTTCTTCCTGCACTGTACATGCTCACAGACCCTTCTCGGTTCACATTTTAGCAGACAGGCTTCCAGCCCCTCCAGTGTCCAGGGTCCCTGTGGTGTGGGGCCCCCCTGTTCCCCAAGAAAAGGAGCAAGGGTTTACCCCCAGGAGACCACACCCCCTTCTGCTGCACATTCCCGCAGGGCAGCTGCGAGGGGTGAAGGAGGGATTGCGGCACGAAGGTTTTGTGTGTCTCGTGTCTAGACTTTAAGGCACTGGGGTCTCTGGCACCGCTGCCTTCCTCCAGCCCGAGTCACTCCACCTGAGTCCATCTGCCCCACCCCTGCCCCACTTCCTCACAGGAGTCCCGTCGGCTTATTCCCCATCGCATGAAGGTGGAGAGTGGGTGCAAGGCAGAACCCTGGACCCCACAGTTGCTGTGAGGACGCAGGATGCAGAGTGTGTGTTGAGGAACGGGGTGCTGGGGGCCCGGGGAGAAGGGAGGTGCACCCTCTTCCCTCTGAGCAGCTTCCGCGGGCGGGGGCAGCTCTGGGCTGGCCCGTTTCTTCCAGACCCCACTCATTTTCACCCCCCACATTATCATGAAGCAGATTCCAGACACATTTCATTCATAGAACTTTCAGTCCAAATCTCTGAAAGATGAGGACTTTTGAAAGATTGTAACCACAACGCCACCATACCCCCAATACTAACTCTGGTTCCGGAAATACAGTCAGTGTTGAATCAGTGCCCCTTGGCTCCTCCAGCAGGCGCTGCCAGCACACCGGCCCAAGGCACAGCCTCCAGTGCCCAGCTTTGCTTCAGATCCAGTGCCACTGCCCCACCAGCTGTGGGGCCCAGGCCACCCCTTCCTGGACTATAAAATGGAGCCCTCTTCGGCCAGCCGCCCACCCTCCCTCTTGGTGACACAGTGGGCTGAGCGAGGGGATACTGGGTTTTTTCTTTTGCAGCAAAATCTGGCCCCCCTTTACAGCTGATACAAGGCTGTCTGTAGTTTGAACCTTTGTGTATCTCTGCAGAATACCGGGTTTGATTTGGGATGTCATCTCAGACCCTGGGGTAGGGGTGTGTGTAGGAGAGACACCTCTACCCCCCGGGAAAAGGCTTCCCTTGCTGGTTTGGCTTTCTGAAATCCAAAAAGTTGACAGTCACTACAGGAGTAGAGGCAGGTGACACGGAGTGGTCAGGCTCTGGCCTGGGGGGGACAGGGATGTAACAGGGGCTGGTCCCTGGTGTCCAGACGTGATCCTTCTGTTTACTTTGTTTCTGGGAGCTGGGAGAAGCGAAGGCCATGTTTGTTTTGGGCAGACATGTTCTGAATGTCCAACACTGCCAGCCACACTCCCAATGTTACCTCTGTTCGTCCACGTGGCACCCTGGAGTGATGCAAGGTCCTCCTCCCTTTGCTGCGGCCCCAGGGGACTTGGGATCTAGGGGCACCTCCTTTTCTCCCCAGCCAAGGGGGCCCATGGTCACACCCAGTTCTAGCCACTGGCTAGGACGTCCCGGCCCCCAGAATGTCCTTGCATGAGTGAAGCTGTGGCCTGCGGGAGGCATGACTCTCATGCCTGCGCATGGGCTGTGGTGGGAAGCACTCGGTAGACGACGGCCTTGCTAAGCTCTCAGCACAAACCATCTCTTCACAGCGAGGTCAGCTGGGGGTGGAGAGCCGGGCTGTGAATCCTGGTGTGCCGACACCGCGGGCGCTCCATGCCTCCCTCTCGCAGGGCCTCTGTGTCGGGTGTGCAGACCCCAGGGGGGCCCCTTACCGCCTTTCTGCATGGGCCTCTGTGTCTGGTGTGTGGACCCCGTGGGGGCCCTGCAATCAGCCCTTTCAGAGTCTCCACTGGACCTTGGGTTCTGGAGGGGCCTTGTGGCTGGCGGCTGGCCCTGCCCTGGGCTGCCTTTGTGTCCTTGCTGGCCGTTGAGGGTGGGGGAAGCAGGAGCGCCTCGTTCTTTAACTTCCCAGGGTCTTCTTGCTGTGTGGCCGCCTGCAGGTTGAGGAGCCTGGGACAGGAAGCCCAGGGTCTTGATCCTGGGCTGTGCCTCCACTGCCGACTGCTGAGTGCTTTGTGTCCCAAAGCCTTTGCGCTCAGGTGGCATTCCGGAGGTGAAGGAGGAAGGGGCCTCAGCTTAGTCGTCCGTACACGTGCGCAATTATTCTGACCTTGCAGGTTTGTTGTGGGGATTGTGGGGTCTCGGCATCGGTGAGCTGAAGGGCTCGTGGCCCTGGCCGACCACCTGTGCTGTTTGTGGTGTTTCTCCACTGTCTGCTCCCACCTCACCTCACCTCACCTCACCTGGCAGAGGAGCCACCGACGTCTGGGCCAGAGGGCTGAGGTGGGGTGAACATGGTGTGAAAGCACCACACTCTGCAACAGGGTGGCTGTCCTGCTTGTGCACCCTCTGGGGCACTCGCAGGCTGGGGTAGGGTGACCCCACCACCGTCCTTCTCTTGTTGGAACCTCCACGTTGATTTGGACCGTAGTCCATCACTGATTTTCAGCTGGCCTGGCCAGTGTCTGTTTCATTGTAATTTCTTTGTGGAAGCCTCAGTTGTCTTTCCCATCTCGGGATGTGGCCCCGAGCTCCCTGCACAGACGTGGAAGGTGCATGGGCTCTGGTCGGGAAGCTGTTTGCCTCATCTCATTTCCGTCGCCCTAGGGGAGGTCTTTCGAGTTGGTCTGCAGGTTGCCCTGGTTCTTTCCAGTGTCTGTGTGGGGCTCTCTTGCACAGACGCCTTCTGGTTTCTTCAGCTTCTCTGTCTGGACAGTTGAGACACTGAGGGTGGCAGAGCCAGGCCCTGGCTGTGGCTCTAGCCTGTCCACCCACTGTGCTTGGAGGGAAGGTGTCTGCAGACGGGACCAGCCCTCGGCCCCAGAGGGGATGACATGGTGTGAATGTGCTGTGGACGGGGACCTGAGGCACTGAGCCCGTCTCAGCCCTCCCTCCCCACTGGGACTCTGGGAACTGCACATTCTCCCACAGGGAGGGGTCACCCCGGGCTCTCACCTGACTGTCGCCTCCTGGTCTCCTCCTGCCCGGCGTGGTCCTTGCCAGGTGGTGGGTCCCAGTACCTGGTAGCGGAGGGGGCTTGAGGGGGATGCCACCCCTTTGCCCTCTGGCTGCCCTCCCTCCCTGCCCCTCCCACTGGCTGGTGCCAGGCTGCCTGGGGGCTCCGCTTCTATGCCAAGGGCTTCTGGGGGAGGCAGGGCCACTTATCATGGCATCGTGTTGTCCTCGAGTTTTTGCAAAATCTGAGTGTGTGGGGTGTAGGTGTCTCAGAGGGCAGGGTTTGTGTTCCAGGAGAGGAGAGGTGAGATCACCATGCCTCACCACCGAGGGTGGGGCAGTCGCCTGCCCGTGTGTGCCAGGGGCTTTTTATACTGCACCCCTCAGCCTTCCAGGTCTTGTTGGGGTTGGTGTGTTTCTGCCAGGTAGCGGAGCTGGAGGCAAACTGCACCCTCAGGGCCTGTAGTGACCACTGGCATTCAGTGAGCACATGCTGGCACCAGGTGCAGCCCCAGAGCTTTAACCACATTGGCCGGGATTTCCCTGGCAGCAGCAAGAGGGCTTCTGGGCTGGGCCTTGGACGGCTCTGCCGTGGCTCGTGGGCTGGTGCCAAGCAGAGCCTGGGGCGCCCCTCCTTCTGCCTTGCTCAAGCTCACAGTCCATGGCCGGGCGGGGCTGCCCTCCCCACCCAGGACGAGGCATGCACTCCGGTGTCCATGGCTGGAGCTGGGCTCCTTCTCAGTCTCCGGTTTGAAACAGTGGTCAGGTGGTTGGAAGTGGGTGGCTTAGAGGGCCTGATCTGGCCAGGCGTGGGATCCTGACGGCAGCATAAGCAGGCCCCCATGTTGAGCTGTGACCGTCCATCCTCATGCTTGGAGGAAGCTGGCCTGCAGCCTGGGAGCCTTCCTTTGTGCCCTGACCACCCCCACATCCCCAAAGGTCAGTTTCAGCCCCATTTCCTGGCTCTGGGCCTGTGCAGCAGCAGTGGATACTGGGAATGTCCCCACCTGACCGACACCTGGGAGCTGACATCTGGGCCCTGGGAGGCAGCAGCAGCACAGCCTGGGCCTTCTGTCAGGGTGCTGCCCGGCAGTCTCAGCGGAGCTGCGTGTGGTGCTTGGTGCCCATAACTGGCGTGAGCTCTCTCTGTGCCTGACTCCTCCACCCTCAGGAGCCTCGTGGGGAAGTGGAAGGACCAGGCCGTGTGGCTGGCCCCAGTGTCTGTGCTGCCTGGGGGCCCAGCAGGAAGGGTGTTCTGGGAGCTACCTGGAGGCCTTGGAAGGGCAGGAGCCTGCTGCTGTCCAGGCCTTGAGGGAGGGCCGCAAGTCACAGGAGACAGGACACAGGTCTCAGGACTCGGTCACCCCAGGCCCCACCAACCAGGGTGGGGCAGGACTCGCTTTCACTCTGAGTCACGTGGAGCCCCTGGGAGGTTTTGAGCAGACCGGTGACTTGATCCGACTTGGTTTTAACAGGATCACCCTGCGGTGCGGGCTAGGCGGTCCTTGCGGGGCAGAGCAGGGAGCCCTGCTGGGAGGGCTTCATGGAAATCCTTGCAAGTGGTGGTGGCGAGGGGCAGTGCTGCCACGCTTTGGCCTGGGGCTGCCCTCCGCACCAGGGTTGCAGCCTGGGGCTGTGAGCACCGGGTCGGTGAGGTGGAGAGGCACCCGCTCACCTCAGGAGGGCATAGAAGAGGGTGGGTGTGAGGGGCTTCCCTGGATGAGGCCCTGGCACAGGTGGGCGCCCCAGAGACGGGGCACGTTCTCTCGTGCTGGCATGCTTGGTGGGTGAGCTGTGTTGCGTGTAGTTTGAAGCCCTTTCCTCTCTGGGGTGGGGTGGGAGGAAGTGAGGTTACACGCAGGGTGCTGACGACATTGAGCATCCAGCTTGGGGAGGGGGTCCTGGTTTGCAGCATTTGCCCATGGCTGTGGTGTAACTGCCCACCGAGGCAGATTTCAGGGGACCAACCAGATGTCACCCAGCTCACAAACTTCCCCTAGTCTTGACTGTCTGCCCCGAGCGTCTACAAGTGGCCGGTTCTGGGGCCGGAGCCGGCTCCTCCCATGGCAGAGCTGCTGCCTGTGCTCCGAGGGGAGCCTCCAGCCGTGACCTGTCTAACTGTCAGTTACACGACTGCAGGAAAGGCCCAAGTGGCAGCAAGGTACGAGGCTGAAGTTGAAGTCCCAGGCGCTGGGTTAGAGCTCCTCGGGTCTGCCCCACACCTTTACAGGTAGACACGGGGCCACGCCGCAGGGCCCTGGCCATGGTTGGAGGCCTGCATGCGTTCTCCACTGTGCAGCGTTCCTATGGGCGTTCTCAACTGTCCGTGCCCTCCTGGGACACGCAGGGTGGCGGTGGCCTCCTCCTGCCAGCCCTGCCTGTGGCTAGCCAGTCGGGGCCAGGGAAGCCCCAGCATCTCGTGTGTGCAGAGCTCCCTGTGGTCAGCTGGGGTGTGGAGGTCGGCAGGGTCTGAGCCGCCGCTCCCGCCTCTCTGATTGGCCGAGAGCCAGGCCGGGTCACAACCACGCCGCCATCACAAACCTGGGCCCGTTCTCCTGGTTACGGTAGAACCTCACTGCTTGGCCTCGCTCAAGGGCACCACCTCCCCGCACCGTGTTTGGGTCTGCAAACGTCCGTGTTGTGCCGGCCCCACTTCCCCTGGCTGTGTTGGGCCCGCACCGTGGCTGTCCACGCATGGGTCACTCTTCAGTACATTGTTGTGGCCAAGCTGTCAGAGCCCAGTAGCAACGAGTCGACCCCACGAGTGGGTGGTTGGTGGGCAGAAGGCTGCCAGTGGCTGAGTCCCTTGGCACACCTGCCTCCCAGTGTGTTCCCCAAGCCCCCACCTGGGAGCAAGTGGCATGTGCCTGAGCTCCCTCCACCGCCCAGGCCTTCCCTCCCGTGCCTGAGAGCAGTGGTTGGAGAGTCGTTCTGAGCTGGTCGCGCTTCGCCTGAGCAGCTTTCCCGACAGCCTCTCACCTGGGTGGCTGGGCAATGGGGGTGAGTGAGTGGAGCAGGCCCTGCTGAGGCCCGACAGGTGCCCTCAGGAGCCCGCCGAGGCTGGGAGAGGTGGGGGTCCCCGGGGTGACTGGCCTTCCTCTCTGTTGTGCTTCCTCCTCTGCAGCTGTCGCCTGGTTGGGCCCGGAAATGGGACGTCGCGCTTTCTCAGGGAGCGTAGAAGCAGCCAGGGCCTCTCCAAGCCGCTGCTGTGACAGAAAGTGAGTGAGCTGCCGGAGGATGTCCACCGCCACGACAGTCGCCCCCGCGGGGATCCCGGCGACCCCGGGCCCTGTGAACCCACCCCCCCCGGAGGTCTCCAACCCCAGCAAGCCCGGCCGCAAGACCAACCAGCTGCAGTACATGCAGAATGTGGTGGTGAAGACGCTCTGGAAACACCAGTTCGCCTGGCCCTTCTACCAGCCCGTGGACGCAATCAAATTGAACCTGCCGGTGCGTAGCTGCTGCCTCCCCAAGAGCCACGTTCTGCTGCTGCCGTCCTCTGTCCCCCTCCTGCTGCCCCCATCCTGGAAAGACTGCCTCTGGCCTTGGGAATTTGCTGCTAAGCTGGGGACAGCCTGTGCCTCAGGAAGTCCACAGCACAGAGGCGCACAGGGGCCACATGGGCGTGGGAGAGTGGAGGGCGGCTGCCCCAGGTGCAGGAAATAGGGAGAAGCCACGCGTGTCCGGGAGGAAAGCGAGTGGGTGGTGATGGGGCTTAGGAGTCGAGGCTCACTGGGGCCTTCTTCTGCCTCACTGGCTCCTGCAGGATGGCCCATCTGCCAGCTTGGTGAGCCCACTTGGAGTTAGAGGCCGAGTGTATGTTGAGGCCTGCTTTCCAGGTGATGGTGCCCTCATCTGCATGCTCATTTTTGACCTGGGCCCAAATAGACAAACCCTGAGCATTGCAGAGGAATCCCTGGGCTGGCACTTGGTGGCCTGGGCTCTGGGCTCTGCTGGGCCCTGGTCACCTGCAGGTTTGGTCCCTGGAAGGTTTGGCCCCATCTCCAGTATGTAGACCTGTCCTGGGGTCTGCCCTAACTCCGTGGGCTCCTCTCTGCACATGCTTGGGGTCTGGAGAGAGGTTGGGCAGGAGTTTGGAGCTGGCCAAGTACTCACGTCACCATAGCCCACTGCCTTCAGAGACCAGAAAGTGCCTCTGGGCCAGCCCCAGTCCTCAGTCCACTTGGGAAGGTCGGGCTGTGTCCACTTGGGAATTGTGAAAATAATTATGTAGAATCTTCTGGTAATGCCTCTGAAAATCTCTTTCCTAGGATTATCATAAAATAATTAAAAACCCAATGGATATGGGGACTATTAAGAAGAGACTAGAAAATAATTATTATTGGAGTGCAAGCGAATGTATGCAGGACTTCAACACCATGTTTACAAATTGTTACATTTATAACAAGGTAAGAAGATGCGGGCCTGGCACGCCGCTTGCAGTAAGGATTGGGGCGCTGTGCAACGCAGTGGGCCTGGGCGCTTTGCAGCAGCTCTTGGGCAGGCCCAAAGCGCTTCACCTGGCTGGGTGCCGTGGCTCACACCTGTAATCCCAGCACTTTGGGAGGCCGAGGTCGGCGGATCACTTGAGCTCAGGAGTTCAAGACCAGCCTGTGCAACATGGTGAAACCCCGTCTCTACTAAAAATACAAAAAAATTAGCCAGGTGTGGTGGCAGGCACCTGTAATCCCAGCTACTCGGAAGGCTAAGGCAGGAGAATCACTTAAACCCGGGAGGTGGAGGTTGCAGTGAGCCGAGATCATGCCACTGCACTCCAGCCTGGGTGACAGAGCAAGACTCCATCTCAAAAAAAAAAAAAAAAAAACAAAAAAAACAACACACACACACACACACACACACACACACATATATTCATTTTGTTCTCTCCTGCGCTGCCAAATCTGTTAACAAATTTTAAATATTTTTTTGAGCTACAACTAATAATGTCCTTTGCAAGCACACAGCTCCTTTCCTGACACGTGACCTGGACTCTCTGTGTCTTCAGCCCACAGATGACATAGTGCTAATGGCCCAAGCTTTAGAGAAAATTTTTCTACAAAAAGTGGCCCAGATGCCCCAAGAGGAAGTTGAATTATTACCCCCTGCTCCAAAGGGCAAAGGTCGGAAGCCGGCTGCGGGAGCCCAGAGCGCAGGTAAAGGGAGCTGGGGCAGGCGAGGGGCTGGGCCTCTCTGCAGAGGCCCACGGGTGGATGGGCTGGGACGCGATCCTTTAGCCATCTGAGCTGTTTCCCATCTGTCGTGACGAGCTCGTGGGTGCCGGGTCTTGGATGAGTGTGGCCTGTGGGTGATGTTGGAGGGGCAGCTGGCCCGGGGATACGGAAGACATTAACGCCATAGCTGGCTGCCTTTGAGCCCACGCTGGGGAGGAGCTCATGGTCTAGGAGGATCACCTGTCCCTGCTCTCCACCTCCCAAATCCTGCTCCCCCTTCCAGCTCCAGCCCTGAGGTCACTTCTTCCACGACGCGTGGGGCCTGTTCCCCTCCTGGGGCTTTGTCTCTTTAGCACTCATTTGATTCTCTGTGACCTGAGAGTCACTATCACCTGCCTGGTTCCCTGGTCAAGTAAGACCGCGTCTTGCTGTCAGGGAGCATGGTGGTGATTAGTGTCGTGAGCCCCAGGATCCCACCTGGCCTGGGAACCCGGCATGCAGGTGTTGTCTGGGTGGAGAGGCTGACTGAGCGGGATGGCCAGGGCCACGGGCCGTCGCGTGTTGCAGATGGGAGAAGCTGGGGGCTTAAGTACGGCCACATCGTTGGTCACTCAGCTTGTTACTTAGGGAACCGAGTTCAGTACCAGCTTTCCATGACTCCAGGGTGGCCCTTGACTGCCAGGCCATGGGACTGCCTTGGCTTCCTCGTTCCGCCTCCTATGGTCTGTGGTGGGGGGCCTCCACTTCATGCAGGGAGCCCTCAGCCAAGATGAGCCAGACCAACCCTGCCCCCAAGATGCAGGATGGGGGGCATCTCAGCATGGAGGGTTCTTCTGGCCGGCGGTCTTGGCAGCACAGAGCTGGTACCCGTGTTCTGGCTGGAGGGGTGGCACTGGAAGCTTCTGGAAATACTAGTGGAGCCTGGTGTGTTGAACATCCCTTCCTTGTCTTGAAGGTACACAGCAAGTGGCGGCCGTGTCCTCTGTCTCCCCAGCGACCCCCTTTCAGAGCGTGCCCCCCACCGTCTCCCAGACGCCCGTCATCGCTGCCACCCCTGTACCAACCATCACTGCAAACGTCACGTCGGTCCCAGTCCCCCCAGCTGCCGCCCCACCTCCTCCTGCCACACCCATCGTCCCCGTGGTCCCTCCTACGCCGCCTGTCGTCAAGGTGAGCACCCTGAGTCCGGATGGGTGGGGCACCTGAGCCCGGCCAGGGTTCCTGAGGTCAGGGCAGGAGCAGCAGGCGGGGGGCCCCCACCTTTCCCTGAGTGCTGGCTCTTGGGAGTGTTTCTCTCTGCGCCCTGGGAGCTCAGGCCGTTGTTACTGACACAGATGAGGAGACCTAGGCCTGGGGAGCTGAAGGTCACACAGCTGGTAAGGGAGGGCCTGGCTGAACTTGAACCCCAGCTTCTCTGGCCAGAAGCCCTGGCCAAAGGCTTGGTCAAGGTGGGGAAGTTGTGGGAGAGAAGCCAGGGTGGGAGGGGTCCCGGTCCTCCCCTGCTCACACTCAGGAGAGTGGTGCCAGCTGTACCTACCTGGGTGCGTTGTGAGGTGCCAGCACCCAAGCTGGCCCCGCCTGTGGGCTCCACATGGGAGCATGGGGACCTGCCTGTCCTGCTCCCCACTTGGCTGGGAGCTTTTCTCAGTGGGCCCTGTTGGTCTTGGCAGGGAGTGGGTGCTCCCTGCAAGATTTGGGGCTGGCGAGGCCTGGTGAGTCTCCTGCTTTGGGCAGGGCCCGTGCCAGGCACTTATGTGTATTATCTTCTTCGATTTGATCCTCACAGCAACCCTCTGGGGCAGACAGTATTTCCCCCATCTTACAGATGAGGAAGCGGGCGCTCAGAGGGGTTAAATGGCTCGCCCAAGGTAAAATGCCACCTCCGTTGCTTCCCCTCCCCGTGGCCTTCACTGCCTGCACTTATGGGTGGCCCCTGGTCAAGCCGCCTCCCCCAGTGGGGGCTGTTTCTGGAGCATGTCCCATTTGCCACGGCCAGACGAGTCTGTCCCCGCTCCTATCCGCCCTGTGCGGCACGCGCCTGGCGCTTGGCAGCACGTGGGTGCCTGCCAAGTGTTTGTGGATAGCCGGCTCCGGCCCCTGCCAGTCTGAGGGCGGCGGCTTGGCTGGGCAGTGACTGTGGGTGGCTCTCTAGACGGCAGGTGCCGTGGGCTGGGAGCCGTGGCTCCCGCTGGCTCCTCTCCCGCTGGGCTAAGATTAGAAGCTGGCTGAGCTGGTCTCAGGGTGCACACTGAGCCCTGGCCCTGGAACGCTGAGGTGATGCCCATGGGTGCTGGGTGCTGAGGCCCTTGCAGGCTGCCCAGAGAGACCTGCACACCCCCAGGAGGCCTGGACGTTAAACATGCGCGTCTGCCTGGTGCCTGGCTCCGTCCCCAGGACACACCCACAGAAGGTTCTGTGGGTCATCTCCCTCCTCTCCTTGCTTGAAATGGCCTTCGGTGGCTCCCACTGCTGCTGGGATGGAGTCCAGACTTGCCCACTCAATCCCTGAGGTCCCTTGTTCCCAGAGCTGCTGTGGCTGCTTCATGCCTCCTGGTTGGGCTGCCCCTTGCCCTGTGTCTGGAATGCTCTCCTGCCTCCCTCTTGTCCCGCAAAACTTGTGTTTGTCCGCGGAGCCCCCGCTCTCAGGCCCTTGTCTGGAACTTTCCTGGAAGCAGGGAGTTCCTCCCAGGTCTCTGCAGCACCGAGGTCCCCGGGTCCTGGTCTGGGTGCTTGTTAGGTGTCTGGCGAATTGCATGCAGCACCTCACATGGCTTGGGGTGTGAGGTGCGAGCCCACCCGGGACCCCTGAGCCCTCGGGGCTAAGGGAGAGAGGTATCTCCCCTCGCCCAGGTGAGGGCGGGTTTCAGAGTTGATCCTGAGGGAGAGTCCCAGCCTCACCACTGCCAGCTGTGTGACCTTGGGCCAGTGACATGGCCCCTGAGCCTTGGTGTCCTCTCCTGTGGGGCCGTGCATGTGGCCGCTTAGCCCAGCGCCAGGCAGGCAGACAGTGCCCCAGAAACGCGGCTGCAGCGACATGCGTCTTCGGGGCCCCTGGTTTCCGGGGTTCACTGGTTATTTCACTGTCGCAGAAAAAGGGCGTGAAGCGGAAAGCAGACACAACCACTCCCACGACGTCGGCCATCACTGCCAGCCGGAGTGAGTCGCCCCCGCCGTTGTCAGACCCCAAGCAGGCCAAAGTGGTGGCCCGGCGGGAGAGTGGTGGCCGCCCCATCAAGCCTCCCAAGAAGGACCTGGAGGACGGCGAGGTGCCCCAGCACGCAGGCAAGAAGGGCAAGCTGTCGGAGCACCTACGCTACTGCGACAGCATCCTCAGGGAGATGCTATCCAAGAAGCACGCGGCCTACGCCTGGCCCTTCTACAAGCCAGTGGATGCCGAGGCCCTGGAGCTGCACGACTACCACGACATCATCAAGCACCCGATGGACCTCAGCACCGTGAAAGTACGTGGCCGCGCGGCAGGCCCTGCTCTGCCCATGTCCTGCGGCTCTGCCGTGGGTGCTGATGTCTTGTGCCGGCTGAGTGGGGGCTGTCGGGGAGCAGGGTCTCGCTTGCCGGAGAAGCGCACCCTCCAGGCTGGCCCCCGCAGCGCCGGCTGTGGCTGGCAAGGCTCAGCGAGGAAGGCGTGCTCTGCCTGTGGGTCCCGGAGTCTGTGGCTCTGTTGTTGTTTATTCCCATCGAACCCGTTTAGTGATTTCATTGATTTCATTCCTACCTCCCATTCTGTATCATCAGGTCAGGGGGTCCCTAGAGCTGGGCCACTCTCACAGTTGGCAAAGTTTTAAAGCTGCACTTTGCTTCCCTCAAGCCCCGGATACAGGCGCCTCACAGCAGACAGGAGTGAGGCGGCCAGTGGGGATGGCCTGGCTTCTGTCCCCTAAGTGCCTCCAAGCCCCACCCCCTCACAAGACGGAAGCGGGACCTGGGTGGGTGGCAGAGCTGAGACCGAGAGCCTGGCCTCCCCCATGCCAGTCTTCTCAAGGCGGCAGCCTCTGCCTGGGCTCTTGTGTGCCTCACAGCAGGTCAGAGTGAGTCTGGTCCCTATGGGGGGTGGTGGTGGGTGCGGCATTTGAGCTGCACCGCCCCAAGCCAGGGTGAGCTCCACCGGGTCTTCCCTGAGCACCTTTCCAGACTCCTGGCTGGCACCTGCCCTCCCTCTGGGAGAGCTCCAAGCCAGCTCCCAGGGACGTGCAGGCAGTTGGCAGAGGTGTGACCTGCCTCCTCCGCCAACTGCCGTGCGGCCCTGGGAAGAGCTGCTGGCAGCCCTGTTGGGCAGTTGTTTTCATCCTGGGAAGCCAGTCGCAGTCATTCTGCCTACCTGAGGCAGGATCTGCTGATGAAACCCTTTTCTTCCTTGATTGACTGGATCTCGGGCAGGACAGACCTGGCTGGCCCAGGCCCCAGAGCCCGGTGCACAGTCAGGTGAAAGTGACGAGCGGGGCCGCCTGGCTCCACTGCCGTGGGTGGGGAAGCTGAGGGCCAGAGCCACGCAGCCCAGAAGCTGCCAGGAGCCTCGGCTGCAGCCTCCAGGGCTGGGGTTTGTGTGTCTCTACCATAGCACAGTTAACAGGAATTTCTGGAACATCATGGGGGGTTCCAGTGTTTGGGCTGGACTCAAGCTCAGCTTAATTCCATTTTGGTCAAAGGGTCTGATTTGCCCTTGAAACCATAATAAAGAAGCTCTAGAAAAACAATTCACTTTAAAGTCATGATCTGCTTTGTTCGGAGCTTCCCACCTCTATCTGTCCTGGCATGGCATGGGGAGAAGCCAGGTGCAGTGGCAGCACTTGCTGCCCGCGACTGTGGCCCGGACGCTGCGGAAAAGGGGCAGTGAATCAGGGAGAGAGGCCTCAGGACCTCTAGATTATACAGATGGAGCTTTTGGGGATGGTTTATCCCGGCACATGCTAAAACGGAAAACTAGCTTTTCCCCCAACATCAGAGGCTTCCAGGTCCCACTGTGCCCCCGGGTTCTTTCTGCCAGCCCTTCCTTCTGGATGGGTCTCATGTCTGAGTGCATAGGGTACGGGCCCTGAGTTGGGGGCGCCCTCTGCGGGTTAGGACCCGGCCCCTCCATCTCACTGGCACCTGGACAAATGCAGCCTGGACCCCACAGAGCGGTCGGGGTAGATTTGCCTTGCCCTTGCGTGTGTCGTCCCTCGAGGTCCCCGACAAGGTGCCTCTCCTTGAAGCCATCCCAGGATGGGAAACTCACTCCCTCGGGCACAGCGTGACCTCTCTTTGCCCCAACTAGTGTGTTCCCAGTGGCCACCTTGAAGCGTCCCTCGACGATCCTGCCTCTGGCCACTCCCTGGCAGAGCCACCTGCACCTCCCAGCTCTGGGGACTGACTGTGTGCCCCTCCTTACCCCTGCCGCCTGGCACTGTCTACCCAGGCCTTGGCCTCAGTTCTCTGCTTGCCAGAGCCAGGTGGGACCTGCGGTGGGTTTTGCTGTAGGGTCTCTGTGTGGCCGAGTAAACGTGGGTGGGTGTCAGCCGACACGCCCCCGTTGCCTCCACCCCTGTGGGGTTCAGGAGCTGCCGCTGGACACAGCGTGGAGTCCCTTAGGTCCAGCTAGGCCCCTGGGATACCAGGGTGCTTCTGTAAGACGCAAGCTGGCTAACAGCTACTGGCTTCCTCGAGGGAAAAAATTACATTTCCTTGTGTAGACTGAGCAGGCCCCCTGTTGTTGGTGGAGTCTGACTTTGCTGCAGCCTCACGCCCCCTGGGGCTGCTGATGGCGTGGCGGCGTGTGAAGATTTACCCGCTTTGTGTGAAGGGAAGCTCTGGACAAGGAAGGGGCCAAGGGACGCCTACGGGAACCTGGGATTTCTTGTTGAGTGCATTTTTCTTCCAATCAGGAGATCTGTCTCTGGAGTCCCAGACCCTCCCTGCCAAGCCATCAAGTCACCCTCTCATGTCCTCACTTTGGGTTTCCTCGTACGAGGTCCCAGAGAGCTGGGGTGTCCTGCCGGCCAGGCCAGTAGGCACTGCCCTGGAGCTGGCAGTGGCTCCTGAGGCTCCAGAGTTCATCTCGTGGGGTGTGGCAGAGAGTCCTGATGCCACGGGCCACGCTCACTGGCCCCTGTCACTGTGTGTTGCAGAGGAAGATGGATGGCCGAGAGTACCCAGACGCACAGGGCTTTGCTGCTGATGTCCGGCTGATGTTCTCGAATTGCTACAAATACAATCCCCCAGACCACGAGGTTGTGGCCATGGCCCGGAAGCTCCAGGTAACCCGAGGCTGGGCACGGGTGGGGCTGCTCAGCTCAGTGCTGTGGGCATCCTGGCCTCAGTGTGGGGTAAGCGCCCAGGTGAATGTCCAGCCGAGGAAGGCCTTAGAGAGCCTCATTCCCTCAACACCTTTTTCCCGAGTGCCAACCAGGTCCCTGTCAGGCTCTGAGCTGGGTTCCAGGAGCTGCCACTGGGGCAGGGCAGCCAGCGAGCAGGTGGGACCACTGGGGCTCTGTGGGGGTGTCGCAGTAGTGAGTCTTTCCCTCCAGGGACTGGTGCGTGTACCAGGTGGGACGGCAGATGCTCTTTCTCTTGCGGCTTCCCTGACTGTAGTTTCCAGCAAGTCTTCTGTGGCAAGGAGAGGCTTGGACACTAGCCTGTCAGTGCAGCCGGTGGATGAATTAGGTGACAGTGGCTTGTGTAGCATTTTGCTTTTCTGACAACAGAAGTAAAAGGCGGATTGGAGAAAATGCAGGAAGCAGTGAGATGTCTTCAGGGAAAACAGGAGTGTCTTGGTCTAGCTCTCAGCGCAGGGACTTTGTGAACATGCACAAACCTCACAGAGATATTTGTGTGTGTGTGTGGACGTGTGTGCGTGTGTGTGCTCCTGCCTGCGTGTGCATTTTTCTGCCAAAGTCCAGGTCCCGCACACATATTTTGGTGTGGGTGGATGTGCCAGAATCTATTCTTACCTTCTCTAATTGTGATCGCAGGTGGTTTGCTTTTATAAATAACAGCACCACTGTTATAAATGTTAATCAAAGGACTTGATTTTTGGAGGAAAGGGGAGAATTATGGGTATGTGTTCTCTTCCAGCATGCTTTTCCTTTTCACGGGACCCAGAATGTCATGTTAAGATGTTCTCAGTCCTTGCATAGACTGTTTTGAAATCCCCGAGCAGCCCATGGTATTATTGTGGATGACACAGGACCCATAAAAGGGGCAGAGAGAGAAACTCGTTCCCCCTGTGGGTCCTGCTGCCTTTCCCACCCTCTCGCGCACAGGGCCTACCCAAGGTCCTCTCCCAGGCACTGCTGCCATTGCCACCCTCTCTGTGCACTGGGTCCTGTGGGTGATGATGGCAGGGTGGTCCTGGAGGTCCCACTACATCCAGAGGAAGCCGTCAGAACCCTGGTTTTATACTGAGACCTCGCTTACTGTGTCTTGAACCCAAAAGACCTTGCAAAGGCCAGTCCTCTGGAGCCTGGTAAATACTGGGTTGAGTTTAACGAGGGAGCTGAGCATAGAGGACGGAAACCCAGGCTTGCAGACCGAGCAGGGAAGCTGGCAGCTCTGCCCCTGCTCCTGAAACAGGTGCTGTTGGATAGACATGGTGCTCACGCCTGTAATTCCAGCACTTTGGGAGGCGGAGGTGGGAGGATCACTTGAGGCCAAGAGTTTGAGACGAGCTGTCTCTACAACAGATTTTAAAAACGAGTCAGGTGTGGTGGTGTGTCCCTGTAGTACCAGCTATTCAGGAAAGTGAGATGGGAGGATCACCTGAGCCCGGGCGTTGGAGACTGCAGTGAGCTGTGGTTGCACAGCACTCCAGCCTGGGCAACAGAGGAGACCCTGAGGCTGATGGATTTCCATGACTGAGCACTATTTAGCAATTGTGCAATTTTATCAGTTGAGCTGTGGGGTTAGAGCCCAACAGCAAAACGACCTGACCTGCATGGCCTTCAAGGCTGTCGGCCGAGCGGGGGCCTGGACCGCTGCTCTGTGGGTTGGGTTGCCTCTGGGGACATCTCCTGAGAGGAGAGCCTGGGATATGAGAGCCTGGGGTGGGCTTCTCCAGAGCTGGGTCCAGCCTGAACAGTGAAGGCATGTCACGTGAGCAGACGGTGTGGATTCAGGTTTCTGAGCTTGGCAAAAAGAAATCTCCCCTCATTTCCACATCACTGTGCCTCCCTGTCTTCAGTGAGCCTGGGCTGCCCCAGGGAGGGGGATGTTTGCTGAGAGGGGTGACGGAGGGCCTAGGTCCTGGTCCAAAGGCTTTCCAAAGTCAATTTTGATAGGAAGTCTGGGTGTGGTGGCTTACCCCTGTAATCTCAGCACTTTGGGAGGCCAGGGTGGGAGGATCACTTGAGCTCAGGGGTTCAAGACCAGCCTGGGCAACAGAGCAGGACCCTGTCCCTACAAAAAATAAAGTAGGCCGGGCGTGGTGGCTCACATCTATAATCCCAGCACTTTAGGAGGCCAAGGCAGGCAGATCACGAGGTCAGGAGTTCAAGAACAGCCTGGCCAACATGGTGAAACTTCGGCTCTACTAAAAATACAAAAAGTTAGCCGGGAGTAGTGGCGCATGCCTGTGATCCCAGCTACTCAGGAGGCTGAGGCAGGAGAATCACTTGAAATCAGGATGTGGAGGATGCAGTGAGCTGAGATCATGCCATTGCACTCCAGCCTGGGCAAAAGAGCAAGACTCTGTCTTGAGAGAAAAAGAAAATTAGTAAAAGTAAAACTTAAAAATGTGTGTGTGTGTGTGTGTGTGTGTGTATATTTGTGTATATATATGTGTGTGTGTATATATGTGTATATATGTGTATATATGTGTGTATATATATGTGTATATATGTGTATATATATGTGTGTGTATATGTGTGTGTGTGTATATATATGTGTGTGTGTGTGTGTGTGTGTGTATATATATTTGAGGCAGGGTCTCACTCTGTCACCCAGGCTGGAGTGCAGTGGCATGATTTCGGCTCACTGCAGCCTCGACCTCCTGGGTTCAAGCAATCCACCCATCGCAGCCTCCCGAGCAGCTAGGATCACAGACATGTGCTGCCATGACTGGCTAATTTTTATATTTTTTTGTAAATAAAGTATGGATAGGACTAGACTTTGGCCTTTTAAGCCAACTTTTGGAGTTCACCGTTCATGAGATGTGATGCTGCAGTCAGTTCCGGGGTGAAGAGATGGGAAGAGGTCAACACTCTTGGACTCCTGTGGCTGTGGAGGACCCTGTCCAAGCTCAAGGGAAGACACTGTTTCCCGTTTCACAGCAGAGGCAGCCCCAGGGAGCTTTGGGCCAGGAGGCTACAAGGATGCATGCATCTTCTAGAGAGGGCTCATGGAGTTGCTGAAGGGAGCTGTGGGCCAGCTCCTGTGTCCCCTCTTCCCAGGCCTGTCCGCAGGAATTGCCTGGGGAGGGAGGGTGGGCAAGCTGGAAGCAACCACAGCCCCCCAGGCAGGCGGGACCCTGTCTCCTCCTAGCCCCACCTTCGTAACAGCTGTGGGTGCTGCCTCAGGGGCACCTCAGAAACCCTGAGGGCCCACACCAAGGGGCAGCCCCATGGGCACCCATGTCTTCAGGGCAGCCTCTGTTCTGCCGCAGGACGTGTTTGAGATGAGGTTTGCCAAGATGCCAGATGAGCCCGTGGAGGCACCGGCGCTGCCTGCCCCCGCGGCCCCCATGGTGAGCAAGGGCGCTGAGAGCAGCCGTAGCAGTGAGGAGAGCTCTTCGGACTCAGGCAGCTCGGACTCGGAGGAGGAGCGGGCCACCAGGCTGGCGGAGCTGCAGGAGCAGGTGGGCACTGGCATGCTTGGGTGGGGTTCAGGGGCTGAGGCGGGATTGCTGGCACAGCAGCCCAAGGTCCGTCCCTTTGCATGGTTCCTTCCTCTGCCCCTGTCCCTCAGCAGCCGCGGTAGTGCTTCCCCGTAAAGACACTCGGAGTGCCCTCCCCAGGTCTGGGGTGGTGCGAGCCTAACCCACAGCACACGTGGGTGGCTGCGGGGACACGTGGCTGGGATGTTTCTGGAGACCTGGCGGGCCTCAGGTGGGAGCTCAGGGGTCATGTGTGGTTATGTGTGCCTTGCTCTGCTCCAGAAAGGCCTGTGAGGCACTTGCAGAGGCCACAGTAGTGCCTGGGCTCCAAGCAGTCACTTGCAGTGGGGTGGGGTGCAGGCTCCAGGGTCCTGAGGGCCCTGCCGTGCAGCTGCCCAGCCCCAGTCCCGCTGCCAGGCTGTGCTTCCTCCCCCTTCTCTGCTTTCCTCGTTTGCAGTATGGGACAAATGTCACCCACTCTGAGCTGTCTTGAGGTCAGATTGAGAAAGATGTGAATTGTTTCCCCAGACCTCTGGCAGCCAGCCAGATGCATGATTTCTGGGACCCCAGATTGGGAGAAAATAGAGCAGGGCTGTCGAGTCAGGAGGGGAACAGCATGAATCAGGGCTGCAAGGACAGCGATGGCCCTGCAGTCCCCAGAGTTGGGCTGGACATTTGATTTTGAAGTGGCAAGGACACACAGCAGGGAAGACGGCTGTGAGGTGGCAGCTCCTCCACCCGCCCTCTGTCTTCCTTGCACAGACCACCCAGAGGCAGGGACAGGCCGTGGACTCACATGGGCAGTGCCTCTCAAGGGGCCTCTCCCATGGAGGTGGCTGCAGTGGGGAGGGCGAGGCGCTTGGCACAATGCCAGCTGCAGGGAGGCCCTGGATTAATGCTGGTTGCTGGCAGTGGATTGTTTTAACCCCGGAGTCCTGCGTGTTATCAAATGGCTTCCCAGAAATCACTGATGAAAATCTCCTTTGTGTGGGCATTTAAACTTCTAGAGAGTCCTTCCTTATCTGAACAATGGTAATAATAAAAATGTTAGCTGCCCACCTAATGTAGATGACGGGTTGATGGGTGCAGCAAACTACCGTGGCACATGTATACCTATGTAACAAACCTGCACATTCTGCACATGTATCCCCGAACTTAAAGTATAATACATTTTTTTTAAAAAGTTAGCTGCCCTCACCGAGTCCCTGTTGTGCCACCCGCGCAGTGCTGAGCCTGTGGCCAGGCAGCTCTTCCCCACTGCAGGCGAAGAAGCCGAGGCGGAGAGGGCTCATGACTCACTGGGGGTCACGGGAGTGAGGGGCAGAGCAGGGCCCAGGTGCTCCTGGTTCACCTCCTCACCCAGCTGAGGCAGCTCCGACATCGCCCCAAGCCCCCTCCAATCCCAGGGCGCCACGCAGCCCCAGTGGTGTGGGCCGTGCCCAGCACCTGCTCAGCCGCCCGCTCTTTTCCAGCTGAAGGCCGTGCACGAGCAGCTGGCCGCCCTGTCTCAGGCCCCAGTAAACAAACCAAAGAAGAAGAAGGAGAAGAAGGAGAAGGAGAAGAAGAAGAAGGACAAGGAGAAGGAGAAGGAGAAGCACAAAGTGAAGGCCGAGGAAGAGAAGAAGGCCAAGGTGGCTCCGCCTGCCAAGCAGGCTCAGCAGAAGAAGGCTCCTGCCAAGAAGGCCAACAGCACGACCACGGCCGGCAGGTGGGCTCCAGACCTGCTCGGGCTCCAAGAGCCCAGCGCTCAGCACGCCATGGGGGCTCATGTAGCAGCAGTGCTGGGATTGGGGGCTTTGTGCCTTGGCCACCTGGAAACCAGGGTGATGGGGGCAGGGAGACAGAGGGCCTGATGAGACCTGTGCTGGGAAGTCCGGGGGCCCAGGTGATGCTGCTCAGTTGTCTGCGGGGCTGGCCTGGATTCTGGGCATTGAAGCGCTGGCACGGCCTGGTCTCCACATCATGAAGCTTTTGGGATGTTTCTCTGGTCTGGGCCAAGGATCTTGACTAGGGGGAGTTGAACGCCCCGTTTTGGACTTGCCCATAGGCAGGGGGCAGGGATGGTGGAATCGTGCACAGCTGCATTCAGCCTCCTTCGGGAGCCCCTGCTGTGGCTGGGCACCACCCTGAGGAGCGTCTGCTAGGGACATGCAGGAGCCACAAAGCAGTGTGAGCTAGTAGGGAAGGAGCTCAGGCCCGGGATGGGAGCTCTCCTGGCCAGGTGGAAGGGAGGCTTCCCAAGGGGGAGGCAACAGCTGTGTGGGAGCAAGCTTGGCAGCAGAGGGCCAGGGAGGGAGTTCCAAGAACAGGGAACAACGGGTACAAAGCCACAGAGGCCAGTAGGACGTGTTCCTTTTGGGAATGAGGGCAAAGTTGGCACCACTGAAAAAGAACAAGTTGGGAAAAAAGGTGAGTTGAGGCTGCTGAGATCAGCCGGCTTTGTTTGAGGTGTTCATGCTTCCTTTTCAAGCAAATGAAGGAGAGTTAGGATTTAAGCTCAACATGATCAGATCCTCGCCACTATGGAGAATAGCTTAGTGGAAATCAGGAATGGAAGAAAGGATACCCCTTTGGAGGTTATGGTGGTTGTGCAGGCAAAAGAAATTGGTGTGGCTCTGGAGATAGACTACTTTGGGAGGCGGCATGGCCAGGCCCTGGTGCTTGGAGGGAGGAGGGGAGGAGCATGGGGGTCCTGGGTTTGGGGTTAGACAGCTGGGTCAGCCATTAATGAAGACAGCGAGTGGAATGGTCGGGATAGGTCTTTCCTTCCCTTATTTTCTCCCTCCCTCCCTCTCTCCTTTTTGGAGGCAGATGCAGAAATCCATTTTTCTTATACAGGTTGAGTATCCTTTATCTAAAATAAGGATGTTTCCAAAATAAAAGGTGCTTCTGATTTTGGATTTTTTCAGATTTTGGAATATTTGCATTATACTCCCCATTGAGCATCTCAAATCTGAAGCATCTCAAAACTGAAGCATCTCAAATCTGAAAATCTGAAATGCTCCAGTGAGCATTTCCTTTGAGCGTCACGTTAAGACTCAGACAGTTTCAGATTTTGGAGCATTTTGGATTTTTGGATTTGGGATACCCAGCTTGTACTATCTTTGTCTGTTTTTAGTGTCAGTATAATGCTGGCCTCAAAAATGAGTTGCAGCCTGGTGTGGTGGCTCCCACCTGTAACCCCAGCACTTTGGGAGGGCCAGGCAGGAGGATCACTTGAGCTCAGGAGTTAGAATCCTACTGTGTTGCCCATAGTGGTCTCAATCTCTTTACAAAAAAAAGTGTTGGTTGGGATATAATATTTGAGTGATTAGAGGCAAGTAAAAAGTGATTTGAGGCCAGGTGCAGTGGCTCACACCTGTAATCCCAGAAATTTGGGCCAACATGGTGAAACCCTGTCTCTACTAAGAACAGAAAAAATTGGCCGGGCTTGGTGACGGGCGCCTGTAATCCCAGCTACTCAGGAGGCTGAGACAGGAGAATCTCTTGAACCCGGGAGGTAGAGGTTGCAGTGAGCCGAGATCACACCACTGCACTCCAGCCTGGGCGACAGAGCAAGACTTGGCCTCAGAGAAAAAAAGAAAAAAAAGATTTGAAAGGTGTTGCCCCTCTTCTGTTTTCTGGAGTAAATGTATAGAATTGATATTAATACTTAAATGTTTGGTAGGATTCACTAGCAGAACCATCTGGGCCTGGAGTTTTGATTGTTGGAAGGTTTTTAATCATGAATTCAATTATTTTAATAGGTATAGGCTTATTAGATTATCAGTTTCTTCTTGAGTGAGTTTTAGAGGTTTATGCCTAAGGCGTTAATCCATTCCACTCGGATTGTCAAACTTATGGACATAAGTCTATTGGTTAGTATTTCTCTATTAGCCTTTTATTGTCTGTAGGGCCTGTAGTGATGTGTCTTTTTCATTCCTGATATTGGTAATTTGTGTCTTTTTTTCTTGGTGAATCTGGATAGAGACATACCAATTTTATTGATCTTTCAAAGAAACATAATTAGATTTCATTGATGTTTTTAAAAAAAATTTTTACTTTTATTTATTTCTGATCTTTACTGTTTCCTTTGCTTAGTTTAGACTTGGCTTCTTTTTACTTTTTAAGGTAGAAGATTAGATTACCGACTTGAAACCTTTTTTTAATTTTTTATTTTTTAAATTTTTTTGAGAAGGAGTCTGGCTGTGTTGCCTAGGCTGGAGTGCAGTGGCACGATCTCGGCTCACTGCAACCTCCGCCTCCAGGGTTCAAGTGATTCTCCTGCCTCAGCATCCCTAGTAGCTGGCATTACAGGTGCCCGCCACCGTGCCTGGCTCATTTTTGTATTTTTAGTAGAGACAGGGTTTCACCATTTGGCCAGGCTAGTCTTGAACTCCTGACCTCAGGTGATCCACCTGCCTTGGCCTCCCAAAGTGCTGGGATTATAGGCGTGAGCCACCGCGCCCAGCCCTGCGTTGTCCTTTTTTCCTGAACATACTCCTTTTTCTGAAGTTTACTTTGTCTGAAATTAATATACCCACACCAGCTTTCTTTTGACTAGTGTTTGCATGGTATATTTTTTTCTCACTTTTTTCCTTTTAACCTACTTAGAACATTATATTTAAAGTGGCATTTGTGTAGACACTATGTAAGTGGGGTCTTCTTGTTTTTTTAATCCAACCTGAGCATCTCTTCCTTTTAGTTGGTGTGTTTAGACCATTTATATTTCTTTCTTTTTTTCTTTTTCTTGAGGCAGAGTCTCGATCTGTCGCCCAGGCTGGAGTGCAGGGACAAGATCTTGGCTCACTGCAGCCTCCGCCTCCCTGGTTCAAGCGATTCTCCTGCCTCAGCCTCCCGCATAGCTGGGACTACAGGTGCCCGCCACCACGCCCGGCTAATTTTTTGTATTTTTAGTAGTAGAGACGAGGTTTCACCGTGGTAGCCAGGATGGTCTCGACCTACTGACCTCGTGATCCACCCGCCTCGGCCTCCCAAAGTGCTGGGATTACAGGCGTGAGCCACCGCGCCCGGCCCTAGACCGTTTATATTTCACATAATTATTGATATAATTGGATTTCGGTCTCTCATTTTATTATTTTCTTTTTCCTCTGTGTTTTCTGTTCCTTTGTTCCCCCTTTTTTGCCTTCTTTTGGATTACCTGAATACAGAGATCATTTCTTGACCTGTGGAGTTTGAGACGCCTATGGGGTGTAGAGAGGAACGAACCTCTGTAATTGTTTCCTGGCCAAGGGCTGGAAACCCCGCAGCTGGGAGCGACTTTTCTAACCTTGGATTTTCTGCCTTGGGGCACCACTTTGGGAAGAAAGCTTGGTCCCAGAGAGCAGCCTGCTGTTGGGAGGAAGGGGTGTGTGCAGTGGGCTCCCACGGCAGGTAGACGGAGACTCAACACCACGTTGCTCTGTCTCCTGCCCCAGACAGCTGAAGAAAGGCGGCAAGCAGGCATCTGCCTCCTACGACTCAGAGGAAGAGGAGGAGGGCCTGCCCATGAGCTACGATGAAAAGCGCCAGCTTAGCCTGGACATCAACCGGCTGCCCGGGGAGAAGCTGGGCCGGGTAGTGCACATCATCCAATCTCGGGAGCCCTCGCTCAGGGACTCCAACCCCGACGAGATAGAAATTGACTTTGAGACTCTGAAACCCACCACTTTGCGGGAACTGGAGAGATATGTCAAGTCTTGTTTACAGAAAAAGCAAAGGAAACCGTTCTGTAAGTTGCCTGCGTGGAGCGTGGTGCTTGAAGTTCCTCTCCCCTCCTTGGCCTGCCCCTCCTGTCACTCCTCACGGACCCTGTGCGGCGAGCTTGGGCACAGGGCTGCCACGCTGTCTTGGCTCCTTCGTCCCACCACAGATGCCCTGAGGATATCTGTGCTCACCCAGGGCCAGTGGGCTTGGGGCTGAACCCAGGCCTGAGCCCCACCCAGCCAGAGCCCTCTTTCCCTGTTCTTGGGGACATGGGCAGCACTGCGTGCCTTGGCCTTAACCTTGTCCAAGGAGTGCGCGACTCTGGGGCTGGGCTCCGGCCCCAAACCCCATTCATTCAGGGCCCAGTTGGGGTCCTCACTGCATGCCTTCCTGAGGCTCCCCTCCATTTGGGGCCTTGGCTGCAGGTGACCTCTCATGGTCCCTTGCAGGGCAGACCAGCTTGTCTTATAACAAGGACACCCTCCCTTTGACTGGGGTCACAAGTCCAGAAGCCTCACAGGACGGACCCTGGGGCACCGGCCCAGGCTTCCCTGAAGTCAGTGGCAGGAACGAGTCACTGCTGGGGTCTGCAGGTCTGGCAGAGTAGGAGGGAGGGCAGACCCGAGG
The DNA here is from genome assembly GCF_000001405.40 of Homo sapiens. Taxonomy (NCBI): domain Eukaryota; kingdom Metazoa; phylum Chordata; class Mammalia; order Primates; family Hominidae; genus Homo; species Homo sapiens. Next base: position 134,035,429 of record NC_000009.12, on the reverse strand, counting down.
CAGCCCTTGTGGCAGCCCCCATAGGCTGTCAAGTGAGTGCAGGGCTCACTTGAACTTGCATGTGGCCTCTCGGGTGTGCATGGGCCTCACTTGCTCCTTTTCCTGGATGGAATGTCTGTGTGGTCATGGTGCGTCTGACCCACGGTAAGTCACCGGGTCAACTTGGAGGGAGCGACTCAGGAGTGTCAGGCAGTGGAGACCGGGCCTCCTGCTCGGGCAGATGGAGAGCAGCGGCCCTGGTGAGGCAGGTCCATGAATCAGAGGCTCTGCCCTGCACATGAGGGACGTTGGCCAAACCGCATCCTGTCCGTGCACCTGTTTGCGCCATAGGAATGGCCTCTGTCACCTTAGGATCCAGGCTTTGCTCACCCTGAGGGCTCAGCAGATGTGGGTGGTGGTGGGTCTGTCTCATCCCAGTCATTTCTGCCACTCGAAGCCCTGGTGACAGCTTTGCATCTGTCAGCTCCCAGACTCATGAAAGCTGGGCAGCTGGCATGGATGCCAGTGTGCAGGGCTGGGGCCTTGGCCACCTGGATGCAGCCCTGGCTCCTGCCCCATCGGTCTGCTCTGCAGTCTGAGTGCCCATTTGTTCCCCGACAGCAGCAAGCGGGAAGAAACAGGCAGCCAAGTCGAAAGAGGAGCTAGCTCAGGAAAAGAAGAAGGAGCTGGAAAAGCGTCTGCAGGATGTCAGCGGGCAGCTGAGCAGCAGCAAGAAGCCCGCCCGGAAAGGTACCGCTGGCGGCCGCTGTGCCACCCCTCTTTAGGGGGGTGGGGGGTGTCAGCAGTAGGGGTTTGAGCATCGAGCAGGCCCACGTCTGAGTGTGGCTTACCTCCTGATGAGCTCCATGTTCTTAGACGAGCTCTTGAGCTCCTGAAACCTCCATTTCCTGGTCTGTCACTGGGGGTCATACCCCAACCCTGCAGGGAGGTGTGCACATGTCAAGTGTGTGTGAACACAGCCCATTCCAGGGCACCACAGACAGAGGACCCCCCAGGAGAGGGCTCTTGTGGGGCTGGACTGGGCAGCCCAGCCAGTGAGCTGGGCTCACCGTGAGCTTTCTGACTGTTCCCTGGCAGTGGCATCAGTTCCATGGCAGGCCGAGGTAGCAGAGGCGGGAGGCCCAGCCCCATGCCCTGCGCTTTGCCAGGTCCTTTGCTCAGGGGAGCCAGCATTTGAGCCCTTGCCTCCTTTTTCTGGACCCTGTTAGAGCACACATCTCTTTTCCTGGCTTCCAGGACACACATATGGGGGGGACAGTAGGGTCCTATCTGGACTGGAGCATGTTCTAGCTGGGGGCCATGGCCTTGCGACATGGTTTGCCCAGTGTCGAGACAGGGCCCATGACCCTGCCCGCTGAAGGGGTCTGTCTCCTGTAGTCACTCTTTGGACGCCCCAGGCAGAGTAAGCGCTCCAGAAACGCCAGCAGCTGGTGTTCCTGTCGCTGCTGGTGGCCATGTGACTGGTGGATGTTTTTGATGGGCAGCCTTTCTCGCATCCATCATTTCCTGTTAGTAGTCTGCATTCATTTTTTTCCTGTCTCAAGTATATTCAGATAGTCTTGTTGACCTGATTAATTTCAATAAATACTTATTAAACGACTGGGTCAGGAAGTGGGTGGGTCGTGGCACCCAGTGTGATGGTGTCACGCTGGCATGGACGACATGCCGCCAAGCGGGTCAAGAAGCGGGTGTGCGAGCGCATCTCCCTGCCCATGTCTCCACAGAGAAGCCCGGCTCAGCACCCTCAGGGGGCCCGTCCAGGCTCAGCAGCAGCAGCTCCTCCGAGTCTGGGAGCAGCAGCTCCAGCGGGTCCAGCTCTGACAGCAGTGACTCAGAATGAACTGGCTTCGGACAGAACAGGACAGATGGATGTCGCACACGCCGAGACTCTGCCGTACCCCTCTGTGGTTCATATTACTACTTCTGTTCCATGGTGTGCAGGTCTGCTTCTTAATTCAGTGTTATGATATCTTCCAGTTTTTGCTTTCATAGGTCAGAGATCTATCTTGTGTGTGCGTTAGACTTGATGAGAAGGTGTGAACTCTGCAGAAAGTCTCTTCTTCATCACTGAATTCAGTCACTTGGAGATGACAACTTCAAATGCTAACCCGATGACCCCAGAAAACCGTGTGAGATTCGTACCGAAGAACCTTGTGGAATCCCTTTGCTTAGGCCCAACCTGGTCGATAGCTCGAGAAAGAATTTTTTCCAAGGAAATGTCTCGGATATGGGTACTGTATTTGAAAGCTGTTAGCTTTGTCAACACGCATTGTCCTTGTCATTTGGGCCCCGAGCTCTGACCCTCGTGTCTGACGCGGCCACCTCTTTCTGGAGGGGCTGAGGACAGATGTGCCTGCTTGTGGAGACCAGGCTGGGCCTAAGCGAAGGGTCATCGCAGCCCCAGCCCGGAGCGTGGAGCCCTTGGGGGGTGGTCGGGTGGGATGTGCGTTCTCCGCTCGTGGTGATGTCAGGAGCTCCTCGGAGGGAACAGAGCGGCTGTGTATGCAGCCTGCAGGTTTCCATACACTGAAGCTTTTACCTCAACTTTAAAAAAAAAAAAAGAAGAAAAGATTTAAAAAAAAAAAAAAAGGAGACTTTTTTTGTAAGGTTCGGCAATTTTCTACGGAAGTCCAGCCCGCTGTGAGTCCCCGCCTGGCTAGCGCTGCCCCTGCTGCTGCTGCCGCGCCACCCTTGGGAACCACTTCCCGAGCTTATGTGTATATAAATAGTTATTTATTAACATCATTGGTCATTTTTAAAAAAAAGAAAATAAGAAAAAACCGCAGAAGAAATGCATTCACACAGTCGCAGAGATGCAGGCCTTGCCAGTGGTGTGCCGGGCGCGGGTCCTGTCTGGCGGCGGCCTGTCGTCTCCAGGTGCTAACTCCTGCCACCGCGCGGTGCTCACCCACGTCTGTTCGCGCGCTCGCCCCTGGGTTTGTTGGGTTTTTTGGTTTTTTTCTTTGTGGTTTTTTTTTTTTTTTTTTTTTGTATGAAACTTGGAGGCTTACAGGTATAGACAGCTTTCAGCTACAGCACATTCTAATTTTTTATTTTGTTTAGTTCTTTTGTATTCACTTCTGGTCTCTTTAAGACTGTTTTAAAAGAAATCAATTTAGGGAACCCCAGTTATATAATATAAACTTTGTAATCTGAGAGAAAAAATGTATAGTAAATCTAAGTCTTGATTTTTAACTTTCTATTGTAAAAAATAATAATATACAGAGTTTAATAGAAGGTGATGTTTTGGTTTTGTTTTCCCAGAGGCTGCCATATGGTCTTTGAGTACGGGGATGTCCCAAACTGGCCCACCAATGAGCATGGCGGCTCCGGCCAGGAATGCCAGAGTTAGCCTCCCAGGCTTGCGGGTGGACATGCCTGCTCCCTGCCAGCCTCCAGTGGCCTGGCCAGGCCCTCCCGAGCCTGTCTGCCCTCCCCAGGGGTGGAGGAGTCTCTGGGCCCCAGGAGGATTCCCTCCCGGAGACTCGCACGGTGCTCCCTGCTCACGCGTTGTCACAGTTAGTCCGGAAATGACTGAAACCAGGCATTCTCCCGGACCTCAGCGTGGGGGAGCCTCCAGGCAGACGCTGGGTATGGAGCTGTGGTGTGGTCTGTCCTGTATGGTGGCCAGTGCTTTCTGCCAGCATTTCTGGATGGATATAGGGACTATCATTAGTATCCTAATACACGGTGATTTTAAAACAACCATAAAATTGATTCAGAGTCCACTGACCCTTACAGATGTAGGTATACCCTTACTGGAGAGGGAACTCTGATGAGGAGATGCTGGTAAATTATCATTTTTTAAATTGCTGGTGAGTCTGACACTTGGTGAGTTTTCAGCCAGTTTGTTAAACTTTTAATTAAGTTTTGTTTATAATAAAAATATAAATGGATTTGAAAGTTTCCATTTTTTAAAGTTACCCTCGTTTTCAAAGGTATTTTCTAAACAGATCTTTAATGGACTATTTAAACCGAATTTAAGGAATTCACACACGACAGTTGACAGGTCTTCACGCAGGCTGGTTGGTAACGTGCTGCCAGCACAGGGCTGGGTGATACGTACACCCTAAGCCGGGGGTGCCTGGGGCTGGGGGGCGCTCCTTGCAATGCCCCTCCAGCCACAGGGCAGTGAGGTGCTGCCTGTGTGAGCCGTCGGGGGAGCGGCCGGCTGTGGGGGCAGCGCAGCAGGAGCATCGTGGGGCCTTTCCTTCTCGGCTGGTTCTCTGTGACGGTGGCGTCGGCTCGCCTCTGCTCCTTTCATCTAGAAAGAAGCCACTGACCCTGACAGCCCACGGCGGGTACACTGAGCAGCTGCATTGGTGCTGTCACTTTTTTAAGGCTTTCTGTCCAGACTTCAACACTGGTTTCTTTTCAGAGTTTCGAAGGATTAATGACTTCCTCAGCGCCCTTGCTGGCGGGCTGAGGGTGACAGTCACGTCCGTTTCTTCTGTATTAGAAGGCTGCGGTGATTCAATTAGATTGTCCCACTGCTGAGACCTGTAGGGCAGCTTCTAACATGCTTTTTTCAAGGGGAGAGGAGTAGTGACAAGTCGTGTGTCGGAATTGGATTTGAGAACACTCTGAATGACCCCTGGAGGCCGAGGGGGCAGGCTTCGGGCGTGAACTGAACTCCAGACCCCTCTTTGTGTTGGGCAGTGTCATCTTGCTTACAAACTGTAAGACACATTTTTTTGTGTGTTTGTTTTTGTTGTTGTTCTTTTGCAGCACTCACGCCTCTGACAGTCTTTTGGGAAAGAGTAACACCCACATACAGAATTTGTCACATCCAGAGTAGCACTGTTCCTTAATACTGGCATAATGCTTCCAGGAAGTTTTTCTTTTTTATATTTAAAATGTTACTTTTCTGTATGATGTGCATGCAAGTTTACCGTAACTTTTCTTAAACTTTTTAGTGCCGTTTCTAGTATATTCCTGTAAATGTCAGTTACTGAAAATGAGTCCAATGTAAGTAGTTTAGCTTGTTTATTGCAATGCTGGCCTCAACACAACAGAATAAAAATGGTAGAAAGTACTCTTTGATGTTTCTGGTAATCATGGACCCTTCTCCTGGGGCATTTGTTTTGTTTTCATAATAAAAAGCAAAAAAAAAAAAAAAAAAAAAGACTGTTTTTTTTTTTTGCATTTTCCTGTGCTTTCTGTGGGGGCTCCCAGCCTCTCTCCTGGAGCCTGGAAATGTCTGGAAGCACCTGGTCTGGAACAGCCTTCACTGGTCCACAGCAAGGGTGCTGAGCTCCCCACACTTGACATCCTGTAACTCTTGGCAAAAACACCCAGAGCATCCAAAAGGGGCCCCAAAAAACCATTTAAAGGCAGGATGCAGTGGCTCGTGCCTGTGATCACAGCACTTTGGGAGGCTGAGGCAGGAGGATGGCCTGAGGCCAGGAGTTTGAGGCTGCAGTAAGCCATGATTGCATCACTGCACTCCAGCCTGGACAACATCTCTTAAAAAATAATAATAATCAAACCATTAAGTAGCTCTTGTCCTGAGCCCTGGCAGGATGAAGGGAGCATCATTTCTTGCCTCACTAGGAAGCCACAATCCCCTTTACTGACAGTTCATTGGTTCCCTGGAACAAGCTGCCCTCTTCGAGACAGCCAGGTTCTGTGCTCTTCTAGTCAACCTGGCCGCTTGTCCCCTCCCTCTGCACCTCAGTCTATCCTGAAGTGGCTTGTGATGCGCTCAGTCTAATGGAAATGCAAATAAAATCCCAAAAGCAGATTTTCATAGTGAGGTTTAACTGCCAGACTGGAGGCTGGCGTGCAGCGCGGCTCGCCGAAGAATGACAGCTCTGGAACTAGGCCTGGAAGAGACATGCCAGGGGAGAAGGTTCTGGCTGGGCCCACGTCTAGGCCTGAGGACCTGTCCAGCCCGACCCCAGATGGGGTCAGGGGGCACGGTGACACTCCTGGCCAGACTGTGACCCTTCTCATCCAGACCAGCCTCCTTGAGGACGGACATGGGGCCTTGTCCGCCCCAGGCAGATGGTGTCTTCCTGCAGCCTAAGCGGCTTAGTGCCAGCTCCTTGTGCGTGGCCCACACGCCCTGACCCCTGCAGAGACTGGCCCTTGAGCACACATCCTGCCAGCGTTGCAACGTGACCTCAGACCCCATTCTGCATGTCTGCGCTGCCTCCCATGCTTGGGGCCAACCCCGCCACAACCCGTCCTCAGGGGAGTCTGTGGTGCGGTGAGAAGGTGGCACACAGGCATTCCAGATTTGCCTCTGGAGTTTGCTTTCTTCCCAGGCAGGACTTAAACTGAAGAACTGAAAAGATGCAGACAAACCCTACCTAGCGGATGTGGAGTGCTTCCTTGGCGGGCCCGCCTTGCTGTGGGAGTGTCAGCCGGCGGGGCAGGTCCTCCAGCCCCATGCTCACTCCCTCTGCAGCTCCATGCGGCAATCCTGGAAGTCTGACTTCAAATCTCCCAGCTGCAGGCTGCAAACAAGCCAGGACTCTCGCAGAAGGGACTCGGGCTGTGCAGGAGGCTGCTGCCGACCAGGCCTCTGGCAGGACATTTGGGGAATGCACTTTGACCCAGCAGTTCCACTTCTAGGACGTTTGCGAATGAACTTGCACAGCTGCAAAGAGAAGCACGAACAGAGTACAGGCACATTCAGAACATGCTGTTTGCACAGATGACAACCTGGATGCTGTCACTGTGCCCGTCTGTGGGCTCACGGGAGAGCTGCGAGTCAGAGGTTAAAAGCATGAAGTGGGCCGGGTGCGGTGGCTCACGCCTGTAATCCCAGTACTTTGGGAGGCCGAGGTGGGCAGATCACCTGAGATTGGCAGTTCGAGACCAGCCTGGCCAACATGGTGAAACCTTGTCTCTATTAAAAATAGAAAAATTAGCCAGGCGTGGTGGCAGGCACCTGTAATTCCAGCTACTCAGGAGGCTGAGGCAGGAGAATCGCCTGAACCCAGGAGGCAGAGGTTGCAGTGAGCTGAGATTGTGCCATTGCACTCCAGCCTGGGCAACAGAGTGAGACTCTCTTAAAAAAAAAGAAAAGCATTAAGTGAATGCCCAGTCTGTACAGTTGAGCAAGAAAGAAAATGGCGGATACAAGAGGCATGGTGCAGGATGAGGCCGTCAGAATCACGTGACCGTGTGTGCATGCTGAGGAGCTGTGGGACGCATCCCCAGCTGCCGGCCGGGTTCTCCCCACGGAGAGCACTTGTGCTTTGCTTTATGCCTTTGTGTATTGCAGTCTTTAGCAATCAATTACATATTACTGCTATAAAAAATGGGAAGCCAAGTAGGATATTACGAACAAGGATAAAAATAAGTGTGAGGAAGGGGAGGAGTGTATTAAAGGATGTTTATTTAGAAAAGAAAAATTAGCTTTGACAAGAGACACCTGCACATTTGTGTAGCCAAGGAGATGTCAGTGAGAGCAGAAGGTGAATCCTTCATGGAGACTGAACACAGGTGGCCAGCTGTGGCAGCGACAGTGAACACATGTCAGTGTCGGCCTGGGGGCAGAGTGGTTGAATGCTTTAAGTCTGGTGGAGAGCCTGCCTTGCTCAGCCCTGTTACTACATGGAAGTCACTGTAGGCCACACATGTGCAACTTACAACTCTCGGGTTTCCTGAATGTGTTTTGGATGCACTGGCCAGTGGGCCGCAAATGCTTGGAAGCTACCATGATGCTTCACAGATGATGATCATTTTGGTAACTCAAAATATAAATGCGGGCTTGGTGCGGTGACCCATGCCTGTAATCCCAGCACTCTGGGAGGCTTGAGCCCAGGACTATAAGACCAGACCAGCCTGGGCAACATAGGGAAACCCTGTCTCTATATACAGTAGTTCGCCTGGAGCCACAGCTACCTGGGAGGCTGAGTTTGGGAGGATCACCTGAGCCCAGGAGATAGAGCCTACAGTGAGCTGTGATTGTGCCACTGTATTCCAGCCTGGGTAACAGAGTGAGACCCCGTCTCAAAAAAGCAAAATACAAAATGTAATGCGACAAAGCTCCTGGTGAGATGCTGCTGCTACTCCGCCATTTATGCTAAAAACAAAAAACTAAAACCTAAAAAACTTGAAAAGGTGGTTTGTAATGGGGATGGGAGGGTTACTCTTGGCCTGGTTTAAACCAAGCATCTAGCAGTGCCCGGGCCTATGCTGTCCCTAGCAGCACCTGGAGAATTCAAATGTCACAACAGCTGACCACGGAGGGGACTCTAGAGGGGAAGTGTCCTGTGCACCAGTCACACCGCGGCTGTGCTGAGGGGTTCGGGGGCCAATTCTGCGCTTCTTGGGTTCTTACACCACAGTTTGATCTTCACGTTCATTATTCAAAATCTTCCAGCAAGGATTGGAAATCAACAAGACAACTGAATGAAACTCAGGTCTGTTTTCCTCAAAGTGTGGTCCTGGGTTCAGGTGCTCACATCGGAATTACATAATTGTGCAAAACTTGGACTGCCCTGTGTCCCTAGAGACCTCGAGCTTGTTTTTGTCTCGGACCAAGATGGCCTCATTTCCATACTGTGAGTACCACATGCTTCGGCTCCTGCTCAGGTACGTCCCAGGTGGCACCGACTCCAACTTCTGCTGTTGCTGCTGCCAGATGAGCAAGGAGGTGTCCCTGTACCGGAGGCGGGCGTAGCCTTCAGACAAGGCCTTCTCTGCCAGGGGGACACGGCCACTCATCCCCTCCCCCGTCCCGCTGGACTCCTGGGAACCCTGCTGTTCTGAGACGGCCCACGCGCACTAAATTAACGGACAGCTTTCCCAGCTTTGGGGCTTAAGGATCCCTCGTTTAACTGAATGGTAGAAATTAGGAATTCCGCCCATTTGCAGGCAACGTCCTCAGGAGGGTTGTGTGGTGAGGAAATGAGGCGGCCTCACCATTCTGAAGACACCTGAGACCCATTCAGGGGACCGCACACAGGTCAGAGCGGCGCCCGGCCACAGCTCTTCCGGGTGCAGCTGTGTGGAATTGACAGGGACGAGGCGTCACACCCTGGGGGGTGATTCTGCCACCATGGCCTGGACCACTGAGCTTGAAGAGATGGATCCAGTGCCCTGAGGAAGGGACATGGTGGCCCCAGACGCAAGCTGGAAGGAGCTCCGGTGGCACGCCCCGCACGCATCTGTCCGGGCCAGCTTTCAGGGCAACGGCTGTTCTGACCCACCCTGGGGATCCAGCCCCAGCGTTTGTTCAGGTCTCGTCTCTCCCCAAAGGTGCTGCTGCAAAGGAACGAACGTGCTGTCAGGAGAGGGGAAGTCAAGCGCCCCGGCAGCGGCGGCAGTCTGCAGCGCAGCATCAAGTCTCTGGGGGTCAGCGGCCTAGATCGAGCTACTTACGTCCCGTGGGGCAGCCTGGGAGCTGGGTGGAGAGTGAGACGGGCGCCCAGTGCCAGCTTTTTCAGTCACTGGGAGGTGCTGGGGAGGCTGCTTGTTGGGGCTTCAGGGTCTCCATCTGTGAAACAGGAGCCAGCGGCGCTTGAAAGGGCGCGGGTTCCCGGAGACGCCGCCAGGCGTCAGCCCCGGGACCGGAAGGGGCCCCCAGGGCCGCCTTGCTGCTCCGAGCATCCAGCTCCCGTGAGGCCCCTGGACCCAAACAAAAACGATGTCAGGAGAAAACAAACAGGGAAGCATCGCAACCCACTCCCGAACGCCTTCCCAGCTGCGCAGCGTCAGGGACCTCCCCTCCTGGGATGCCTGCGCTAGGTCAGCCTCAGCTTCCCGGGCCCCCATCGCGCGTCCCCGCCACCTGCGCGCACCCTGGGGTCCCCGTCGCGTGGCCCGCGGCCCCCATCCCCGCGCCCCAGACCCCGCGCGCTCTGGGTCGCCCCATCCTCCAGCCCCCTATCGTCTGCCCGCATCCCCGGGTCCCCCACGTCGCCCGCCCCAGTCACCGCTCGTCGCGGGCCTCGGAGATGCGGGCAGCGGCGCGACGCACTGCGGGGCTCCCAGGGCGGGGCCGGCGGCCGCTGGGCCGTGTCTCCATGGCAGCGCCGCAGGCCTGGCGAGCCGAGCGCAGAGGCTGGGCAGGCGTGTGCGACGAGCCCAAGCCATCGATCGCTCCGCGAGGAGGGGCTGGGCCCGCCCCGAATAGGAACTGGAAGAGGAGGAGGAGGGGCTGGAGGAGGAGGGGCTGGAGGAGGAGGGGCTGGAGGAGGAGGAGGGAGGAGGAGGAGGAGCTGGGAGAGGAGGGGCTGGGAGAGGAGAAAGGGCTGGATGAGGAGGAGGGGCTGGAGGAGGAGGAGGGGCTGGGAGAGGAGGAGCTGAACGAGAAGGAGGAGCAGAAGGAGGAGTGGAGGAGAAGGAGGAGCAGGAGGAGGAGCTGGGGGAGGAGGAGGAGCTGAGAGAGGAGGAGGAGATGGAGGAGGAGGGGCTGGATGGTGAGGGGCTGGGAAAGGAGGAGGGGCTGGGAGCGGAGGTGGGAGGAGGGGCTGGCAGAGGAGAAGGGGCTGAGGAGGTACTGGAAAAGAAAGAGGAGCAGGAGCTGGAGGAAGACGTGGAGGAGGAGCTGGAGGAGGATGAAGAGAAGGAGTGGGACGCCCACAACCCTGTTAGTAAGACACTGCCGGACTGTATGGTCTTATCATCTTGGTTTTCGTATTTCTGCTTGTGTGGTTACTTTTGCCACTGCTGTTACTGCTTTTATTAGTATTCTTACTCTCAGTAATTGATACAATTATTTTTAATTAATTAAATGTCCGGGCTTACTATCTCAAAAATAGGTCTTGAATTTCTCCATCTCATCCAACCAAGCCAGGCCTCTATACTGCTCATTTGGACTCCTCAACAGCCCCATGAAAGCAAGGTCTATTTCCTTTTCTCACTCCACCTCCAATCATACTCCAATAGCACTCTTTTAGTATCTACCCTTTTCCCCTAATTTTATGGTTTTCTCCAATGCCAATTAAGAAAACTAGCATAATGGAACCTGGTGTGGTGGCTCACCTCTGAGTCCCACCTACTTGGGAGGCTGAGGCAGGAGGATCCCTTGAGCCAGGAGTTCGAGGCTGCAGTGAGCCATAATCATGCCACTGCACTTCAGCTGGGACGAAACAGCAAAACCCCATCTCTAAAAAAAAAGAAAATAAGCATAACAGACATCCAAGGAAGATGCTTAGTGTGAGCACTAAGCCCACAGCTGTGGAACGCACATTCTTTTTTTTTTTTTTTTTGAAAGGGAATCTCACTCTGTCACCCAGGGTGGAGTGTGGTGGCACGATCTCAGCTCACTGCAACCTCCGCCCCCCAGGTTCAAGCGATTCTCCTGCCTCAGCCTCCTGAGTAGCTGGGACTACAGGCGCCGGCAACCACGCCCAGCTAATTTTTGTATTTTTAGTAGAGACAGGGTTTCACCATATTGGCCAGGCTGGTCTCGAACTCCTGACCTTGTGATCCGCCTGCCTCGCACTTTCTTCACAAGTACCTACACAGGACGTTTAGCAAAACTGATCACATGCTGGACCATAAATCAGTTTCAACAAATTTGAAAACGTTTAAATCTTACATGATCTCCCAGTCTTCCGACCTGGGAAAAGACAGCAACCGAAGTTATACTGCTTTCAAGAGACACAAGAACAGGCCTGTATTCAAAGACCCATTTAACACTTTTACCTCTATCTGGCTGGGTGCGGTTTTCACGCCTGTAATCCCAGCACTTTGGGAGGCCTAGGCGGTCACATCACTTGAGGTCAGGAGTTCGAGACCAGCCTAGCCAACATGATGAAACCCTGTCTCTACCAAAAATATAAAAAATTAGCCCAGTGTGGTGGCAGGCGCCTGTAATCCCAGCTACTCAGGAGGCTGAGGCAGGAGAATCTCTTGAACCCAGGAGGCGGAGGTTGCAGTGAGCTGAGATTGCACCATTGCACTCCAGCTTGGGTGACAGAGTGAGACCCCATCTCAAAAAAAAAAAAAAAAAATTGCCTCTAAGCTAATATAATTTGTTCTATGCCTTGAACTAAATAATTTGAATATTTAGTTACCTGTAAGCTTCCTTTTCCTGTCGTTGTCAAAACCAAATAGGACTTATATTTCTGTTCGAAACATTTACTTATGTTTTGTTTTCCAGAGTCAAAAAGCTGTTTTTCCTTTTAAGCTATTTTATAGCTACAACAATTAAGTAAAAAATGAAGATTACCTCTCTTTTTCTACCTGATATCTCCAGAATCTGAAAATGATTTAAAATCCCATTGGCTCCAATCTGATTTGATATCAAACACCCTCCCTCTAGGCCCAGGGACAATTGCAGAAGAGGTAAACGCATGAGATTGTAAGGGCTGGTTTCGAGGGATAAAATTTGTTCAGACCCTCTGAATCAAAGATGGTTCACAAATACCTAAATAGCTGATAGCTCAATACATAAAACTTAGAGATAAGTCAATTTTGTAACCTCACGTTTTGGATTTTGGTTTTTGCCTCTTATGTTGCACAAAAGGTTGTTTTTTGTTGTTGTTGTTGTTTGTTTTATTTTGATTTTTTTGAGATGGAATCTCGCTCTGTCGCCCAGACCGGAGTACAATGGTGCAATCTCAGCTCACTGCAACCTCCGCCTCCCAGGTTCAAGTGATTCTCCTGCCTCAGCCTCCCGAGTAGCTAGGGTTACAGGCATGTGCCACCATGCCTGGCTCATTTTGTATTTTTAGTGGAGACAGGGTTTCACTATGTTGATCAGGCTGGTCTCAAACTCCTGACCTCGTGATCCACCCGCCTCAGACTCCCAAAGTGCTAGGATTACAGGCATAAGCCACCGCACCTGGCTGCACAAAAGGTTTTTAAGGGTGAATGAGTGCCTGCCCATCTCCTTTCCTATCTGTCCTAAAACATTTAATTAGCTGTCTTTCAGTCTTTTGGCTCTAAGTCTCTTGGCCATAGGGATCCCACCAAGGGACAAGATGGACCCAGTGCAGGTAGCACACAGCCCCAGCAACGATATAGGACAAAATAAAAGTTTGGTCATCAATGCCATCTCTGGCAAATCTTGGCCAAAAGAAGGGAATATAAACTAAAAATAAAATCCTAAACTCCTCACTGACTGAACGGATCCCCTCTTGGCCAAGGGGACCTCAGAAAAAACTTAAAACTGAGTTCCCAGCCACGATGGGATAGGAGAGCCCACTCATGTCGTTATAACTCCTCCCTTTGGTGACTTAGAGACAAGGCACTAGCATTTGCGTTAAAATATGTAAGACTGAAAACATAGAAGACTGAAAAACAGACTCTTTATGGCGATAACATACCAAATTATAAATAAGACCTGTGGCTGGGCATGGTGACTCACATCTGTAATCCCAGCACTTTGAGAGTCCAAGGCGGGCAGATCACTTGAGGCTGAGAGTTCGAGACCAGCCTGGCCAACATGGTGAACCCCCATCTCTACAAAAAATACAAAAATTAGCTGGACATAGTGGCGCATGCCTGTAATCCCAGCTACTTGGGAGGCTGAGGCAGGAAAACCACTTGAACCCAGGAGGTGGAGGTTGCAGTGAGCCAAGATGGCACAACTGCACTCCAGTCTGGGTGACAAAGTGAGACTCTGATTCCAAAAATAAATAAATTAATTAATTAATAAGATTTAGGGCCATGCCAGGCACAAGTTAAGTCCTACACCTCTACAATTAAAGAATAAACTCTATTCTCACTGCCACGAGGTTGTTCCTTTTCTCTAGCAGCTAAGTAAGTACTGACCTCAAGATAAACAATGTTAAAACGATTTGCAGCTCATCCAGCTCCAGATGCTAACTGACCCCATTCACCCACCATAACTAGCTTTCTCTTCTTTTGAAACAGCGTCTCACTCTGTCCTCCAGGCTAGAGTGCAGTGGTGCAATCCTGGCTGAGTGCAGCTTCAACCTCCCAGCCTCAAGCAATCCTCCCACCTCAGCCTCCCAAGTAGCTGGGCCTACAGGTGTGCACCACTAGGTGTACCAGTAGGTCCACCCGGGAGGTGGAGTTTGCACCCAGCTACTTTTTGTATTTTTGGTAGAGATGGGGTTTTGCCATGTTGCCTAGGCTGATCTCAAATTCCTGGGCTTAAACAATCCTCCCATCGTGGCCTCCCAAAGTGCTGGGACTACAGGTGTGAGCCACTATGCCCAGCCAACTACAGCTTTCATTGAACAAGAGACTGATTTCAGCAACTTTCTCCAGGTAAGACCACTGACTATGGATTGGTTCCGGCTGGTTCAGAGAGGCTGCATACTTGTGTGCTTTTGTGTCCTGGAAAGACCTTTTTACTATAAGGCCTAATTTTATTTTATGTATGTATATATTTTTATTTATTTGAGACGGAGTCTCCCACTATTGCCCAGGCTGGAGTGCTGTGGTGCCATCTCGGCTCACTGCAACCTCCGCCTCCTGGGTTCAAGTGATTCTCCTGCCTCAGCCTCCCAAGTAGCTAAGACTACAGGTGTGCACCACGGTGCCCAGCTAGTTTTTTTTTTATTTTTAGTAGAGACTGGGTTTCACCGTATTGGCCAGACCTCAGCCTCCCAAAGTGCTGGGATTACAGGCGCGAGCCACTGCACCCAGCCTATAAGGCCTAATTTTAGTACATTTTGATGCTAAGTCTCCACCCCAAGGTGAACATGAGTTGTATGTTACATGCATGTTTGTTCAGTATGCATGTTGTCAGGACCTTCATGAATATTCATAGCTCCTCCTATAACCTGTTGAATGTGTATGTTTAGCCAACCTGTTCAGCATGGAGCTCCTGCCCCAACCCCTCCTCCTTCAGAGGCACATTTTCCAGCCTGTGGGATGGCCACCTTGCTGGCTGTAACCCTTTATGAGAAAGAAAGTCACCCAGGCGCAGTGGCTCACACCTGTAGTCCCAGCAATTTGGGAGGCCAAGGCGGGCAGATCACTTAAACTCAGGAGTTCAAGACCAGCCTGGCCAACATGGCAAAACCCCATTTCTACAAAAAGTACCTGGGCATGGTGAAAGGCACCTATAGTCCCAGCTACCTGGGAGGCTGAGGCAGGAGGGTTGCTTGAGCCCAGGAGGCAGCGGTCGCAGCGAGTCATGATTGCATCACTGTACTCCAGCCTGGGCAACAGAGTATTTATGGATATTGTGGGGTTCTTTTTTCAATTAACAGTACAAATTCAGGAGAATCTCAGACAAATTATTAAAATTAATAAGACAGGGCTGGGCGAGGTGGCTCACACCTGTAATCCTAGCACTTTGGGAGGCTGAGGCGGGTGGATCACGAGGTCAGGAGTTGGAGACCAGCCTGGCCAACATAGTGAAACCCTGTCTCTACTAAAAATACAAAGAATTAACCAGGCGTAGTGGTGGGTGCCTGTAATCCCAGCTACTGGGGAGGCTGAGGCAGGAGAATCGCTTGAGCCCGGGAGGCGGAGGTTGCAGTGAGCTGAGATTGCGCCACTGCACTCCAGCCTGGGCAACAGAGACAGACTGCGTCTCAAAGGAAAAAAAAAAGTCTTTTTGTTCCTGTCTAGCTGCCCCACCCATTGTCTTCATGTTCCTGGAATATGTGTATAAAAAACAATGGATAGCCAATCAATAGCTTGTTATTTTAATGTAAATTTTTGGTAAACAATTCAGGAACTCCCCTTCTTTTCCTTTAAAAATCCTCTAGTAACCGCTACTAACTGGAGTGGATGTTCAGGGCAACTTGCATGCTCCGGGTTGCAGCCCTCAAGCTTGGCCCAAATAAACTCTCTACTTACATTAATTTTTCCTCAGCTTCTTCCTTTTAGGTTGCAAACCAAAAATAAAATCCTGGCCAGCCATGTTGGCTCATGCCTGTAATCCCAACATTTTGGGAGGCCAAGGCGGGTGGATTGCTTGAGCCCAGGAGTTCAAGATCAGCCTGGGCAGCATGGTAAAACCCCTTTTTAAATAAAAATACAAAAAATTAGCCAGGCATGATGGTGTGTACCTGAAGTCCCAGTTACTTGGGAGGCTAAAGTGGGAGCAATGCTTGAGCCCGAGAGGTCAAGGCTGCAGTGAGCTGTGGTTGCACCACTGTACTCCAGCCTTGGCGACAGAGTGAGACCCTATCTCAAAAAAGTTTTAAGGGCCAGGCACGGTGGCTCACGCCTGTAATCTCAGTACTTTGGGAGGCCAAGGTGGGCAGGTCACCTGAGGTCAGGAGTTTGAGACCAGCCTGACCAATATGATGAAACCCTGTCTCTACTAAAAATACAAAAATTAGCTGGGTGTGGTGGCGGGCACCTGTAATCCCAGCTACTTGGGAGGCTGGGACAGGAGAATTGCTTGAACCCGGGAGGTGGAGGTTGCAATGAGCCGAGATCACACCATTGCACTCCAGCCTGGGAGACGAGTGAAACTCCGTCTCAAAAAAAAAAAAAAAAAAAAGCTTTAAAAAAATAAATAAATAAATAAAAATCCTAAGCCCCTGGTGGACTGAACAGACCCCTTCTTGGCTAAGGGGACCCCAGAGAAACCTGAAAAACAGCATTCCTGGCCATGACAAGAAGGGAGGCTGGACATGTCTCGTTCTCCCCTCTCCCTTTTGGAGTTTAGGCACCACTGGCCAGCATCATTAAAATAGAGGTCGTGAGACTGACAAAACAGACTTTTTTTTTTTTTTTGAGACAGAGTCTCTGTTGCCAGGCTGGAGTGCAGTGGCGTGATCTCAGCTCACTGCAACCTCTGCCTCCTGGGTTCAAGCGATTCTTCTGCCTCAGCCTCCCGAGTAGCTGGGACTACAGGCGTGCGCCACCATGCCCAGATAATTTTTGTATTTTTACTAGAGATGGGGTTTCAACATGTTGGCCAGGATGGTCTCGATCTCTTGACCTCGTGATCCACCTGCCTTGGCCTCCCAAAGTACTGGGATTACAGGCGTGAGCCCCCGCGCCCTGCCAAAACAGACTCTTTATGGCAACAAGATACCAAATTCCAACCAGACCCTTGTATAGCACCACATGACAGATAGCAGACCCTGAAGGAAAGGAAAATATTTTACCTCAAAATATATTTCTTTATTTTTTTGAGATGGAGTCTCGCTCTGTCGCCCAGGCTGGAGTGCAGTGCCACGATCTTGGCTCACTGCAATCTCCACCACCAGGTTCAAGCAGTTCCCCTGCCTCAGCCTCCTGAGTAGCTGGGATTACAGGCGCCCGCCACCACGCCCAGCTAATTTTTGTATTTTTAGTACAGACGGGGTTTCACCATATTGGTCAGGCTGATCTCGAACTCCTGACTTCAGGTGATCCACTGGCTTCGGCCTCCCAAAGTGCTGGGGTTACAGACATGAGCCACCGTGCCCAGCCCCCAAATACATTTCTTTGACATATTTTGGAATGGCCCTGCAAAGCCGTCTTCTGTGGGGGAAATTTGCATCTGTAAAGAATCTCTATTAGGAGCCTGGCCTTTCCTTTCTAGGCGTTTCCCGGATTTAGGAGAAATTAAATGAGAGTCTAATACAGGTGGGTCTGATCTTTTTTTTTTTTTTTTTTTTGAGACAGAGTCTCTGTCGCCCAGGCTGGAGTGCAGTGACGTGATCTCTGCTCACTGCAAACTCTGCCTCCTGGGTTCACGCCATTCTCCTGCCTCAGCCTCCCAAGTAGCTGGGACTGCAGGCGCCCACCACCATGCCCGGCTAATTTTTTGTATTTTTAGTAGAGACGGGGTTTCACTGTGTTAGCCAGGATGGTCTCGATCTCCTGACTTTGTGATCTGCCCGCCTCGGCCTCCCAAAGTGCTGGGATTGCAGGCGTGAGCCACCACGCCCGGCCAGGGGGGTCCTATCTTGTGGAATCCCTAGGCCACGTTGGAAGAAGAAGAATTATCTTGGGCCATGCATAAAATACACTAACACTAACAATAGCTGATGAGCTTAAAAAAAATCACAAAAAAATCTCATTATATTTTAAGAAAATTTGTGAATTTGTGTTGGGCCACATTCAAAGCTGTGCTGGGCCTCTTGTGACCCATGGACCACAGGTTGGACAAGCTTGGTCTAACACCTTTAGGGTCTGAGAAGAGACATTCACCCTCTATTATCTCTAAGGCTGCTACTTGGAGGCTTCATCTACATAATAAGAACCTCGGTGTCCATAATCCCCTTATCTTAACTCAAGCATTTTTTTTTTTTTTTTTTTTTTGAGATAGAGTTTCACTCTGTTGCTCAGGCTGGAGTGCAGTAGCGTGATTTCGGCTCACTGCAACCTCTGCCTCCCGGGTTCAAGCTATTGTCCTGCCTCAGCCTCCCAAGTAGCTGGGATCACAGGCGTGTGCCACCATGCCCAGCATATTTTTGTATTTTTAGTAGAGATGGGGTTTCACCATGTTGGCAAGGCTGGTCTCGAACTCCTGACCTCAGGTGATCGCCCACCTCCACCTCACAAAGTGCTGGGATTATAGACTTGAGCCACCACACCCAGCCAACTCAAGCATTTCTTTCTACTGACTTCAAGTCTTTAGACAAAGCTTAACTCTTTCAACCAGTTGTCAATCAGAAATTCTTTGAATCTGCTTATGATCTGTAAGCCCCCCTCAGCTTCAAGACCTCCCACCTCTTTAGGCTGAACCAATGTAAACTTCCATGTATTGATTTATAATTTTACCTATATATCCTGTCTCTCTAAAATGTATAAAACCAAACTGTAACCCAACCACCTCGACTGCACTTTCTCCAGACCTCTTGAGACTGTTTTCTGGACCATGGTCACTCATTGGCTCAGAATAAACTTCTTTAAATATTTCACAGCTTTTTTTTTTTCCATCAACAAGGTTGACACAAGGTTGCTTGATGGAAAATTAATCTACAGAGTCAACTACTGTTCTAAATGACAGCAAAAAGCAGAAAACAAGTGTTTAAAAGATACCATTTACAGGCCAGGCGTGGTGGCTCACGCCTGTAATCCCAGTACTTTGGGAGGCCAAGGCAGGCAGATCACCTGAGGTCGGCAGTTTGAGACCAGCCTGACCAACATGGTGAAACCCTGTTTCTACTAAATATAAAAAGTTAGCTGGGCATGGTGGTGCATGCCTGTAATCGCTGCTGGTTGGGAGGCTGAGGCAGGAGAATCGCTTCAACCCAGGAGGTGGAGGTTGCAGTGAGCCGAGATTGCACCATTGCACTCCAGCCTGGGCAACAAGAGTGAAATTCTGTCTCAAAAAAAAAAAAGATACCATTTACAATAATTTCAAAATATATCAAATACCTGGAAATGGGGATGGATGCCCCATTCTCCACGATGTGGTTATTCCACATTGCCTGCGTCAAAACATCTCATATACCCCATAAGTATATGTATCTACTATGTACCCCCACAAATGAAAAATTAAAAAATACCTAGGAATATTCAGGACTTCACAAATACTTTATTTTATTTTACTATTATTATTTTTTTGAGACAGAGTTTTGCTCTTGTTGCCCAGGCTGGAGTGCAATGGTGCGATCTCGGCTCACTGCAACCTCCGCCTCCCAGGTTCAAGTGATTCTCCTGCGTCAGCCGCCTGAGTAGCTGGGATTACAGGCATGTGCCACCATGCCCGGCTAATTTTGGATTTTTAGTAGAGACGGGGTTTCTCCACGTTGGTCAGGCTGGTCTCAAACTCCCAACCTCAGGTGATCCGCCCACCTCAGCCTCCCAAAGTGCTGGGATTACAGGCATGAGCCACCGTGCCCGGCTGGCACAAAAACTTTAAATGGAGAAATTTTATGAATGGAAACCTCACTATTTAAATTTAAAAAAGATACCAACTATAGACATCTGACTAAAGTATGCACTTGAATTAATAATAATGTATCAATATTGGTTCATTAATTGTCACAGACCACACGAAAGTAAGACATCAACAATAGAGAAAATTGGTATTGGGCTTATATGGACGCCGTACCATGTTTGCAATTTTTCTGTAAAACAAACTCTTCTAAAATTTTTAAAGCTTATTAAAATATACCTTTTAAGAGTGAAAAGGAAAGCCACAGAACGTGAGAAGAAATTTGCAATACATATGATTGATATGGAACTTATATTAGTCAGAGTCTGTTTGGAAGAGAGAAACCACACCAATCATTTGAACTGGGAGAAATAAATACAAGGAATTGTTCGCTAAGTACAAAGTTGTTAAGTTCAGAAGAAAAAAAATAACTCTAAAATATCCTAAAGTAGCACCTGCAGGAAGCAACTACCACCACCCCTAGGGATAAGGAACAAAGGGAAGAGGTTGGAATGATGAAAACCTAGATGCTTAGAGGAGGGACCCATGAAGCTGCCAGAAGTGTCCAAACCAGAGTGACTCCATCTTGAATGAGAGAAAAATATAGTGAGACCTGCTGGGTCACATTCCCAGGAGGTGAAGCACTCTTATGGTTGAGGGAGCAAGTTAATGATGCTTACTAACTAAACAGACCCAGTACTTCTGGAAATGCCCTGATGTCCTGATATCTTAAGGAAAAAAACTTTCTTAATTTAAGAATAGGTTTTGGCTGGGCGCAGTGGCTCAGGCCTGTAATCCCAGCACTTTGGGAGGCCAAGACGTGGGCATCACCTGAATCCAGGAGGTTGAGACCAGCTTGGGCAACATGGTGCCATCTCTACCAAAAACCAAAATTAGCCAGGTGTTGTGGCACACACCTGTGGTCCCAGCTATTTGGGAGGCTGAGGTGGGAGGATCATTGAGCCTGGGAGTTTGAGGCTGCAGTGATCCATGATCGCGCCACTGCACTCCAGCTTGGGGGAGGGGAGTAAGACCGCCATCTTAATTGAAAAAAAAAAAGGAATAGCTAGATACAAACATACACATACTTAATAGGCAAGGGAATCTACGGAGTTGATACAAGCCTTGTTCCTGCAACCAGTCCCGAGGCCGCAGTGTTTCACAGTCCCGAGGCCGCAGTGTATCACAGTCCCGAGGCCACAGTGTATCACAGTCCCGAGGCCGCAGTGTATCACAGTCCCGAGGCCGCAGTGTTTCACAGTCCCGAGGCCGCAGTGTATCACAGTCCCGAGGCCGCAGTGTATCACAGTCCCGAGGCCGCAGTGTTTCACAGTCCCGAGGCCGCAGTGTATCACAGTCCCGAGGCCGCAGTGTTTCACAGTCCCGAGGCCGCAGTGTTTCACAGTCCCGAGGCCGCAGTGTATCGCAGTCCCGAGGCCGCAGTGTTTCGCAGTCCCGAGGCCGCAGTGTATCGCAGTCCCGAGGCCGCAGTGTTTCGCAGTCCCGAGGCCGCAGTGTATCGCAGTCCCGAGGCCGCAGTGTTTCGCAGTCCCGAGGCCGCAGTGTATCGCAGTCCCGAGGCCGCAGTGTATCGCAGTCCCGAGGCCGCAGTGTTTCACAGTCCCGAGGCCGCAGTGTTTCACTGTCCCGAGGCCGCAGTGTATCGCAGTCCCGAGGCCGCAGTGTATCGCAGTCCCGAGGCCGCAGTGTTTCACTGTCCCGAGGCCGCAGTGTATCACAGTCCCGAGGCCGCAGTGTATCACAGTCCCGAGGCCTCGGTGTTTCACAGTCCCGGGGCCGCGGTGTTTCACAGTCCCGGGGCCGCGGTGTATCACAGTCCCGGGGCCGCGGTGTATCACAGTCCCGGGGCCGCGGTGTATCACAGTCCCGGGGCCGCGGTGTTTCACAGTCCCGGGGCCGCGGTGTTTCACAGTCCCGGGGCCGCGGTGTTTCACAGTCCCGGGGCCGCGGTGTTTCACAGTCCCGGGGCCGCGGTGTATCACAGTCCCGGGGCCGCGGTGTATCACAGTCCCGGGGCCGCGGTGTTTCGCAGTCCCGGGGCCGCGGTGTTTCGCAGTCCCGGGGCCGCGGTGTATCGCAGTCCCGAGGCCGCGGTGTTTCGCAGTCCCGAGGCCGCAGTGTATCGCAGTCCCGAGGCCGCAGTGTATCGCAGTCCCGAGGCCGCAGTGTTTCACTGTCCCGAGGCCGCAGTGTATCACAGTCCCGAGGCCGCAGTGTATCACAGTCCCGAGGCCTCGGTGTTTCACAGTCCCGGGGCCGCGGTGTTTCACAGTCCCGGGGCCGCGGTGTATCACAGTCCCGGGGCCGCGGTGTTTCACAGTCCCGGGGCCGCGGTGTATCACAGTCCCGGGGCCGCGGTGTATCACAGTCCCGGGGCCGCGGTGTTTCACAGTCCCGGGGCCGCGGTGTATCACAGTCCCGGGGCCGCGGTGTTTCACAGTCCCGGGGCCGCGGTGTATCACAGTCCCGGGGCCGCGGTGTTTCACAGTCCCGGGGCCGCGGTGTATCGCAGTCCCGGGGCCGCGGTGTTTCGCAGTCCCGGGGCCGCGGTGTATCGCAGTCCCGGGGCCGCGGTGTTTCGCAGTCCCGGGGCCGCGGTGTATCGCAGTCCCGGGGCCGCGGTGTTTCGCAGTCCCGGGGCCGCGGTGTATCGCAGTCCCGGGGCCGCGGTGTATCGCAGTCCCGGGGCCGCGGTGTATCGCAGTCCCGGGGCCGCGGTGTATCGCAGTCCCGGGGCCGCGGTGTATCGCAGTCCCGGGGCCGCGGTGTATCGCAGTCCCGGGGCCGCGGTGTATCGCAGTCCCGGGGCCGCGGTGTTTCGCAGTCCCGGGGCCGCGGTGTATCGCAGTCCCGGGGCCGCGGTGTTTCGCAGTCCCGGGGCCGCGGTGTATCGCAGTCCCGGGGCCGCGGTGTATCGCAGTCCCGGGGCCGCGGTGTATCGCAGTCCCGGGGCCGCGGTGTTTCGCAGTCCCGGGGCCGCGGTGTATCGCAGTCCCGGGGCCGCGGTGTATCGCAGTCCCGGGGCCGCGGTGTATCGCAGTCCCGGGGCCGCGGTGTATCGCAGTCGCGGGGCCGCGGTGTATCGCAGTCGCGGGGCCGCGGTGTATCGCAGTCGCGGGGCCGCGGTGTATCGCAGTCCCGGGGCCGCGGTGTATCGCAGTCGCGAGGCCGCGGTGTTTCGCAGTCCCGAGGCCGCGGTGTATCGCAGTCCCGAGGCCGCGGTGTATCGCAGTCCCGAGGCCGCGGTGTTTCACTGTCCCGAGGCCGCGGTGTATCACAGTCCCGAGGCCGCGGTGTATCACAGTCCCGAGGCCTCGGTGTTTCACAGTCCCGAGGCCGCGGTGTATCACAGTCCCGAGGCCGCGGTGTTTCACAGTCCCGGGGCCGCGGTGTTTCACAGTCCCGGGGCCGCGGTGTTTCACAGTCCCGGGGCCGCGGTGTATCGCAGTCCCGGGGCCGCGGTGTATCGCAGTCCCGGGGCCGCGGTGTATCGCAGTCCCGGGGCCGCGGTGTATCGCAGTCCCGGGGCCGCGGTGTATCGCAGTCCCGGGGCCGCGGTGTATCGCAGTCCCGGGGCCGCGGTGTTTCGCAGTCCCGGGGCCGCGGTGTTTCGCAGTCCCGGGGCCGCGGTGTATCGCAGTCCCGGGGCCGCGGTGTTTCGCAGTCCCGGGGCCGCGGTGTATCGCAGTCCCGGGGCCGCGGTGTTTCGCAGTCCCGGGGCCGCGGTGTATCGCAGTCCCGGGGCCGCGGTGTTTCGCAGTCCCGGGGCCGCGGTGTATCGCAGTCCCGGGGCCGCGGTGTTTCGCAGTCCCGGGGCCGCGGTGTTTCGCTGTCCGGAGGCCGCGGTGTATCACAGTCCCGAGGCCACAGTGTATCCCGCAGTGGGCATTTCCAGGGTTCCTCCACCAGCCAGCAGCATCTCATCTGCTTGGGGTTCTTTAGCCAGCAGGCTGACTTATGCTTTCGCTCCCCAGGGGCATGAACCCGAGATTACCCTGCCCTTTATATGTTTATGTTCATGTTGCTATAGCTTTCTATTAGCCTCTACTGTTGGGTAGAAATACTAAAACGCACCTCAGAAAATCCCCTGGGCTCCCACATACACTGAGCCTCAGTGTAGAGCCATGACTCACTTTCTACTTGGCATTAGGCATCAATCATCCCAGCTGGTAAAGTCACGTGCTTCTTGGTTTTGTTTTGTTTTTGAGACAGGGTCTTGCTTTGATGCCCAGGCTGGAGTACAGTGGTTCAATCATGACTCACTGCAGCTTCCACCTCCTGGGTTCAGACGATCCTCCTGCCTCAGCCTCCCTAGTAGCTGGGACTGCAGGCATGCGCCACCATGCCCAGCTAATTTTGTATTTAATTTTGTTTTTGTAGATACAGGGTTTTTCCATGTTGCCCAGGCTGGTCTCGAACTCCTTGACTCAAGCAATCTTCCTGCCTTGGCCTCCCAAAGTGTTGGGATTATAGGCGTGAGCCACCGTGCCTGGCCCTGCTTCTCGGTGTTTTGATGCAGTGGAATGAGGACACCAAATTGCCAAGTGGTAGTCTCATTTTCCAAATCAGAGGAACCATCATTGAATTCCTTGGTCGAAACATTCCTTGCTTGAGAACCAAGACTTCTGAGCCATCAGAGCCCGCCACTGTGGGTGGGCAGGCTGCCAAGTTAAAGGCTTATCAGAAGTACCAGTCACAGGAGCCACTGCCCTTCTGAGCCCTGGTTCCTGGACACATGTCGTCCAGCTGCTGGGAAGACAGCGTGATCTGTTTGTCTCTGGTTCAAAGCATACACTTTAATCTGCAGATGAGGCCCTCGAACTTCCATGATGGCGTTTTTCCAGAGGTGCCGTCACTGTCCTCACTTGGTAACAGCACGCTAACCACGTGGCCTGTCCATTCCTTTTATCAGGCGGCACTTCGGGAAAGGGGCCTGTAGTCAGTCCGGTAACTTCTTTTGCTCAGGAGTGAGTTTCTTGCTTGGAAGCCATGTTGTGCGGGACACCATGGCAGCTGGCAAAGCATCTTGGCATGGATGACAGGGCTGGCAGAAGGACTGTGTGCAGGAAAAGCAACCGTGTCTATTCCAATGAGGCCGAGCCCCCTTCTCCTCCATGGGGAACGAAGTCCAATGGCATCAACCTGCTGCCACTTGGCTGGCTGCTTCCCCAGGTGATGGTGTCCTACTGGGAGCTCAGGGCCAGGTTCTTTTTTTTTTTTTTTAATCAGCAGGTCAGGTGCCCAGCAGTGGCAGTGCACAGGTCAGCTCTGGAGGGGGAGGTCCATGCTGCCGTCCATGCCCAGCCTCCACCCTTCCCCCACTCCACACTTGGAGCCCATCAAACATGCACGGGAGAGCTGGGAAAAGAGGCTGATGATGCCTGCAGAGGGGGCAGCTGTGGAGATCTGAGCACCGAGAGCCCCTCTGAAGCGAACAGACCTCAGAGACACCCGCCCGGCACAGCTATCCCCACAGCTGTCCATCTGGTACTTGGTCCCAGAACTCCCAGACACCTTGCTCCCAATCCATTCATTTCCAAGTCCTTAACCATCCTAACCATCCAGCCAGACATTCACAACTGCTCAGGAGTCAGTGTGGATGCATGTATGCAATACTATCCAGGGATTAGGAAGAAGTGAAGGGCTGGAACATGGCGGTAAACCTGAGAACAGTGTACACAAAGTACACGGATTATATGACTCCCTTTCTGTGAACTGTCTGGAGCAGGCACATTCGGAGAGACAGCCAGTGGATTTGCGGTTGCCAGAGGCTGGGGTTGGGTGGGGTGGGCTGGAGAGTCATGGCTAATAGGAACGGGGTTTCTTTTAGAGAGATGAAAATTTTCTAAACTTCAGTTGGGTGATGGTTGCACAGGTCTGTGAATATACTAGGAAGCTTTGAATTATACACTTTAAATAAAGGAATCTTATGGTATGTGAATTATATCTCAATAACGCAGTTTTTGGGGTTTTTTTTTTTTGTTTTGAGTTTCGCCTTTGTTGCCCAGGTTGGAGTGCAATGGTGCAATATCAGCTCACTGCAGCCTTCACCTCCCAGGTTCAAGCAATTCCCCTGCCTCAGCCTCCTGAGTAGCTGGGATTACAGGTGTGTGCCAGCACGCCCAGCAAATTTTTGTATTTTTAGTAGAGATTGGGTTTCACCATGTTGGCCAGGCTGGTCTTGAACTCCTGACCTCCCGTGACCCACCCACCTCGGCCTCCCAAAGTGCTGGGATTACAGGCATGAGCCACTGCGCGCCCAGCCAATAAAGCAGTTTTTAAAAAGTTAATCCTGACTTGCTCAAGGATATCAGCAAAAATTGTGGAGCAAGGAACTCCCAATTCTGCCCCTTCATAAAGGCAAATGAAAAAATCTGCAAAAATCATCACAGTAAAATTGTTTTGCAGCTCAGGAAATTCACAGGCAGCTTGCAGCCACCGAAGGAAGAGTGATTCAAAGAGAACGGCTGATGTTCATTAGGAACGGTGAACTTGGTGGCTTTTTCATTTATCCCAGTCACATACCCCACTTCCTACAAAGATTTTAAGAGAATTGGACTAGGATCAACACAGCTAGCTTGGCCCCGATGGGACAGAGAAGGTACAGAATGAAAAGAGACCTTTTGCCCCCAAGCTTCTAAGGCAGGAATGAAGTTAGGCTCAACAACAAACACAACACAGCCCTCCAATACCATTTGACACCCAACACAGACGCCATGTTGTGCGGGACACCATGTCGCAGTTACAGGAAGGAAAAAGAATTTGTGCCAAGAACCATGAGGAATCATTCCTGGGGGCTCCACGAAGGAAGTGGCAAAGTGCCCCACTGGCTTTGAGAAATGATGGACTTGGGGCTGCTATGTGCTCCCCAAAGACTGTGTTGCCGCTCTTCGAACTGGAGGGTCTACAGCAGCTTGTCCTGTGTCCACTGGGTGTGCAGTCATTGGGTGTGGGGCAGACAATCGGCCTCTTAGTCTTCCGTCCACATTGGAGAGGAACTGTAACAGGTAAGCTGCACCTGAGGCCTCTCATTTGCACCTGGACCTAATTATATCACAAGAGCAGGAGGCCAGGACAGACGTGGCTTTGCAGGGAGGGGTGGGTGTATTCTGCATGTGCAAGGAATATAAGTAATTCATGGCTAGAGGATGGACTGCTTTGGATTTAAACATGTCAAATGCCTTGACACTTCTCTCATCAAAATTGCAGCATAAGCCAAGGGCAGTATTGCACACCTGTAGTCCTGGCTACTCAAGAGGCTGAGGCAGGAGGACCACCTGGAGGGCAAGGCCTGGGGGGTCAAGGCTTCAGGGAGCTATGATGACACCACCGTACTCCAGCCTGGGGGACAGAGTGAGACCTTATCTCAAAACAAACAAACAAACAAAAAACAGGCTGGGTGCGGTGGCTTGGGAGGTCAAGGCGGGTGGATCACTGAGGTCAGGAGTTTGAGACCAGCCTGGTCAACACGGTGAAACCCCGCCTCTACTAAAATTACAAAAATTAGCCGGATGTGGTGGCGAACGCCTGTAGTCCCAGCTACTCAGGAGGCTGAGGCAGGAGAATTGCTTGAACCCGGGAGGCAGAGGTTGCAGTGAGCCAAGATTGCGCCACTACACTCCAGCCTGGGCGACAGAGCGAGACACTGTCTAAATAAATAAATAAATAAATAAATAAATAAAATTGCAGCCTAAGCCTTCTCCCCTTGAATGTGTGCTATTCTGAGTGACTCTTTTCTTTTTTTCTTTTCTTTTTTAGGGGACAGGGTCTCGTTCTGTCACCCAGACTGGAGTGCAGTGGTGCGATCACAGCTCACTGCAGCCTCAACCTCCTGGGCTCGAGTGAGCCTCCTGCTTCAGCCTCCCAAAGTGCTTGGGTAACAGGTGTGCACCCCTGCACCTGGCCCCTTAGTGAGTCCTTTCTAAGGAGTAGTATGTGGCAACAGCAACACCGCGTGGCTGGATGGTGGCCTCCATCTGGCTGTCTTGGCCTTGGGACGCTTGCAGGGGCTTCTCCTGGACTAGCTTGTGTTCCTTGTTGCTCTCTGCACTGCACGGCTCCTGCCCATTTCCAAGCCTGGGCTTGTGAGCTTCCTAGAGATACTGTGAGCTACTGATATTCTTTCCTGATCCGTTCGTGGGGTGTTGGATTCTCTGACTTACAGGTGAGAGCTCCGTATTGGCTTCCTGGGGCTACTGTAACAAATTTCACAAACTTGGTGACTTCCAATGACATATTTATTCTCTCGTTCTGGCAGTCAGAAGTCTGGAACTAAGAGGTCGGCAGGGCTCCCCCACTCCAGAGGCTCTGGGGGCATTTTGTTCCGTGCCTCTCTCCTGGCTTTGGGAGGCTGCCAGCAATGTTTGGCCTTCCTTGGCATCACTCCAGTCTCTGCCTCTGTGGTCACTGAGCATCCCCCTCTTCCGTCTGTCTCTCCTCTGTTTATCTCCAACAAGGCCACATCATTGCATTTAGGGACTGCTCAGATAATCTGGGATGATATCCGTAGTTAATTACATCTGCAAGGACCCTTTTTCCAAACAAGGTCACACGAACAGGTGTCAGGGATGTGATGTGGATGTATCTTTTGGGAGCCCACCATTCAACCCAGTGTAAACCCTAATGCAGAAATTGGTGCAGAAAAAAATGGGGAGAATCTGGGATTGGCTATCTGGCCAGGCTGTGGCAAAAAGCAATGAAGATACTGCTTGTCTTAGGGAACGGGACAAAGGGTTGTCCCCTGGGCGTCCCTGGGAGGAGGAGCCCAGTGAAAGTCTCTGGGGTTTCGGGGTGGTGCCCCCAAAAGAATTCAATGGCTATGTCTATGGTGTGGGATACGTTTAAAATAGCTCTTCAAGAATGAGAATAAGGCCAGGTGCCGTGGCTCATGCCTGTAATCCCAGCATTTTGGGAAGCTACGGTGAGCATATGGCTTGAGCCCAGAACTTCAAGACCAGCCTGGGAACATGGCAAAACCCTATCTTTACAAAAACCAAAAACCAAAACTGAAAACAAAACCGAAAAAAATAGCTGTGTGTGCCGGTAGTCCCAGCTACTAGGGAGGCTGAGGTAGGAGGATCACTTGAGCCCAGGAGGTCAAGGCTGCAGTGAGTTGTGATCATGCCACTGCACTCCAGCCTGAGCAACAGAGTGAGTGCCTGTCTTAAAAAAAAAAAAAAAAAAAAAAAAAAGAGGCCGGGCGTGGTGGCTCATGCCTGTAATCCCAGCACTTTGGGAGGCCGAGGTGCACGGATCACAAGGTCGGGAGATCGAGGCCAGCCTGGCCAACATGGTGAAACCCCATCTATACTAAAAATACAAAAATTAGCCAGGTGTGGTGATGGGTGCCTGTAATCCCAGCTACTCGGGAGGCTGAGGCAGGAGAATCGCTTGAACCCGGGAGGCGGAGGTTGCAATGAGCCGAGATCATGCTACTGCACTCCAGCTTGGGCAACAGAGCGAGACTCCGTCTCAAAAAAAAAAAAAAAAAGAAAAGAAAAAGAAAAGCTAAGATTCCTAAATTTTAGTTCAAAGAACAGACCAATAGCCCAAGGTGCCGTCTGACTGAAGCTGACCTGTGGCAGCGCATCCAGGAAGGGGCCCATACCAGCCTCTAACAGGCCCAGAGGTTTCTTTTTTCTTTTCTTTTTTTTGAGACAGAGTCTCACTCTGTTGCCTAAGCTAGAGTGCAGTGGTGCGATCTTGGCTCATGCAGCTTCTGCCTCCAGGTTCCAGTGATTCTCCTGCCTCAGCTTCCCAAGTAGCTGGGATTACAGCCTGACTATTTTTTTGCATTTTTAGTAGAGACGGGGTTTCACCATGTTGGCCAGGCTGGTCTCGAACTCCTGACCTCAGGTGATCCGCCTGTCTTGGCTCTCTAAAGTGCTGGGATTACAGGCATGAGCCACTACACCGGGCCAGGCCCAGAGGTTTCAGAGGGGTCACAAGGAGTATGACTTTCGGGTGTGTTGCCCTAGGTGTCCCCGACCTGAGTCTGTGGCCACACTGGGTCCCAGTCAGGGTCCTGCTGTTGACCAAAAATACTTGCTAAGCTTGTGAATCTGCCCTTCTCTGGAGCTCCTCAGCTTGGGCTGGGCCAGATCTCAGCTTTTTCTCCCCGACAGCCACCAGAGCTGAAAGCCTCTTTAGAGAAGCTGCCAAAGAGGTCCTCTGGCTTTCCTGCCTCACTGGAAAGGGTGATCAATGGCCCTCAGCTGCTCGCTGGCTTTCCTCAGCGCATTCAGGCCTCCCTGCAACAGCCATCCATGGCCACCCATCTAACGATGAGCCCCCAGCCGCTCAAAAGTCTGAGGCATCGCACCCACCAGTATGTTCCCTCCCATGGGCGTCTCATCCCAGCTCACCACTGGGGGAGGTTTTAGCGATTGCTCCCTTGTGCTAGGGACTCTCCGTGCCCACCTGCCCTCAGCAATGGGGTTCCTTAAGGTGAGCCAGCCCATAATAGCATGCAGGGGTTAGCGTCCTTGGGCTCCTCCAGGCACCAAGTGGTGGGAGCGGAGGGGAGGGGAGGGGGCAGGACGCCACTGGCTACTGGGGCATAGCAGGGTCCATTTCACCTGGAGAAGAGGCGGCAGGGCCAGGAAGCCAGCAGGTCCCTCCTGGGGCACGGCTGGCAGCACTGCTTGACCCTTTCGGGCCGTGGTAGCAGGAGGGCTGGGGACACAGCTGGGCATGGGTATGTGGGGATGGCGGCCATTGACAAAGGCCTGTTGCAAACGCAATGAGAACATCAGTGATCAGCACCTGGGCGCAGAGCTGGCCGGGTTCATGACACCCCGGGCTGCCAAGGCAGACAGATCATGAGGACCGTGATCTGCGATTTGGCCCTGGAGGGACAGAGAAGGGAAGCCGTGGGCTGGGGGAGGAGAAATAATAACGCAGTGCCTGGTGCAGCTCAAGTTAAATGTTCCACAGGAGGACACACCTGTGCTGGTGCACGTGCCTGTCACCGTGGGATGGCCCCATGTCCGGGTGGCAGTGGCGAGGGTGTGAGCAGGGGCCTCAGAGTGGCCACCTCCAGGCTCACATCTGAGGCAGCCAGGGCCTGGGAGGAGCCAGGCCAGCTGGGCCACACTCTGGGCCAAAGGTTCCCGGTGACAGACACAGAGGGGAGCTGTCCAGGCTGCACGTGACCTGCGGGGGCTGAGCATCCACTTCCCCACTGCCTGCCCTTTTTGTCGTGGGGCGCTGGGACCCTGGGTGGCCCCACTGGTGTTTGAGAGAAGCGGGTCCACCCTCTGCCGAGTAAGCCCATGGGAGCTTGGACCATTCAGGGAAGTGAAGATGGCTATGGGAGGGACTTCCTAGCGTCACGGCAGGCGAGCATGGAGCTCTGAGCTAGGACCCTGGAGGAGACTGCATGGGCCCTGAGCCAGGGGAGGGTCAGCTGTCCTCAGCGCTGGGCATGCGGCCATCTCAGCGCCCTGGGTACCTGCTGTGCCCATTTCACACAGAGGCCAGAGGCCAGAGTTTTGACTCGCCTGCCCAGGGCCTCAGAGTGACTGGGTGGAGCCCCTACTTGGGGAAGCCCCTGGCTCTCCTACAGACAGCCCCGAGCATGTGTGAGAGGCTGGGGAGGCCAGACCTTGGGGTTCTTCTCAAGGGGTTCCCAGTCTCAGGAGGCCATTCCTACCGGCCTCTCCCATCCTGGATGTGCCACAGTCACCACTGGGGTCTGAGATCAACATCTCCAGCCTGAGCCCACCCGTGGGCCCCACAGAAGCTGCAATCAGACCTTCACATTCTCCCACGGGATGGAGCCAAGAAATTCACCATGGCCCTAGCAGCAAAACCCACTTCTTTGGAGCCAGGATGAGCCTGGTGACCCTGGGAGAACACTTGCCTTGGAGACCTCTGATAGGTTCAGCACAGTTGCCACACAGCATCAACATGAAGCTTGGGGTGTGTGGTGGGATGGGAGGGGGCTCAGGGCATCTGCAGGTGTCTAACTCTGCTCAGAAACAACACAGCACCCTCTAGGACCCCTGGGACCTCCCTAGCAGACAAGAGGCCAGGGCAGCAGCCTCTGTTTCTCAGACACATCTGACACCTCCCTCCTGACACTGTGACAATCCTAGACTGGCTCTGCATCTCCCCAGGCCTTGCACAGGGTGGATGGATGGATGGATTGATGGATGGATGGATAAATGTACAGATGGATGGATGGATGGATGGATGGATGGATGGATAAATGTACGGATGGATGGATGGATGGATGGCTGGATACATGTACAGATGAATGGTGGATGGATGGTTGGGTAGGTGGATAGACACATGGGTGGATGGGTAGATGGGTGGATAAATGGGTGGATGAATGATGGATGGATGGATGAGTGGATGGGTAGAGGGTGGATGGATAGATGGAGGGCTGAGTGGATGGATGGGTGGGAGGATGGAATGGTGGATGGGTGGATGGGTGGATGGGTGGATGGATGGATGGATGGAGGGATGGGTGGATGGGTGGATGGGTGGATGGGTGCGTTGGTGGGTGGATGGGTGGATGGATGGGTGGATGGGTGGGTGGATGGGTGGGTGGATGGATGGGTGGATGGATGGGAGAATGAACTCATGCTGGTGTCTAACTCTCATCAGTTGTGCTCAGAAACAACACAGCACCCTCTGGGACCCCTGAGACCTCCCCAGGAGGCAAGGGGCCACGGTGGCAGCCTCTGTTGCCCAGAGACATGCTAGACCCTGTTCTGGGTGCTGGGAGGACAAAAAGGAGGTAAGCCCACAGGCCAAGCCCCCAGGCCAAGCCCCCAGGCCAAGCCCCCAGGAGCCCACCCCACACCCAGGCAGACATTGCAGGACCTCTAAGCAAGGTACAGAGGGCACTGGGGAGGCCAGGAGATGGTCCCTGAGGGAAGCGATGGCTGAGCTGGGTTTTAGGAGACATACACATTTCCTGGGGGACCAACCTCCCATGGGCCCACTGCTGGACAAAGCCAGACACAGCTTGGTGTGGAGAGAATTTCAAGAGCATGAGTATTGTAGGATTTGGGGTGGGTCTGGAGAGTGGCATAAATTAGACTGAGAGGGCTGTGAGGGGTGCAGAGGGCCTTGAGAATCATGCTTAGGAGGCTGGATGTGCTCAGAGGGTGGGGGACCCAAGACTGTTGTTTTGTTTTGAAATATAACAAACAGCTTTATTGAAATAGAAGTTGCATGCTGTACAATCCACCCACAATTCAGTGCACAATTCAGCGGTTCTTGGTATATTCACAGAGTTGTGCAGCCATCGCCACCATCAATTTTATAACATTTTCATCCCTCCCCAAACCCCTGTACCCATGAGCAGTCACTCCCCCTCCCCACCTCCTGGCACCTCGCAATCTACTTTCTGTTTCTCTGGATTTGCCTGTTCTGGACATTTCATAGAAATGGAATCATACAACGTGTAGCCTGTAGCCTTTGTGTCTGGCTTCTTTCACTGAACATAAAATTTCGAGCTGCATCCATGTTGTAGCATGGATCAGAAAACTTCATTCCTTTTTAAGGCTGAGTAATATTCCACCATATGTTTATCTGTGTTTTTTGTTTTTGTTTTCATTTCGCTCTTGTTGCCCAGGCTGGAGTGCAATGGCACGATCTCGGCTCACTGCAACCTCCGCCTCCCAGGTTCAAGCAATTCTTCTGCCTTAGCCTCCCAAGTAGCTAGGATTACAGGTGCCTGCCACCACACCTGGCTAGTTATCATTGGGTTTTTTTTGTGTGTATTTTTAGTAGAGATGGGGTTTTACCATGCTGGCCAGGCTGGTCTCGAACTCCTGACCTCAGGTGGTCCACCTGCTTCAGCCTCCCAAAGTGTTGGAATTACAGGTGAGAGCCACTGCATCCAGCCCCGTGTTTTGTTTTGTTGGACTTTTGGGTTGTTTCAGCATTTTGGCTGTTTTGAACAATGCCGCTATAAATATAGGTGTGTAGGGTTTTATGTAGACACAAAGGTGGGCTTTGAGCAACAGGGGGCACAATCAGATTTAAAGGGGTCATTCTTCCTGCAGGTGGGGATGGGGGTCAGATGGAGAAAAGAGCCCAGAAAGGCTTGGCCAACCCTTGGGGAAGTATCACCCACACTCTCTCCCCAGTTCCCAGCATATGCACATGCACACGTACACGTATGTGTGTACATCTGAGCAGTCTCCAAGGCCTGCTATTGTTGAGTGTCCCAGGGACAGGCAAAGCTGGCCCAGTTCTGAGCTGATGGAGGAGAAGAGTCTCTTTAGTAGCAATCCTTGCATTCTTGTATTGATATGGGGGGGTCAGCCTCAGCGCGGAACTCTTTACATCCCCGCTCTCCCAGAACCCCTATGGCCACGGGTGGGGCAGATCGCAATATGGCCACTCATGAGAGAGGAGACAGAAGCTCATGCTGGTGGGGCAGAACCAGGCTTCAGGCAGGTGGACCCAAGTCCAAGTTCAAGATATCAGTGGCCACCAGGCATGTGTGGCTTCTGAGCTCTTGAAATGAGGCTTGTCTGACTGAGGAACTGAATCTTTATCTAATTTGTTTTTTGTTTTTTGAGACAGGGCCTTGCTCTGTCTCCCAGGTGAAAGTGCAGTGGTGCAAACATTGCTTGCTGCAGCCTCGACCTCCCGGGCTCAAGCGATCCTCCCACCTCAGCCTCCTGAGTAGCTGGTACCACAGGTGTGTGCCACCATGCTTGGCTAATTAAAAAAAAAAATTGTAGAGATGGGGTCTCACTGTGTTGCCCATGCCGGTCTCAAACTCCTGGCCTCAAGCAATCCTCCTGCCTCGGCCTCCCGAAGTGCTGAGATTACAGGTGCGAGCCACTATGCCCGGCCTCTAATTTTAATTAATTTAAAAATTGATACTCAATTTCATTTTTGGCAAACTTCTAAGTTTACGGGAAACAATTTGGGTATGCAAATCTACTTTTTCAACTGTGAATTCTGTGAAACCTAAACACATATCAAATGCGTCTGATGAAAATTTAGGGTTCAAACTGAAGTCCGCTATCAGTGCAAACCACATGCTGGATTTTGAAACTTGGCGAGAAAAAAGAATGTCAAATGTCTCTCTAATAGATTTGTACATTGATTACATATTGAAATGATAATATTTCAAATATACTGGATCAAGTACAGTGTATTACTAAAGTTGATTCCACTTACTATTAATTATTTGTCAGCCATAAAAAGGAATGAAGCCCTTCCTGGTGCACGTTCATGGTGAATGGAACTTGGCATCATGCTGGAGGGAAGAAGTCAGGCACAAAAGGCCACACGTTGGCTGATTTCATTTAGATGAAGTGTCCGGAACAGGCAAATCCATAGAGACAGGAAGCAGCTTAGTGGTTGCCATGGCTGAGGATGGGCAGGGTTGAGGAGGGCAGCTAAGGGATACGGGGTCTCCTTTGGGGGTGGCAGAAATGTCCCAGAGTTGGAGTACGTGAGCTGTGGTCTGGCAGGGGTGCTGTCTAGCAGGGTAGGGGTGGGTATGTCTCCTTGGCAGTGCCCTTACTGCGCCTCAGGAGGTGCTGTGGCTAGAGGACAGCTGGAGGGGCCCAGGACAGGGTGGCATTGAATGCCATTAAGGGCATGGACAGGCTTAGAGCCCAGTGTCCCTTGGCCGTGTCTTCCTAGCACCAGGGTGTGCTGCCTCCCTTTCAGTAAGAGCCAAAGTTTCCAGAGTTCGGCAGGCTGAGTCTGCCAAGGACCACATTCAGGAGGCTCCCCAGCCTCCCCCTTGTATCGCATAACTCATAACCCATTCCCATAACTCACAGCTGGCCATGTGGGTCTTGGCTCATCCTCCTAGCTGGTCTGGGCCTCGCCTCCCTCTCCTGCTTTGGGTTGGCCTGCTGGGCTGTGATGAGAGGGCTCCTGCAGAGATCCCAAGTCCACCTCCACACGCTGCCCAGCCTCTGGCCTACACTTGCATGAAGTCCGTTCACATTCACGGAGGGAAGACTGTTTCCCCCTTCCTTAAAGCCTTGATTAGGTGACCCTGAACTCATGAGCTCAAAGACTCCAGGCAGTGCTCACAGAAAACTGCCCCGGTCTCCTAAATAGTCACTGGAAGGTGTCCAAACAATGGCCACTTGGCAGTGAGATTTCAGAGATTTCAGTTTAGGGTACGATCCATGGATTATGGCATTTGATTTAATTTTGAAAGTTGAACAAGAAGTAAAAAATCTATATTTTGCCCTTTCAAACAAAATGTAAAAGCCCCCACCCAATAATTCAGTCAGGCATACTCTGACTGCATGGTGGGCCAGATGGTCTTTTTCTACACCTATAATTTCCCAGGAAATTGTGACAGCTGAATTTGCATGATGTAGCTACAAATGGAATTTGCACAATGTGTGTGTTCATGTGGTTTGGACATGAGAATAATTCCTTTATCCCATCATGTTGGGAAGAGTCAAAACATTCACTTGCCCTTCCTCATGAACAAAGCCAGTGCTCAGTCAGTATTTTCTATGTGGAGGATGGAGGATGGGTGGAGGGATGTGAGGGATACACAGAGGGATGAATACAGGGATGAATGGAGGGATGGGTGGGGGAGGGGTGGAGAGATGAATTTAATGGATGGAGAGATGAATAGAGAGATGGATGGGTGGATGGATGGAGGGATGGGTGGATGGATGGAGGGATAGGTGGATGGATGGAGAGATGGGTGGAGGAATGGATGGGCGGAAGAATGGGTGGAGGGATAGATGGAGGGAGGGATGAATGTGGGGGTGGGTTGAGGGATGGATGGGGGAGTAATGGGTGAAGGGATGGGTTGAGGGATGGGAGAAGGAGGGAGGGACATAGGAGGGGTGAGTGGAAGAATGAATGGAAGGATGGGTGGAGGGATGGGTGGACGGAGGGATAGATGGAGGGAACAGTGGAGGAATGGATTGGTGGAAGGATGGAGGGATAGGTGGAAGGATGGGTGGAGGGATGGGTGGACGGAGGGATAGATGGAGGGAACAGTGGAGGAATGGATTGGTGGAAGGATGGAGGGATAGGTGGAAGGATGGGTGGAGGGATGGGTGGACGGAGGGATAGATGGAGGGAACAGTGGAGGAATGGATTGGTGGAAGGATGGAGGGATAGGTGGAAGGATGGGTGGAGGGATGGGTGGACGGAGGGATAGATGGAGGGAACAGTGGAGGAATGGATTGGTGGAAGGATGGAGGGATAGGTGGAAGGATGGGTGGAGGGATGGGTGGACGGAGGGATAGATGGAGGGAACAGTGGAGGAATGGATTGGTGGAAGGATGGAGGGATAGGTGGAAGGATGGGTAGAGGGATGGATGGAGGGAGGGATGGGTGGAAGAATGGATGGAAGGATGGGTTGAGGGATAGATGGGGAAGGATGGAAGGATGTAGGAGGGATGGGTGGAAGAGTGGATTCCAGGATGGGTGGAGGGATGGATAGAGGGAGGGATGGGTGGAGGAATGTGGGAGGGATGGATGGAGGGGTGAATGGAGGGAAGGACGGCGGGATGGGTGGAGCGATGAGTGGAGGGATAGGTGGAGGGATGGGTGGAGGGATGGGTGGAGGGATGTGGGATGGGTGGAGGGATGTGGGATGGGTAGAGGGAGGGATGAGTGGAGGGATGGCTGGAGGGATGTGGGATGGTTGGAAGGAGGGATGGGTGGAGGGATGTGGGATGGATGGAGGGAGAGATGGATGGATGGAGGGATGGATGGAAGGAGGGATGGGTGGAGGGATGGGTGGAGGGATGGGTGGAGGGATGGGTGGAGGGATGTGGGATGGATGGAGGGAGAGATGGATGGAGGGAGGGATGGATGGAGGGATGGAGGGAGGGATGGATGGAGGGAGGGATGGGTGGAGGGATGTGGGATGGATGGAGGGAGGGATGGGTGGAGGGATGT
Organism: Homo sapiens; assembly: GCF_000001405.40. Lineage (NCBI taxonomy): Eukaryota > Metazoa > Chordata > Mammalia > Primates > Hominidae > Homo > Homo sapiens. Next base: position 133,997,877 of record NC_000009.12, on the reverse strand, counting down.
GGGATGGGTGGAGGAATGTGAGAGGGATGGATGGAGGGATGGGTGGAGGAATGTGGGAGGGATGGATGGAAGGAGGGATGGATGGAGGGATGAGTGGAGGAATGTGGCATGGATGGAAGGATGGGTTGAGAGACGGATGGATGGAAGAGTGGGTAGCAAGATATAGGAGGGATGGATGGAGGGGCAGGTGGAGGGATGATGGACAGACTCCAGCCTTGGGCGGAGCTCCTTTGAAGAAGCTTCAGTCTATCCCTGGGATGCTGGCTGTGGAATGAGGGTCCCCTGAGCCTTGGACCTTTTGATGAAAAGTACTGAGACCTTGCAGCAGGTCTTGGTGTTTTTTGGGGGAATACTGGACTGAGACAGTGCCCACTCTGGCTGTATGGAGGTTCTCTGGGAGGGCCTGTATGGAAAGAAACAGTCTTGAGTGAGAGGTAAACTCTCAAGCCCTTCCACTGTGGCATGTAACGCGCTAAGGGACACATGTATTCCTGTTCAGAAACCAGACCCTGGGGCTGCCCAGAGAATGAGGACACCAATTTGATGAGGGCAGCTCTGCAGAAACCCAGGGGAGGGGCGCTGGGCCGGTCGTGGACTCAGATTGTCCTGTGCCACTGCCCTTGAAATCATTATTTATCAGTAGAAAACAAAAGCAAACCTCTCAGCTGGAGGCATAGGAGAAGGTGGACCTGAGTTCGAATCTGAACTCTGCCAGTTGCATAACCTTGGCCAAGTCACTCAAGCTATGTGAGCCGACCTCATCTGTAGCACAGTACGATGACAGTCCTCGCCTCCTAGGGTGTGGGTGGTCCTGGCTCAGGGCCTGGGTGCAGGAAGGACGTGCTGAGTTGTAGGTGGAGCATCACTCGTGGTGTGAGTGACTGGGCAGAGAAGCCAGAGGGGAAGCCCAGCCATGCTGCCCACATAAGGGCAGCCACCTGTCTACCCACTCCTTCCTCCAAAGGTCTCCTCTCTGGGACCCCGAGGATCCAAGAGTCACCAGGTTTCCAGGACCTCCAGGATGCGTGGATATACTTCCAGCTGCCCTTCCCTCCTTTAAGTCAGTGTCGGACCCTTCGGCTCCCGTTTCTTAGCCTTGCTACTCCTGCCTGTACTAAGGGCTCATTTCGGTACCACAGTGGCGGGGCGGGGGGGTGTGCCTGTGGGCTCCAGGCACTGCGCTCTGTTGCTGACTCCGTATCCACGTGTTCTAGACATCAGATCATTTTCCCTCCCTCGTCACCTCCCCACCCACATCAGTGCATTAAGGGAAAGCAGAAAGTTCTAGGCGTGGAAAGCCCTTTCAGCAGCAGCCTCTATTTAGGGGTGCACACAGGTGTCAATAAGGCCTGGCGTTTGGACTTGGCTTTTTCCTGTGTTGCTGGGTGACCTTGGGCAGCTCACCAATGTGCTTGGTGAGCTGGTTTTTATGTTGGACCACTCAGTACAATAACAGTGACTAGAAGTGATGGAGTGGCTTGTGGTTTAAAGGAGGTGACCATCACCTAGGCCGGCCACTCAGACTCAAGACACAGGATTGGTTACTGCAACTATGAATGCTGTTAAAATATAACGGCTTGAAAGTGACAATGTGCGACGTAACTGCAATCTTACGTAGTGTAACGTTAATTCACATAGCGATAGTGTTAAAATATGCCACAAGTCAATAAATAAGATTATATTGCCTTTTATTTTTTATTTTTTTTGAGATGGGGTCTCACTTTGTCACCCAGGCTGGAGTGCAGTGGTACGATCTCGACTCGATGCAACCTCTGCCTCCTGGGCTCAAGTGATCCTCCCACCTCAGCCTCCCAAGTAGCTGGGACTATAGGCGTGCACCACCATGCCAGGCTAATTTTTGTATTTTGGTGGAGACAGCGTTTCACCTTGTTGCCTAGGCTGGTCTTGAACTCCTGGACTCAAGGGATCCACCCGCCTCAGCCTCCCAAAGTGCTGGGATTACAGGCATGAGCCACCACGTCCAGCCTCCGATTACATTGCCTTTTATAAGCTGTCTTTGGATCAGTTTAACGCATCTGTGGCTTCCATGAAAGAATATATTGGATTTAAAAATTACAATTACAGTGATTTGCTAGATTTTACCTCCAGTGAGGCGGGAGCCCCGAGGTGCCCATCCGCGCAGAAGAGAGACAGGGTGTCACTGAGGGCCGACTGGGTCCTTGCTGGCTGCGGAGGACAGGTGGAAGGGTGGAAGCGGGTCCAAGGAGAGGGGGCCTGGGGCTTGGTGGGGGTGGGCCAGGAGGGGGCAGATGCTGGACAGAACAGGAAGGTGGACTGCTGGGACTCGCTGCCCACATGGCTGCCGGGGAGAATGAGACAGGAGCTCAGGAGGACACTGCGGTTTATTGTTCAATGCCTGAGATCATGGCAACACTGAATTCCTTTGTGGTTTAAAAATCAACTCCTGTCCAAGCTCTCCATCCTCCATGTCACCCTCTCCTAGTCACTGCAACCATGATCAATCTCTGGTTGTCAACTCAAACCTCAGTTTCTCCTGGAAGCCTTGCTGCTCCCTCCCCGGGTGTGCCCTGCCTGGTGCCCTCCTCCGCCACCTGTGACCCTCCCCCATACTTGGGGTATGTGGCCCATGCTGGCACTTCTTGCTCCCTGGTTTAATCTGCTCGGCTGGACTGGCAGCTGCTCACTGGCAGTCTGTGTAAGCAGCTCCCCCTGGAGCCCATCTCCAAGGTGTGATGGGACTCTCGCCCCCTGGAGGTGTGCAGCAGGCAGTCCTGGCAGACAGCCCTGAGTCCAAGTGGACATGGATGGTGGTAGGATTTTCCCAAACAGCGTCCTCTCTATTAGTCTTCCTGGCATGTGCCTTGAGTCCACAGTCTCAACCTGTTCATCATTACACTCACACTAAAGGTTACAAAGGGAGCTCCTGCCCCATTTTCTTTACCTTTTATTTTATTTTTGAGACAGGGACCCACTGTGTTGCCCAGGCTGGTCTTGAACTCCTGGACTCAAGCCATCTGCCTGCCTGAGCCTCCCAAAGTGCTGGGACTACAGGCTTGAGCTGCTGTACCTGGCCCCACCAAACTTTTGTTCTTTGATTCACATCCATCCTGCCCTCAGAGCCTCCAAGGATTCTGGGAGGTGCACAGGGCCGGTGAATGTCCTATGCCGATCAGGACCTGGGAACCAGGGAGGCCTGAGTGGCTCAGGGCCACTGTGGTGAAGTCTGTGTCTCCTGAGTTGGGTCTTCTCAACGGTCAACCCCAGATTTTCTGTGCAGCCCCTCCTGGGTGCAGCCAGGTGCCCCGTGGTGACAGCACCACCAGGGGGCAGCAGGTACCCATGGCATTGTTGGCGGGCGGCTGCCTGGGTCCCAGACCTGGCTGGTCCTCTTGGCCAGAGCAGGCAGGCCCAGGACCGTGAGGACAGAGGCCCCCTTCTTGCTGAGGGAGCCACCTGGGGAAAGAGACATTTAGTGCATCAATGCGCCGGCGGTCCAGGCGAGGGGTTGGGAGAGTGGGTAGCTCTTCTTCCTCTCTGAGCCCTTTCTGTCCCAGCACAGTGGGAAGCCTCTGGGTAATTTATCCGTCCATTCTTCACAAGCAAGTCCAGTGGGAGCCGGGTCTCCCCGCTCTAGAGAGGAGGGGATGAGGCTTTGCAGGAGGAGGGATCAGTGTAGGCTCTCAGATGGGGCTGGAGGGCCCCGCTCAGGTTTCACTCCTGGCTTTCTGATTTCTTAGGGAGATGCTGATGGGTCCACCTGCTGCCCCATCTTGCTTCGGTGAGGAAAGCTCTCCCCCTTGCCCTAAAGGTGCCCACTGCTGCTTCCTCGGGGAAGGGCAAGAGACCTGAGCCCCCGCCTCACCAGCCACCTGGCCTGAGTTTACTGCTGCAGGGGCCAGCTCCTTCCTGACCTCTCTCTACGGGCCAGACCCTAAGCTGGGACCCCCTGCTTCCACCTCAGTGGAGAAGGGGTGAGTCTGACTCTGCAGAGACCAATTTCCAGGACAGGACCCCCATCGGAGGCCCTGGGCCCAGGGGACCCTCTCTGCGCTCGCATCCCCGTTCCGGCCCCTGCGCAGGGAAGCCACGGGGTAAGGGGTCCGGGGGCTGCAGTGCAGCCCCAGCTCATACAGGCCCAGGATTCCACCGGAGTCCAGGGTGGGAGCCCTCAGACACCGCACCCCAGCCTCCGGGCTGAGCCAGTCTCAGAGAAGGGCTTGGACTTGCCTGGTGTCCCCCAGTGAATCAGCAGTGAAAACCCGCGGTTCCCGGCAGCTGAGCCAGGATCCATATAATTTCAGTTGCAGAATCTGTTTGTCCTTGAAGCCCCTCCTACCGTCACACGTTGCCAGCTGGACAGACCGCGCCCCCACCACCCAGGGTGTGGCCTAGAAGGGAGATCAGGGCGGATCAGCACCGGGGCCGGCTGCGACCCTGGGCCGGAGAGCACCTTCCTGCCCTCACTCATGTCACGCATTCCGCCCTGGACGCCAGGAACTGCCCGCTGGGCAGCTGCGAGTGGCCAGGACTTTGGCCAAAAGCTGGGGAATCCTGGCCTTTATGCAGGGTCGGGGGTCTTCCTATGGGCCCCCGGCCAGGGCGGAGGACAGGAAGAGGGCTCTGGGAGTCCTGGGCCCGTGTGCCTTCAGCCTCAGCCTCGGGTATCCCGCCGGGGCGGCTTGATGGGCCAAGGGGGCTCAGTAAGCTTCGGCCCAGCCCGGTGCCCTCTCCCGAGTCTGTCGTTACCGAACGGCCATGCGAGGGCGCCCAGCGCGACAGGGACCACCTCCTGACCTCCACGGAGGACCAAAGGCACCCGGGGGGACGCCCGGCCATCACTCCACGGGCGAGGTCGCTCCCCCAGGGAGAAGGGCTCCCCAAAGTCCGAGCGCCCTTGGAGAAAGTCGGCCGGACCTGGGCCTGCGCCGCAACCCCCGCCCACCGCAACTTTCGCGGGCGGTAGCGGGGCAGGAAGTGGGGGGGCGGGGGCGGCGCTTGGGACACGGGGAGGTGCCAGGCGAGTGCTCCGGCCCCGCCCCTGCCCCGCCCGGCCGTGGCCGCGCCCCCTGCGCCCCCAGCGCCCCGGAGCCGTGGAGCCGCCGAGCCGCCGAGTCGTCGAGTCGCAGCGCCGGGCGTGGGGACTGCGGGTGGGGCGAACAAAGCGGCGGCGACGCGGGCGGCCCAGGCCCGGGACGCGCGGAGCGAGCGACCCCGCCGGGCCTTTGTCTCGGGCGGGGCAGGAGCCGCGGCGGCCGCGGGGCGCCCCGAGCGCAGAATGCGGCGCCCGGCGGCGCGGATTGGGGAGCGCTGCGGCGACTGGCTGCGTGGAGCCCGGCCCGGGGCCCGCAGGCACTTGCGTGTGTGAAGCGGGGAGATCCGGCGCGCTGCCCGTTGCCCGCCCCGCGGCCGCACGTGGGCGGGAGCGGCGGCCCGAGAGGAGCCCGAGGAGTAGGAGGAGGAAGAGGAGGGGACGCACGGCGGCGCAGCGGGGGACCTGGGGCAGCCCGCGCGAAGCCCCGCCCCGGCCCTGAGCCCCGCGCGCGCGCGGGCGGGATGCCCCGCGGCCGCTGCACTTTGGCTCGAGCACTGCCCTGAGCCGGTCGGGCCCGCGGGCGCCATGGAGCAGTGGCGGCAGTGCGGCCGCTGGCTCATCGATTGCAAGGTCCTGCCGCCCAACCACCGGGTGGTGTGGCCCTCGGCCGTGGTCTTCGACCTGGCGCAGGCGCTGCGCGACGGGGTCCTTCTGTGCCAGCTGCTGCACAACCTCTCCCCCGGCTCCATCGACCTCAAGGACATCAACTTCCGGCCGCAGATGTCCCAGGTGAGCGCCCGGCGGGCGGGAGGGCCCCGGGGAGGCGGCGTTCGCGCTGCCCGACGCGCGGACTGAACGCGGAGGTCGCAGCGGCGGCGGCCCAGGCGCCCTGGCTGGGGCGGCCGGGCTCCGGGACGCGGGCGGGCGGCTGGAGGGTGCGCCCCGGGCCTCCGAGACGCGACCTCAGGAGGCGCGAAGTTGGCCAAAGTCCCCTCAGCCTGGGTCGCGCCGCCGCCGCCCGCGGGCACTGCTCTGGTGCGCCGGTTCCGCGGTCTGCGCGGCCTGGGATGGGGGAGGCTCCGGCGCTGCGCTCGCTCTGCGGGGCCCTGCGAGTGGCCCCTCATTTCCCAGGGAGCCTGCCGAGCCGGGTGTGCGCGTCGTGGGTCGCATCCTTGGGCCTCGCGCCTCCTGGCCGGACGCCGGTGGAAGAGCGGGCGCGGTCGCTGCGCCGGCCCGGGGCGCGGCTGGAGGGCCCGGGAGGGGCGCGGGGCGGGAGCCCTCGGGGCCGGAGGGAGCTGGGTTGGCCCCGGGCACCGCCCCCTCGCCGGCCTCCGCCTCTTCCCGGACCCGGACCCGGGCCACTTGGCGCCAGTCCTGGCTCCCGGGTCGAGCCGCCTCGAGGATCCCCAGGGCCACTTGGCCCCAGTCCTGGCCCCCATCGCTTTCCCAACACCCCCACCCCTCCTTCGGGCGCTGAGTGTGGCCTTTGTCGCGGCGGAGGCACGCGTGCGGCCGCAGGGCCAGGCAGGAAAATGCCTGCCCAGCCGAACGAAGCTGCTTTTCTTGGCCTCTTAAGAGGGAACTTGGCTAAGACTTGAGAGAATCGAGGCTTCCGTCCTGTTCTCCGGGGGTCGCGGAATCCTTACCGGGAGCAGCTTAGAAGAGGTCGGGGGAGGCAGAGCGGGTGGCAGCCGGGTCCACCCAGCGCCGAGGAGGTGCGGTCTTCCAGCCAGCTCAGCAGCCCCTCACCGCGCGCAGTGGCAACTCCATGTGGAGAGGGACCATTCACCAGTGGGACTTAGGACGTGGTTCCTGGGAAGGAGGGAGAGTGAGTCACCAGCGATTCCAGGCTGGGCAGCGAGGCCTCTGCCCTTTGGCGGTGACTGCGTTTCCTAGGAGACCGGGCCTTTCTCTGCCGGGTTGGGGGGCGCTGACAAAGGCAAGCCCAGAGGGGAAGGGGCCGCCTTCCCACTGGGTAATGATTACCCAGCACTGCCTGGACCGGCTTAGCAGGAGCCCTCAGAGGCCTCCCTGGGAGCCAGCGCCTCTTCCCGCAGGATGTCAGTGGTCAGGTGCAGGTGGCGGGGGTGGCGGTCACTGCTGCAGAGGGCTTCCCCGGATCTGTTCTCAGAGCCCCACGGGGACTGGGAAGTCTGGACTCCATTTTATGGCTGGAGAAACTGAGGAGAAGGGTAGCTGTTGGGGAGCAGGGCTGGGCCTCGAACCAAGGTGGCTGCCTTTGATATGAGTTCCAGGGGCTGCCCAGGCTGACTTGCTCGGGCAGGATTCCCTGCTGCTTGCAGGCTGGGGCTCAGGGCAGAGGCAGGGCAGCTGGGTCCGCACAGAGGAGGCTTGGGAGGAGCCCAGCCTTGCCTGGTGGACTCGCTGGGTCCGGGGGCTGCCCCTCCCCAGCTGTGGTTTGGGAAGATGGGAAGAGGAGGGGGCCGTGGCTGTGGCAGGTGGCTTGGCTCAGCTCCTGCACTGGAAGTTCAAGCCAGAGACTTCCTGGGGTCTCTGGAGCCATTGGCCAGGCAGCAATACGAACCCTGACAGAGGCCCCTTGAGCCCTGCTGCTGGGGGGTGGACGGGTGTCTAGGGGTCCCGCTGCTGGGCCGGTAGAGGGGTGTTTAGGGGCCCTGCTGCCGGACTCGTGGAGGGCGTGTAGGGGCCTGGATGGTAGGAGGACCAGATGGGTGTGTGTCTGTGTGGCTCTCCGCTCTGATTGAATCCTGGCACTGTCCCCTCCCAGGTAGGCAACGACCTCCAGAGCCTCAGTTTCCCCATCTCTGTCATGAGAACAGTCATAGCAGTCCCCTCGTAGCCATGCTGTGAGGATTTGCTAAGGGCAGGCACAGAAGGCACACCCTTCGCACAGTGCCCAGGAAATGACCGTCACCTGGACTGTGGCACGTAGTGCCCTGTGTCGCTGAGGCTGATCTTGCCATCCACTCCTCTGTCCCGTGGAGGGTGGGCCACCTTTGTACGGCTGTTGCCTGCACGGGGACGGCTGCAGATGCTCCCTTAACCCTCACATTGGCTGTGACAGCCCCGCCTGTTCATTCAACGTGGAGAAACCACTTTACTGCATCTGGCTGCACACAGGGGTTGGGAGAAAGACTTCGTTTCTCTGTGTGGCTGGTGTTTGTTTTCTGGGAAACTCACTTTTTTTTTTCTTTTTGGAGATGGAGTCTTGCTCTGTCGCCCAGGCTGGAGTGCGGTGGCGCAATCTCAGCTCACTGCAACCTCCACCTCCTGGGTTCAGGCGATTCTGCTGCCTCAGCCTCCTGAGTAGCTGGGACTACCGGCACGCTCCACCACGCCCAGCTTTTTTTTTTTTTTTTTTTGAGATAGAGTCTCGCTCTATTGCCCAGGCTGGAGTGCGGTGGCACGGTCCCGGCTCACTGCAACCTCCACTTCCTGGGTTCAAGCAATTCTCCTGCCTCATCCTCCCGAGTAGCTGGGATTACAGGCGCCTGCCACCATGCCCGGCTAATTTTTTGTATTTTTTGTTTTTTTTTTTTTTTGAGATGGAGTTTTGCTCTTGTTGCCCAGGCTGGAGTGCAATGGCGCTATCTCAGCTCACCACAACATCCACCTCCCGGGTTCAAGCGATTCTCCTGCGTCAGCCTCCCAAGTCGGCTGGGATGACAGGCATGCGCCACCATGCCCAGCTAATTTTGTATTTTTAGTAGAGACGGGGTTTCTCTATGTTGGTCAGGCTGGTCTTGAACTCCTGACCTCAGGTGATCCACCCACCTCGGCCTCCCAAAGTGTTGGGATTGCAGGCGTGAGCCACTGCACCCAGCCTATATTTTTAGTAGAGACGGGGTTTTACCGTGTTGGCCAGGCTGGGCTCGAACTCCTGTCCTTGTGATCCACCCGCCTAGGCCTCCCTAAGTGTTGGGATTACAGGCTTGAGCCACCGTGCCTGGCCCACGCCCAGCTATTTTTTGTATTTTTAGTAGAGGCGGCGTTTCACTATGTTGGCCAGGCTGATCTCAAACTCCTGACCTTGTGATCTGCCCGCCTCGGCCTCCCAAAGTGGTGGGATTACAGGCGTGAGCCACAGTGCCCCACCCACACCCAGCTCTTTTTTGTATTTTTAGTAGAGACGGGGTTTCACTATGTTGGCCAGGGTGGTCTCGAACTCCTGACCTCATGATCTGCTCGCCTCAGCCTCCCAAAGTGCTGGGATTACAGACGTGAGCCCCCGCGTCCGGCTGAAACTCACGTTTCTTAAGGGGTGGGGATGGGAGAGGGAAGAAGTCATCTCCACCCTTGGTGGTTGGGTCATAGAAAAATCACATCTGCCCTTTCTTACCTGCCCTGCTGTGGCCTAAGCACAAGCCTAGGTGGGGGTTGCTGCCTGTGTTTAATAGGTGAGGCCGTCAAGGTTCCGGAGAGCTTGAGTGACTCCCCATCACCCCACCACTCCTGCCCAGAGGAGTAAGTGGCAAAACCAACATAGGGATTGCAGTCTCCCTCCCAGGACTGTTTAAATAAATGATGACTGCAGGCCTTCCTAAGCTGGCTTACTCTCTTGTGGACTTTCTGAGGGATGTCCCTGGCCTCATTCTTGGGTTTTGGGTTGTCACGGTGTGTGTCTCTTTTCATGGGGTGGCAGGGGTGGGGGGTGGGTGCCTGTGATCCCTGGCTGGTGAGTTGCAGGGCCCCTCGAGCGCACACGGCGGGGAGTTGCCCACCTCCCTGCCAGTCATGGCATATGAGGCCGTCTAGCCCGGAGGCCTCTATGATGTTCCCTCCTTCCAGAATTTCCCCTGGCTTCTCATGGTGACATCCTATTTTCAGAGGACTTGGAGCGCCCCTCCCACTTTGAGTTTAATCTGGGCTGGGTTATTTGCCCTAATGGAGCATCATAGCAACGTGCATTTATGCAGCACCTGCTGTGTGCAGAGCCGGGTGCTAGGAGGTGGTCACAGAGATCCCAGTTGCCCACCTGGTCATTTCTTCTGAAGCTGGCAGGATCTACTTTATTTTATTTTGTTTTTTATCTGAAGTGCCTGGAAGCCCCGTGGGTTTAATTAAACTAATTGGGTATGGCCACAATCTGCTGACCCTAACGAGAAATCGGGTGTGTCTGGAGCAGCTTCGGTTGGGAGGTCCCGAGGTTGCCTGTGCCAGCATCAGCAGTTTGCACCCTTAAGGTACCACCCGCCGCCCAGCCTCTGACTTGCCCACATCGTCCTGGTGGCCTCCTCCTCGTAAAACACATCAGGCAGCCATTGCTGGACACCACGCAAAGGCTTGGCCCTGGGCCTGCCAGAGTCTGTCCCCCACCTCCACCTCAACTCCCTGTGCTCCCTGCCTCTTCCCGGACACGCCAGCCTGGCGATGGTTTTGGCATCCCCCCCTCCGGGCCTTTTTGATGTGTGCCATCGTGAGCTGTGCCATTGCTGGAAGACCTTCTCTCCTTCTAGCCTGGTTCTTCCTGTAGGAGCTGGTATAGGGGCTCCCTCCCCTTGGCAGCCTCCTTGGGTTTCACCCTCTCCCCACCCTGTCCTCCACGCGCTTTGAACCTCGATCTCACTCCTCCACTGTTCCAGGTTTCTCTCTGGCCTCGTGTAATGAAACTCTTTGTTTCATCACACGATACCCTTGCTGCTCCTTCTGCAAAACTCAGCAGCTGGACAGCTGGAGAGTGTGAAGGATGATCCTAATGACAGACCCAGTGTGTCTGGAGCACCTTTGTGTGGCTGCCCCCCTTCCAGGTCTGAGCCCCTCCAAGGCAGGGCCACGGCTGGGCTTCCTCCTCTCTGGGTCCCTCAGAACCTTGTGCCTTCATTCGAGAAATAATAAATAAATAAATATATAATAAATAAATAATAATAAAATAAATAAATATAATAATAATAAAACCCTGCTGTGTGCCACGCAGGCTTTGTGCCTCCAAGGGGAGGGAGGAGAACAGGCCGGGGCTGTCCCTGCTCTCATGAGGCTTCTGGTCACGCAAGGACCCCAGTGGATGTTGATGAGGTGCTTGGTGACTGAAAAGCGACATGGAAGTGCCCGAAGGGCCCCTGGTGCCAGCAGAAGGGGCTGGGCTGGTGTAGCCGAGGTCCACAACACAGGGCTGCCGGGAGCAGAGGAGGGAATGCTGGTTGCAAAGAAGACAAGGGCGTCTTTTCTTTTTTTGGGGGGGATAGATTTTATTGTCTAAAAAAATTTGAAAATATCTCAGTCATTGGAAAAGTTATGAGTACAACACAGGTAACTTTTTCTTGAACCATTTGAGGGTAAGTATGGGGCATCAGTGCGTTTACTGCAAACAAGGGCATTCTCCTCTGTAACCACAGCACTGCTGTCTCCATCCAGCCAACAGCATCAATCCGTCTCCATCCAGCCAACAGCAGCAATCCGTGACCCGTCCACTTCTCCACAATTGTCCCAGCAAATGCCCTTCATAGCATAGAGCAGCCTCAGGACCCTGGGCTGCCTGTGGCTGTGTCCCCCTCTGTCAACCTGGGGCTGCTCCTCAGCCTTTCTTTGATGTTCATGACCTTGACTCTTTGGAAGGTTACAGCCTCCTTTGGTTACAGAATGCTCCCCCATCAGCAGCGTCAGGTCACGCAACTGTAGGGGTCTAGCTCCGCCTCCACGCTGCATCCTTCTTGCCTCCTAGCAGGTGGTCCAGGGCTTGGCTGTGCCCCATTGCTGGTGATGTTCTGTTTAGTTACTTGGTGAAGGTGGAGTTTGCTTGATTTCACTGTAAAGTTACTTGGTTTCCGTTTGCTGTTAACACGTACTTAAAGAAGATACTTTGAGTCAATATAAATATCTTGATATTTGCTTCTCCTTTTCTCCCTCCTTTCCTTCCTCTCTTGTCCTTCTCTGCTCATCTCTCTCAGTCTTTTCTTCCTTTTCTTCTCATCCATCTCTGCTTTTCTTTTCCCTCTCTCCCTCCCTCATTCTGTCCCTTGCTGCCATGTCTCCAGTTTGGATTATGGTTTCCTATTTTATTCCATGCATATAACCTGTTACCATCATTATTTATATTGATGCTCACATAGTCTCAGGTTTGACCAGTGGGAACTGTGTTACACCGGCTTGCTTCCCTGTGTCTTTTGATTCGTCCTCATCATTCTTCGAGCTGCAGAGGACATGTGAATACCGTGCCTGACTTTCTGGCTGGTAACCCAGGCTGGTCAACAAGATGTTCCAGGCTTACCTTGCATTTCCATTGTCCCAGCTTAAGAACCAGCTGTTTGTCCAAGGAGCTCTGGTTCCTTGGTAGTGGAGAGGGGTATTTAGAAGGCAAGATCAGGGCCGGGCGCGATGGCTCATGCCTGCAGTCCCAGCACTTTGGGAGGCCTAGGTGGGCAGATCATTTGAGGTCAGGAGTTTGAGACCAGTCTGGCCAATATGGCGAAACCTCGTCTCTACTAAAAATGCAAAAATTAGCCGGGGGTGGTGGCACACGCCTGTAGTTCCAGCTACTCGGGAGGCTGAGGTAGGAGAATCGCTTGAACCCGGAAGGCGGAGGTTGCAGTGAGCGGAGATTGTGCCACTGCACTCCAGCCTGGGTGACAGAGTGAGACTCCATCTCAGAAAAAACAAAAACAAAAACAAAACACACACACACACACACACACACACACACACACACACACACACACACAATAAGGCAAGATAGGATGAGGTGTGCTCAGTGCTGCTGGGGTGTTCCTGCTTCCAGGCACTCTCAGTGTTCACACCTGGGGAATTGGTGTATGTGTGTGTATGTATTTATTTATGTATGTGTCTCTGTATCCATATGTGTCTATACATGTTGACATGGGTATTTGTTTTCTGTCTATATCAGTGCTGCCAGATAGAAATATAATGTAAGCCACATCTGTATTTTCAGAATTTTGGTGGCTGCAATAAAAAAGCAAAAAGAAATAGGTAGCACTGATTATAATAATATATTTTACTTAACCTATGCTTTTTTTTTTTTTTGAGATAGGGCCTCCCTCTGTCCTTCAGGCTGGAATGCAGTGGCACAATCTTGGCTCACTACAACCTTTGCCTGCCCGGTTCAAGTAATTATCGCATCTCAGCCTCCTGAGTAGCTGGGACTATAGGCTTTTGCCACCACGCTTGGCTAATGTTTGTATTTTTAGGAGAGATAAGGCTTCGACACGTTGGCCATGCTGGTAGCCTATGCATTTTCAACAGGGGCATTACTGCTCTTGAGGGGGCAAAAATCAAATCTTTGGGGATGAAGAAATATTCTTATTATGAATTATTTTTAGAGACAGGGTCTCACTCTGTTGCCCAGACTGAAGAGCAGTGGTGTGATCATGGCTCACTGCAGCCTTAAACTCCTGGGCTCAAGGGATCCTTTCACTACAGCCTCCCAAGTAGCTGGGACTACAGGTGTGTGCCACCGCGCCCAGCTAATGTTTTAATTTCTTGTACAGATGAGAGCTTGCATGTTGCCCAGGCTGGTCTTGAACTCCTGGGCTCACGTGATCCTCATGTCTTGGCTTCCCAAAGTGTTGGGATTACAGGCATGAGCCACTGCAGTCAGAAGAAATCTTATTTTCACAAATAAACTACAGATGTGCATGCCACACAAAACACAGAGACAGACTAGGTACAGTGGCTCACGCCTGTAATCCCAGCACTTTGGGATGCTGAGGCAGGCAGATCACCTGAGGTCAGGATTTTGAGACCAGCTTGGCCAACATGGTGAAACCCCCGTATCTGCTAAAAATACAAAAAATTAGCTGGGTGTGGTGGTGCACACTTGTAATTCCAGCTACTTGGGAGGCTGAGGCAGGAGAATGGCTTGAACCCAGAAGGCAGAGGTTGCAGTGAGCTGAGATCACGCCATTGCACTCCAGCCTGGGTGGCAGAGTGAGACTCCATCTCAAAAGAAAAAACAAAAAACTCACAGAAACAGTGCACCTGCAGTATGAAAATTTCATGCAGGGAGGGAGATTAGGAAAAATATCTGAAAAGCCTCCTTGGAGGGACAGTAACGAAAATGAGGGTGAGAAACACTCATCTTGCGAGCACTGGCGTTCCTGCTGGGCAGGAGCCGGGGAGCGTGGGGTGGGGTGGGGTGGGGTGGGAGCCCTGGCTGTTAGTGACAGGGACTGACCGGGAGTGGGACTTGAGGGCTGTGTTGAGTGGGATTCCAGGCTCAGGCCTGGGGTCAGTAGGAAGGACCCGGGGCTGCAAGGACAGCATAGCCTGGCGTTGGCGAAGAGAGAGAGTTCTCTGCCGAGCGTTGTGATTGCAAAAATCCTGGCGTTGGTGTGGGGCAGGATGAGACCGGGAGGAATGCTGGGTGTGAGGTGTGGGGGCCGCCGTGAGAGTGACCCGTGTCTGCCTGCGGTTTGGGACTTGGAGATGGGTCGGGGCCCTGGCCTCAGGGCGGTGGACTCATGGAGGCAGGACCTTGGTGGGGGCCTGGCGTGGGTGAGCATCCGCCCCACCCCCTGTGCCTCTGTTGAGCCCTTTCTTGCTATGGGGCGCAGGTCATGAGGATGTCTCCTCCTGGAGGAAATCTTCCTTGTCTTCCTGGAAGGACGCTGGGCTCTGGCCTGGGTGGTGGGCAGCGTGATGCCCTCTTTTGAGGAGACTTGTAGGGACACATGTTTGTCCCTGTGTCCAGGCCATGTCTGTGGGCTGTGGCTTCCCAGTTTGAGGGGTGGGACTCCCAGGACAGGGACAGCGTTGGCAACCTGGTGGGGCCAGTGTGGAAGACCCTGGCTTTATGCAGATGCCCAGACCCGAGCCCCTAGCTGAGGCCCCAGCAGGTCTCCCTCCTGACTGCCCCTGAAGTCACTTCCTTCTCTGCCGGTGTCCCAGCCCGGCCACTGCCGTCTCTCTCCTAGAGCAGGTGGCGGCAGATGTTCCAGCGCAGGCCTGGATGGTAAATATTTTAGGTTTCTTGAGCCAGACGGTCTCTGTCACGACTACGCAACTCTCCCCTTGCAGCACGACAGCAGCCCTGGGTGGTCTGTAAACGGAGGAGCGTGGCAATGCTCCCATGAAATTTATTTTTGTAGAATGAAATTTGAAATGTGTTATCATTTTCACATATCATGAAATATTACTCTTACGCTTCCCCCACCACCCTGCTCAACCATTTAAAAACGTAAAAACCTTTCTTAGCTTGCAGGATGTACAAAACCAGGCGGCGGGCCCTATGAAACCAGGCAGTGGGGCCTCCAAAACCAGGCGGCGCGCCCTGCAAAACCAGGTGGTGGGCCCTGCAAAGCACAGCGGCCAGCCCTCCAAAACCAGGCGGCAGCCGGAGTCTGCCGCGCCCTCCTGCCCCGCCAGCCAGAGACTCCTGCGCCCTGTCCTAGGTCCCCTCTTGTGGCCTCCTGCCCCTCCAGCCAGTCTGCCGCGCCCCATCCTAGGCCCCCTCTTGGGGCCTCCTGCCCTGCCAGCCAGAGTCTGCCATGCCCCGTCCTAGGTCCCCTCTTGTGGCCTCCTGCCCTGCCAGCCTGGTTGGCCGTGCCCCGTCCCAGGTGCCCCTCTTGCGGCCTCCTGCCCCACAAGCCTAGTCTGCGGCCACGTGTGCTGCAGCCATGCACAGTTTGGTGCTCCTGCCCTGGAGGCACCCTCCTGCCGGCCGGCCGTCGCCCCTGCCGAGTCTCCCTGGCCTTCGGTGCCCCAGCCTCAGGCACACTGGCCACCTTCCTGTGCCTCCCAGTTCAGGGCCTTTCCCCTGCAGTTCCCTGGAGGGGAACCTTCTTGCCTGGCTCACTGCTGCCATCTGCTTAGAGGCCTGTCCTGGGAAGCCTTTCCTGCCCCCAGGCCTGCTCGAGTCCCCTGACAAGGGCTCTTGGTCCCCCGGGCTTTCCCCTTCCGGGTCGCACAGTTTGTTGCATTTACTGTTCCATTTGTATCTAAAGCCTTTGGCAGGGGCTGGTCCAACAGCAAGTGCTCAGTAAGAGCAAAGCTTTCTCCCAGGCCCTCTTCGTGCCAGGAAGCGGGCTGAGCGCCTCCATGACCCCCACCCCCGCCCTTGGGGCAGTCTAGAGGGGGCTTTGCTCTCAGCCCCATTTTCCTGACAGAGGCCGGGCTCCTCGTGTCTGGAATGACACTGCCAGAAAGAGATCCTTGGAAATGCTTGGAAACACGATGAGTGGCCCGCAGGGGCGGCAGTGGGGACCACACTCGCTTGGCCACACATAGCATCTTCTTGGTGGCCGTGTCCCTCGAGCTCAACCTCCTTGTCTGAAATGGGATGACGGTGGCCACCTTGCAGACTCTTGGAAAGATTTGGTGCAAAAAGTGTGTGTCTGGCGCCCAGCGCAGTTTCTACCCCACAGCAGGGCCCACTGAGCCTCAGGACTCGGCACCCTCACCCCGAGCCCGGCGGCTCACTCCCAGTGAAGGGCACCGGCCCTCACCCGCCGCCTGCCCTCCCTCAGCATCAGAGCAGAGTGCAGCGGGCGGCCTGAGGGAGTGGCTCTCTTCCTGAGACTGCCGCCTCACTACCCACCTCTCTTCCCCTCCCCTCTCGCCGCCAAGTGGAAGGTGAAGCCCTGGGCGCGCTGCTGGGCGCACCTGGACACTGCACGGGTATAGTGGGGGGTGTGGTCGTGGTCACTAGTGCCTGTCTGCAGAAGGAGGCATTCTGGGGCAAGCAGAATCAGGTGAGCCAGATGGTCCTACAACACCTAAGTCTGAGATGGGGAAGGGAGCTGTTAATACTCACATGAGGACCATGAGTGAGGAAAACCTGCTGGCAACACGGGACGCTGAAGAAGGGGCCTCACCCCGTCTCCTGCTTCTCCCCAGGGCCTCCTGGGTTTGACTGGGCGAAGATGGGGCACGTGCAGGCTTTGCTGTTGGCAGGGTCAACAGCAAGCTGTGCTAGTCCTCAGCAAATGAGGTATTTAGATCCCTGGGGGCAGGGTGATGGCGGAGAGCTTCCCGGAGGAGGTGGTACTTGAGATGCCCTGAAAAGTAGATGGCTTTTGGTAGCTAAGGGTTGGAGACAGGTGGTTGTTCTACAGAGAGGGCTCTGTGTGGCCACAGACTGGAGGCGCTGCCACAGTGCTTCATCCTGGATCATTGCTGGAAGGGGTGTTGCAGTTTTTGAAATCTGCGTTCCAGCAGCAGTTGGGGCAGAGGAAGCTGCATGCCACCAGCTCTGATGAGTAGAGACATAAGGCAGCGGCTGCCGCTCACTGCAGAGCTCGACCTGGCTGGCACTGGGCCACCTGCTTGGTGTTCTTCCCTCTGCCTTGCAGGGGATGGTGTTTCCCTGCAGCAGATGATGAGTCTGAGACCCAGGGAGATGCGTGATAGAAGGTTCCAGAGAGGTGGCCATGCCCCATGGCTGGTCGGGCAGCTGGGTGATGATCAGCCTCTGCGGTGTCAGGGTCGGGGGCAGCACCCCAGTGCCCTGGGGAAAGATCTTGTTGCCAGGGCCCCTCTGCCCTGACACATGCCCTTTCTCTATTCTGGGTGGGTTTGTTTCAGGACCGCCCAGCACTGGCACCTCCCCTGGTCCTTGGAAGACTCTGGGCAGCACCAGGTGGGGGCGGCTCTGCCCTGGTTAATGGATGAAGGAGGGACAGGTGACGGGCCAGTCTGAGGTCATGCAGCTGTGTGGGGGTTGAGGCCTCGTGCCAGCCCGTGCAGGTCTCTTGCCTCTGGAGCGCCATTCACTTCCCCCCTCCACCGGCAAAATGGCCCCTTGGGTTGGTGGGAGGTTGGGAGACAGAGAACCAGGTGCCTGAGTCCAGAGATGGCCCCAGGGCTGACCAGCTCTGCCCTCTGGCCACATGGCTTCCGGTCCTGGGCCTCCTGCTCCCGGGTGGCTGGTGGCCCAGCCTGTTCTCCACCCTACTCTGTGTGTCGCGCACTGGCTCGTGGCATTGAGCCGCAGAGGCAGAAACCCTGTGCTTGGTGTTGCTGGCTTTCTGGAGGGGGCACAGAATAAGGATGAATGGAGAGAGGAAGATGGCACTTTCAGATGAGAGAGAGAAGGCAGGCAGAAGGCAGGGCTGCCTTCAGGTGACGCCGGCAGGCTCCCTGATGAGGTGACAGGGCGGTGGGGTGCGCAGCTGGCGCCGCCTTCCCCTCACCACTAGCACCTGTGCTCCCCGAATGCCGTTTCAGCTGAGTGAGTTCAGCTGGGGCCTGTTGGGGAGCTCGGGGCCCTGGCAAAGTCAGCAGGCTGACAGCAGGAGGTCCTCGTGGGCCAGAGGTCAGTGGTGGGGCTCTGGGACATGGCCGGAGGCGGGGCCGGGCCCGGATTAGTGCCTGGCTGCCTGTCCTGCCGGCGGCCGTGGCTCCGGGCTCTGTGTCTCTGCTGCAGGAAGTCTTCATTTGCTTGTCCTCCCTCCCTGTCAACATCCTCTGTCCGAGTTCCGGACGGCTGCGGCGTCCGCTCCTTCCTGCTGCCCTGGGAGCCGAGCCGTCCTCATGCAGCCCCTGCCTGGGGACCCATCTCCTCTGGGCCTGGCTTCGTGTGTGGTTGGGCACTGAGCGGCCGACACATTCCTAGGGTGGAGACCGCACACACAGCGTTGAGCCTCTGACAGCCGCGTTCAGATCCTGGCTCAGCACCTCGTGGCAGACCCGTGGCGCCTCTCTGGACCCTGCATTCTCCGCTGTCAAAGGGGGTATTTTAGGAGCCCCTCCCAAGGGTTGGCCGAGGACCCGGCTGTCAGCCCGGTGCCTGGCAAGTGGGAAGTGCTCGGCGGACATGTCTCCCAGCCCCTGCAGGGTGGAGCCATGAGCTCGCCTCTCCGACACCACCACCCCTGGCACGAAAGCTCTTCCGAAGCCTCAGTGCCCCTCCCCATGTGCCCACTTGACGCGGCTGGGGTGGGCGCTCCGGGACCTGCAGACCTGCTCTCACACTGGGGTCAGGAGCTGGCTGGAGGAGACCCTAAACCCAGCGAACTCCCCTGCCCTGACCCCCTCAGCTCTGATGAGCCCCCTTCTTCACCGGGGCCAGCCCCAGGCTCAGGTGCCCGGTTTTTGGTCCCCTGAAGCTTCGTGTTCTGAAGGACTCTTTGCCTGGAGCTGGGGACGCTGTTTGGCTTCTGAATCCAAAAGATAAACAAGAATGACAAATACAGGACCGTGGAGGGGACAGGACTGGGCAGTGGGAGCTTGAACTTTGGGCCAGACTGAGCGGCTGCGCCCCTGAGTTAGGTCTCCTGCTGCCTGGCAGCTGCAGGTTTTGCAATCCTGATGCTGCTGGAAACAGTGTTTCTGTTTTGTGGGGTTCATCTGTCAGTCTTTACAGAGTTTGTGTAAGGATGAAGACAAATCATTCTCACAGACCTACTCCTTGTCCCCTAGGCCAGCTTGGCCCTGAAGTCATCAGTATTTCTGTTGGTTTGTTTTGTACTTTTGGGTTCAAAGGCAGCGCGAACACGCGGTATCTTTCCGTGACCCGCCAGGTGCTTGCGGGCTGTGGCCTTCCCAGGATTGGGGAGCCCGTCTCCAAGTTTCCTCAAGGCCTCCCAGCCCTGTGTTCTTTGAAATCTGCATAGGGGTGGGGAGGGGGTGCCTGCCTGTCTTCTGTTGTTAAGGACTTTAAAAAATGCTGTGTTGGCTGCCTCCAGGGTCATCCTTCCACAGGGGGATCCTTTCTGCAGTGGCTGGAGTAGGAGAGGGTCCCCCAGCCTGCAATGGAGGAGGTGGCAGTGAGATCCTCCTAGTGGACCCTGGGACCAGCATCCTCTGGCCGGCGGGCCAGGGAGGGCAGTTTCCCCAGCCCTGCCCAGCCCTGCCTGTCCTGGCCTCACCCTCGAACACCGTGTGCCTCCCCGCTCCTGGTCTTGAATGTGTGTCCAGTTTTCAGCCACATTTCTGGGATCATCACATTTGTCTCATACACGTAGGACATCTCCAGAGGCAGGGGGCGTGGGAGCTGCGTGCCCTAGGGCAGGTGGACGCATACACGTAGGACATCTCCAGAGGCAGGGGGCGTGGGAGCTGCGTGCCCCAGGGCAGGTGGACGCCCCATCCCCTTTGCCAGCTGAGGGGCAGAGGCCTGAGGTACTGAGCCACCTGGACTTGGCGTGGCCTTCCTGACTCAGGTGCTGCCCCCTTGACCTCGGCTGCTCCCCCGAGTTTTGAGGCCTATGTTTTGGTTTTTCTGCCTTGTTCTGTTCTCTGGCGTGTCTGTGGTTGGCGTCCGGCAGGGGCTGCAGGCTGCGTGTTGAGGGGCAGGCTCTGGACACTTGCCTGCAGCTCCAATGTCCCACCTCTGACTGTTGTCAGGAACCAGAGGTGCCAGGTGAGTGACAGCTGTCGTGGATGGGGATGGACCGCCTGTCATGTCATTTGCCTGGGTAAGTGACAGCTGTCATGCGTGGAGGGTGACTGGCCCCAGGGCCATTGCCACGTGTCCCCGGTGCACAAGGTGCCTAGACAATCCTTGTCTGGCAACATTCTGTGTCCCAGGCCCCCTGGGGTGGCGGAAGGTTCTAGTCCTTCATGCTCATGAGCGCCGCATCCTGAGACCCTCCTGCCCTCTGTGACTGGGCCATCTGTGCCTCCCTCCCCTAGGCCCCAGCTCATCTTTCTGCTGGGACGGGAGAGAGAAATGATCCCGCAGTCATTTTGGTGAAAGCCAAGACCCCCTTCAGATCTGAGCTGTTCCATCTACAGCTGCTGGGCTGCTCCTCAAATGGACACCAGGCACCCATTGGATGCCGGAGGTCCTCGTGGGATGCTGGGGGGGCCTCACTCTGCCTGAAGTCCCTCTTGGTTTTATTTGTTTTCATTCCAGAGCTGGAAGGAGGCAGGCTTGGGGCAGGGCGGCTGGGCGTGGCCTGGGCCTGGAGCTGGGCTCCGCAACTCCCAGCACCTCAGCCTCGCTGCGTGGTCGCTCCCCTCTGGCCGCAGTCCCTGGCTGTAGGAGAGGCACCCCCTTCAGCCTTGGGGTGTCCAGGCACAGGGCAGTGTGGTTAGGACCTAGGCTGGAGTCCTGGAGCTGCTCACACTGTGTGCTTTTGAGCTTGACCTTCCTGGAGCCTCAGTTTCCTTCTCTGTAGGATGGGGATAAAAGGAGTGGCTTCCTCAGTGGATGAATGGGGGATCCACACAGAGTCCGTCCATGCAGTAGAATATCTGTGGATGAACCTGGAAAATGGAATGCTAAGGCGGGGAAGCCAGGCCTGAAAGACAAGTCCCACGTGATTCTCTTAAAACGTCCAGAATAGCAGCTCCGTCGCAGGACAGAAAGCCAGATGCGTAGCTGCCGGGAGAAGGCGCTGGGGAGAGAGTTCTCAGGGGCTTGGGGGTCTGTTTGCCAGGCATGAAAAAGTTCCACAACTCCATAGTGCGGAAGGTTTGTGGCATTGTGTGTACTTTACCACAATTAAAATAAATAGCCTCTCCCTTGTGGGGAATGAAGGCCTCGTTTCATCAACTGCAACCCCGAGGCAGAGCCCATCTTCTTACTAGGGCTCCAATCTAGGGTCTCACTGTCTCCTCCTCCATCGAGGGTGAGGCCAGGAGAGGCAGGGCTGGGCGGGGCTGGGGGGACTGCCCCCCTGGACTGCTGGCCAGAGGATGCTGGTCCCAGAGTCCACTCAGGATCTCACTGTCGCCTCCTCCATCAGGGGTTGAGGGACCCCATCCTAACCTAGCTGCTGCAGAAAGGATCCCCTTGTGGGAGGATGACCCTAGAGGCGGCCAACATAGCATTTTTTTTTTTTGAAATGGAATCTCGCTCTGTCACCCAGTCTGGAGTGCAGTGGTGCGATCTCCGCTCACTGCAACCTCCGCCTCCTGGGTTCAAGCAATTCTCTGCCTCTGCCTCCCGAGTAGCTGGGATTACAGGTGCCCACCACCACGCCTGGCTAATTTTTGTATTTTCTTTTTTTTTTTAGTAGAGATGGGGTTTTACCATCTTGTCCAGGCTGGTCTTGAACTACTGACCTCGTGATCCACCCGCCTCAGCCTCCCAAAGTGCTGGGATTACAGGTGTGAGCCATGGCGCCTGGCCAACATAGCATTTTTAAAAGTCCCCTGACAAGAGAAGAAGTGTGGGAGGGTTGGAGGAGACCCGTCTGCCTTCCTGGGTCCCTCTCTCCTGACAAATATTGAAAGTTCTATTCTGTGACTGCATAGGTATAAAGGTGAACATACAGGTATGAGATATTTAAATATTCTCTTAGAGCTCAACACTCTCTTGGACCCAGGGCACTGTGCCTCTGTGTTCTTGGGTGAGCAGCCCCGTGTGGGCTTCCCTTGGCCATGCCAGGCAGGCTGGGGGCTCAGAGACTTTGGAGGGAGCTAGACTTTGTGTCCTTTGTCATTTCTCAGTTGTGTGATTTTGGCCACATCACTTCTGAGCCTCAGTTTCCTTATCTGTAAACTGGGGCTGTTGCTGCTGCTAATACTTTCCGCAATACATGTCGTGTTTTGAAAATTGAGGGGTTTGTGTGAGTGACAGTCTCTGCCCAGGGCTGGCAAGTTTTATTTAATCCTGTTTTGTAAGGCTCTGAGGCTGGGCCCCCCAGAAACAGACCCCAAGATGGGAGGTAAGCCAAGTGTGGGAGGCCAGGTAGGGAGGGAGAGAGGCAGATAACATTGACCCAGCAAGTTCCTGCTGTGGGTGACAGGCTTGGCCCACTGAGCACTGAGCGAGGATATGGGTTTGTGTCCAGCCCTCCTAGCTCCTGGTGGGGGAGGCCATGGACATGGCGGGGGTGCCGGGGCAGGCTGGGGTGCCTGCCTTTCCTAGTAAGGGGATGGGTTCTGCCTCGGGGTAGGAGTTGATGAAATGAGGCCTTCATTCCCTTCATTCTGTGAAACGGCCTGTTGGTGCTTTCACCTGCCTTGGTTGGCGTCAGCAGGAAAAGGCCGTAAAAAGGGCCTTGAGATGGACCACACTCGCTCTGGGCCATGACGCACGCTGGGTTCTGCCAGGGGCATGAATCACGTGGAAGGCCCTGCAGGAGGGTGGGTGAGGCCCGCTCCCCACGGTACCACAAGGTACAGACCTTGAGGGAAACTGTTGGCCTGAGAGATTGGAGGTTCTTGGAAGACTTCGGGGGCCAGTCAGAAAAGTGAGTGTCCTGTCTGGAAGTCCTGGAAGCAGAAGCCTTGTGTGCTGACCTGTCTGTCCATGGTGCAGTGCTGGGTGCAGGGCGTGACCTATCTGTCCGCGGCGCACTGCTGGGTGCAGGGCGCAGGGAGTGTGTGGATTTTCTGAGTGGGTGAATGGCACAGTGAGGAAGAGGACCACGTTAAGGGAGCTGTTTCCAAGTCCAGCTTGGAAACTGTAGCTTGCTCATGCCTTTGGGCAACTTGCTCCACCTTTCTGAGCCTCAGTTTACCCATTTCCACAGTAGGAAGGTGGTGCACTCCCCGTCCCCCGGGTGGATGTGGAGTGGTCACACCTGACACAGGGTGCAGGTGTGTGTTTGGCCCAGCGCAAAAGCAGGTAGCAAACGGAGACCACTGCTGATGTGACTGTGCTGCTTTGTGCCCTGGTCACCTCACCTGACGTCCACTCCCACCCGGCGAGTGGCTGCCTCAAGGGGAGGCTGGAGGTTGGAGGGGCACTGTGGGCCGTTCTGGGACCACCTCCCTGTCTAGGCCCTTGTGCAAGGGAGCTGGAGTTGTGGTGGGCCTGGGTATTCACTCACCCAGCAAGCGTTACTGACCGCTACCCCGTGCCTGGCTCCGGGCAGACAGGCAGCCCTGCTTGCGGCCCAGGAGGACACA
Source organism: Homo sapiens (assembly GCF_000001405.40). Taxonomy (NCBI): domain Eukaryota; kingdom Metazoa; phylum Chordata; class Mammalia; order Primates; family Hominidae; genus Homo; species Homo sapiens. The sequence continues at coordinate 133,974,188 of NC_000009.12, read as the reverse complement.
GGCAGATACCACACAGGCAGTGTGGAGGGAGTGTGAGGAGACGCTGGGCCCTGCCAGGAATGTGGCAGCGGGTGGGTGGGGCAGGGTCTGGGGCTTCCTGGAGGAAGTGACCTTTTAGCTGAGCCCTGCGTGACAGTGCGCCAGGTGAGCGTGAAGGGAGCGTTCTGGAACAGGTTCACAACACCCCAGCCCCCACCTTCCTGGCCTGGTAATCTGGGGTCAGGACTCTGACCTGCTGGATCCTGCTTCCACGTCCTCATTTTCCTCCTGAATTGCCATGTTGTTTTTCTGCCCCGAGGTTCTTTCCCAGCAGTCAGCTGAGTGGGAATTTGATGCTTATCCCAAGGCCTGGGGGGGCCCTGCATTTTGTCTTCCTCTTTAGGGACACGCAGGTGTCCTTTCTCATGATGGGGGTGTTGATGGGTGGGTAGGCGTGGGTAGCCACACACTGGCAATGTCCCAGGGACAAAGGGCGAGGGCGTCACCCTTGTGCGGGGTATCTAGGGTTCCTCACCTGCCACCTTGATCACTGGAATTGGGAGGGAGAGTGTCGTGTTATTTTGAAGTCATCTTCCTTCTCTGTAGGGCGTGCGTGGGTTGGGCACTGTCAGCTCGTCTGCGCCAGCTTCTTTGGGTCTCCTTCCTCTCTGGGAGTGGTTTTCTGCACCGCTGCCCTTTGCAGATGGCCTTCCGGGGAGAGCCCACCTCCAGGGTCAGGACCAGAGGCCAGCGGCATAGGGATGCCGGGGTGACAGGATAACTCTCCAGTCCTGCCCGGGGGTCATGGGAGGGAGGCTGATGTTACCATACACCAGAAGAAGCCTGTTCTTTCCTGGTTGTGGGACTTTGGCACGTTTCTGAACTCCGAGTTTCGCGGTACAGCGCCAGTTTTTCCTGTGCAGAGTGGGTGTGAGGATGCAGGGGGTTGACGCTCTGGGCGGGCTGAGCGCTGGGCCAGGCGGGCCAGATGCCAGACAGATGGTGGCATTGAGGTCTCTTCAACTGTGTGCAGACAGGGGGGCTTGCAGATCCCCTGTGCCCATGGACCTTCCTTGGGCCCTCCGTGGCACTGGGTCTTCACTGCCCGCTGCCTTGGTACCAAGGCAGGGCTCCCTGGGGATTCCTTACCGTTCCCATCTCTCTCCAGGAGGGAGGCTGGTTGGTGTTCCAGGCAACGGCTTCCCCAGTGCCCTCCTCCTCCGCCTCCCACCCTTCCCTTAGCATCTTCAAAGTGGTGATGGGGAGCTTCTCCATGGACTTGTGAGACACCCCTCATCATGGGAGTAGCCAGTGCCTAACTCAGGTTAAGTGATGAAGGAAGATGGGTCCAGTGGGCACGTGAGATCTCGGGCCACCTGCATCATGCCTGGGCCTTGGTTGCCTCATCTGTAAAGTGGGGCCATCATTTCTGCCTGACGCCTCCAGGAGTGGGTGGGAGGAGGGCTTGGGCGGGTGTCTGCAGTCAGGTTCCCCTCGCTGGAGTGAGTGGCAAGAGCCTCCGCTGCCTTCGGATCTGCTTTGTGAGGACTCTTGCGGGAGGCCCTGCCGATGACTCTGACTGTCTGTGCTCCATGCTCTGGGTGACAAGTTCCCTCTTCTGTTTCTTAAGGAGATGTTTCTCAGGGGGGCTCAGGCTTGCAGGAGGCGGGCCGCCCCTCGGCTACATGTGTCTGCGGGAGCCAGCGGCAAAGAGTGTTTGCCTTTAATAATGACATGGGCTCTCCGCTGCTTTCTTTGGGTGAATCTCCATTTTTCTGCATTAGCTAATGACGCAGTGTGTTCCTGGAGCCTCCCCCACCCCTGCCCTGCCCCAGCATCGCAGCGCCTGGGCTGCAAGCCTGGAGATGTTCTTAGAGAAGGGTCGGACGGACGGGTGCCCAGCAATTCCTGACTGTTTAGTTAGCGGGAGCTGAGGGGCGTGCCCGCTGAGGACAGGTGCCTTATCTGGGAGTGAAAAACCACGTCAATAAATCCAGGCCATAAACCTCACCTTTCGAAGCAGTCATGTGTGTGTTTTATGGGTTGGCTGATCTGTGCGGCCCGAATTCTTGGCAGCATGAATTCTTGGGACTTTGGGGTGTGTGTGGGTGTGTGTGGCTATGGATGAATCAGAATGGCCTTTGGGGACAGGAATTGGGGCTTGGTCTGCATCCGCGCTGTGTGACCTGGGGCAGAAGACTTCCCTTCTGTGCCTATCTGCATCTCTGGTGAATCCGGGCCATGCCGTCCACTTCCTTGAGGTTGTTTTCTGCCCTTTGAAGTGACCAAGGGCTCGGGGATCTGCAGCCCCAGGGGCCTTTTTTGCCTGCAGAGGTCTGTGCACTCTACGGGGATGCTGTTGGACCAGGAGTTGCCCTTTCTGTTGGGGGAAGCCCTGGCCGCCTCCCCATTGTGATTCAGGACCCGGGTGGTGCAGGTGGCCCCAGGCTGTGGGTTTTGTTGACAGCTGGGGACCCGTGACTGGCTCAGCCCACACCCTGGACCAGCTCCTGGGGCCCCTGTCCTGCCCTGCTCCTTCCCACGCTGGCCTTGACCCTTCATGTCAGCAGCCTCCACATGCTGGCCATGGTTGTCCTTTGCAGTATGAAATGGGTGGCCTGGGCAGGAGGCCAGTGTCACAGTCACGACTCACCTCCCCAGTGGAGCAGCTCAGGCCCCCCAGCCTTTCTCTGGTGTTGCCGTCTGGTGGCCTGGGAGGGGTGGGCTGGCTCCTGGGCTGCCCCTCTGTGTGTGTGTGGGCCGTGGGCCTGGCCAGGACAGTTTCTAGGCTAGAGAGTCATTGGCGTAGAACATGTGGCCCCCTCCTGGGTTCCTGGGGCACAGTGGAGTCACCGGTCCCACGGTGCCTGCTTGCGGCTGCCCCTGGGCTGCCGTGGCGACCCAGATGGTGACGATCAGGATCAGTTAAACACCGAGGGGCCAAGTGGGTCTGACCCCCAGAGGGCTTTCCCTGCCCCCGACAGGCCTCACAGCAGCAGTTACGACTGTTCCATCTGCAAGCTTTGGAGACTGAGGGTCAGAGGGCACACGGACTCTGCCTGACTTCGTTGGGGGAAGCGATGGTGGGAGTGGAACCCGGGGCTTCCCGGTCCAGACCTTGGTGTCCCCACTCCCCGCAGGAGGCACCGCGGGCTCCTGAGATACTGTGACTTGCACCTGTAATATATATATATTTTTTATTTCAAAAAGGAAAAGATAGAATTTTCACACACCATTCCCTTCTCATGCAAATGAACCTTGGGAGAAATTGGCCTGTCATCTCTTTGGGTGTATTTTGTGGTAATTTAGCTGCTTAAACGAAACATCTGTTAACCAGGGAGAGCCAGGCTGTAGATTAAAGCAAGAGTACAGAAGCCGTTTGCATTTACTGTGATTGAGGAGTGGCCTGCTAGTTCAGGGCTGCCCTGCAGATGGACAGACGAGACCATTTGACACGAGAGGCTGTGGGGCAGGTGACAGGCCCGAGGCTTTCTGCTGCCTGCCCCTGGGGCCTGAGGAGAGGCAGCTTTCTTGTTGGTAGCTAGGCCAGAGGCTGGGGCTGGGCTTCGAAGTTGGAGGTGCTGGGCCAGCAAGGCTGGGCCCAGGGAAGGAGCCACCTCCATCTCTGCAGCCCCACATGTGTCTGTCAAAGGGACCAGGTACACCAACCACAGGGCTGTGGGTGCCGTGGACAGCCTCGTGATCGCCACTGCCACGCCTCTGTGGGCTCCTCTGTAGAACGGGCTGTGGGGGTGGTCAGGTGAGGTCTGGTGAGGTCCCGTGAGCCTCGGTGGCCTCGTGTGGGCCAAGGTCCCTGGCTCCCAGCAAGCACCGAACGTGGTGCCATCCCCCAGCCTCCGCTTGGGAAACTGCCTTTTTACGAGACTTGTATTTTCAAGACATGGCGGGCGGGGGTTTTCCTCACATCGCTTGCTGTGTGGGGTCATCGGGTGGGGCCCTTCCCCAGGCCTTCCTGTGCCCAGGGAGCTGAGGACCTGGCACTTGTGAGTGATTGGCCCTTGGGGCAAGGGAGAGATGGTTGAGACTCGGTCTCTCCTTCAAGGAGTCCTGCAGAGTCTGAGGGGAGCGGGAGGAGTGTGGCCATTGTGGGAGCTGTTGAGTGGGCAGGGAGGGTGGAGGACCAGGATGGCAGGAGCAGCGGGTGCTGAGGCCAGGGGGTGCAGACCACCCTGCACGTCTGGGGGGTGGCAGGAACTCTGAGTCACTGCCTTGAAGGCTGCAGGGAGGCAGGGCCGGCTTCATCCTGGGTGTGCCAGGGAACCCTGGGCAGGGTTGGTGCAGATGTGGCGTGCTCAGATTTGGCTTTGGAAAGCTCCACTGTGTCTGCACTACAGGGACACCTGGAGAGGGAGGCCTGGAGCCCCAGAGGCTGGGGCAGAGGCAGATGGGGGTGTCCAGGCTGGGGGGTGGGGAGAGAAGTGGGAATGGAGAGAGATGGACGGCCCCGCTGGAGCGCAGGAGGAGTGGGTGGGCTTGGGGTGGATTGGACTTGGGTGATGAAGAGGGTGCTCTGGGGTCAGGCTTGAGCAGTGCGATGGACAGTGGGGCTCATCTGGAGTTGGCCCTAGGGGTTCAAGTCCCCCACTGGCCAAGGTTGCAGGGATGTCTGGGTTCTCCCAGCAGCCTTCCTGGAATCCGCTCTGGTCAGGGTTGGGGTGTTTCAGCTCCACCCCTGAGGTTCCCTGGTTGGCCTCAGGCTTCTTGTCTCAGTGGTGCTGATGCTGGTTGGTGTCCAGGTTTGCTGGACTTGAAGGTGGGAGGTCAGTGGTCTTGGTGGGTCTGGCCCCAGCCTGGGAGTGACCAAACTTAGCAGCCTCTGGCACTGTCAGATCCCTGGAGAGAGACGTCTGATTGGCACAGACTGAATTCCAGATCCTCCCTCCTTCCCTGTTCGTTGTATTCTCTACCATGCCAGCAGCGCAGCCGTGAGAAGCCGCAGTTCATCCGGCAGGAGGGAAGCAGGTGCAGAGGCTCGTCCTCGCAGGCCCGGCGGGCACGGTGGAATCCAGCTCTCGTCCTCGCAGGCCCGGCGGGCACGGTGGAATCCAGCTCTCGGGGGAAGTGTGAATCCCGGCATGTGGGATTCATCTCAGGCAACTAGACGGCTTTCACCGACACCCGGCCAAACTGCCTCAAAACCCAAAACAGTTGTCTCTTATTTTTAAGTGGTTTTTGCCTGTGGAAAGAGTGGTTTTTCTTAGAAAAGGGCACTGCCTTAGATTGATTTTTGGGGGACTCACTTATTGCTATTGATCTGTTAAAGCTTTAATCGGGAAATAGCCTCGTGGTGGTTCTCAGTGAGGCACATTTGCTGCAACCGAGGGTGGCTGTGCTGTCGCGAGCCGCTGAGCCAGCCAGCCGGGGGTCTCGAGACACCCTCCAGATCTGAGCTGGGGACAGGGCCCTACCCCGGCAGGTCCCAGGAGTGAGCCCAGGGCTGACAGAGGACAGTGCCATGGTCTGAAGCTGCACGAGAGGCAGAGGCCGATGGTGGCTCTCTCTCCCGGCTACAAGGCTCTGTGATGGGTCAGTGTGTGGCTGGAGGATGTCCCCAGGCAGCCCCAGAGCCCGGGTCGTGTAGGCTCTAGAGGACCGGCAGCTCTGTCCAGGCCCCCGGGGATGGCCCCATGGGTAGGGACCCTGGGGACCATGGGACTGGCCCCGAGCGCGTTTCTCTTCCTCTTCATGTTGCCTGGTGCATGGGTGGTACCAGAGCTTTGACAACTGCATCTCTGAGCCTCTCTTGCCTTTTGGTGGTGTTTTTCCCCCCCACAACCTTTTCAAATGTATTATTTATTTATTTAATTGGTACATAATAATTGTACGTTGTTTATGGGGTATGTGTGACACTTTGATACACATATGCCATTGTTTATGGGGTATGTGTGACACTTTAATACACATATACCGTGTGTAATGATGAAATGAGGGTCATTAGGATGCCCATGATCCCAAACATGTGGCATTTCTTTGTGTTGGGAACATTTCACGTCCTCTCTTCTAGTTATTTTGAAATATGCAAGAAGTTATCGTTAACTGTAATCCTCCTGCCGTGCTTCTGAGCACTAGGACTCGTTCCTGTCTAATTGCATGTTTGCCCCCATTAACCAATCTCTCTTCACTTTCCTGTCGCCCCACCCAGTCTCTGATGTCCATCATTCCACTCTGTCCCTCCATGAGGTCAACTTTTTTAGCTTTAACATATGAGAGAGACATCATATGATATTTAGGTTTTTTTTTTTTTTTTTTTTTTTTGGTTATAGAGTCTTCCTCTGTTGCCCAGGCTGGAGTGCAGTGGTGTGATCTTGGCTCACTGCGACCTCCACCTCGTGGGTTCAAGCCATTCTCCTGCCTCAGCCTCCTGAGTAGCTGGTACTACAGGTGCACACCACCACATCCGGCTAATTTTTGTATTTTTAGTAGGAGATGGGGTTTCACCACGTTGGGCGGGCTGGTCTCAAACTCCTGGCCTCAAGTGATCCACCAGCCTAGGCCTCCTAAAGTGCTGGGATTATAGGTGTGAGCCACTGCACCCGGCCCATATGATATTTAGCTTTCTGTGTCTGGCTTTTTTCACTTAACAATGACCTCTAGTTCCATCCACATTGCTGCAATGACAGGATTTTATTCTTTTTCATGGCTGAATAGTATTCTATTGTGTATATATGTCACATTTTCTTTATCCATTCATTCACTGATATTTAGGTTGATTGTGAATAGTGCTACGGTAAAGGTGGGAGTGCAGATATATCTCAAACACTGATTTCCTTTCTTTTGTTTACATGCCTGGTGGTAGGATTGCTGGATCAGGCAGATCTCTTTTTAGTTTTTTGAGGACCCTCTGTACTGTTTCCTATAGTGGCTGTATTAGTCTACGTTCTGACCAGCAGTGTACTAGTGTTCCCCTTTCTCCACATCCTTGCCAGCATCTGTTGATTTCTTGTTGATAATAGCTATTATAACTGGGGTGAGATGGTATCTCGTTGTGGTTTTGGCTTGCATTCCTGTGATGATTAGTGATGTTGAGCATTTTTTCACATGCCCGTTGGCCATTTGTATGTCTTTTGAGAAATGTCTTAATAACAGATTATTTACCCGTTTAAAAATCAGATTATTATTATTATCATTACTATTTGCTTTTTTTTTTTTTTTTTGAGACAAAGTCTTGCTCAGTCACCTAGGCTGGAGTGCAGTGGTGCAATCTTGGCTTACTGCCACCTCTGCCTCCTGGGTTCAAGCAATTCTCCTGCCTCAGCCTCCCAAGTAGCTGGGATTGCAGGCGCCCGCCACCAAGCCCAACTGATTTTTTGTATTTTTAGTAGAGACAGGGTTTACGGTGTTGGCCAGGCTGGTCTCAAACTCTTGACCTCAAGTGATCTGCCCGCCACGGCCTCCCAGAGTGCTGGGATTACAGGCATGAGCCATCGTGCTCGGCCCTGCTATTAAGTTGACTTTTTTTTTTTAAAGTTTTAAATTTTTTATGTTTTTTGAGTCAGGATCTTGCTCTGTCACCTGGCTGGAGTGCAGTGGTGTGATCACAGCTCACTGCAGCCTCTACCTCCTAGGCTCAAGTGATTCACCTCAGCCCCCAAGTAGCTGGGACAATAGGTGCGTGCCACCACGCCTGGCTAATTTTTGTATGTTTTGTAGAGACGGGGTCTCGCCATATTGCACAGGCCAGTCTCGAACTCCTGGCCTCAAGCCATCTTCCCGCCTCGGCCTCTCAAAGTGTTGGGATTATAGGCATGAGCCACCTCGCTGGACCGAGTTCTTTATGTATTCTGGTTATTAAAAATCCCTTGTCGGATGAATAGTTTGCAGATTTGTTCCCCTATCCTGTAGGTTTTCTCTTCACTCTGTTGATTGTTTGCTTTGCTGTGTGGAGGCGTTTAGCTTGATGTAATCCCATTTGTCTATTTTTCGTTTTGTTCTGTCCGCTTTTGAGGTTTTACCCAAAAAATCTTTGCCCAGACCAATGTCCGGAAGCATTTCCCCAATGTTTTCTTTCAGTAGTTTTATGGTTTTGGGTCTTATGGGTAAGTCTTTAATCCCATTTGATTTGATTCTTGCATATGGGGAGACATGGAAGTCTAGTTTCATTTTTCTGCATATGGATATGCAGTTTACCTATCACCATTTATTAGAGATTGTTCTTTCCCCACTGAATGTTCTTGGTGCCTTTGTTGAAAATGAGTTGACTGTAAATGTGTGGATTCATTTCTGGGTTGTTTTATTCCATTGGTCTAGGTATGTGTTTTGTTTTTATGCCAGTATCATGCTGCTTTTGTTGCTGTAGCTTTGTAGTGTGTTTTGAAGTCAGGTAGTGTGATGCCTCCAGCTTTGTTGTTTTTGTTCAGGATTGCTTTGGCACTTCAGGGTCTTCTGTGTTTTCAATATGTATTTTGGGATTGTTTTTTCTATTTCTTTGAAGAATGTCATTGGTATTTTGATAGGAATTGCATTTAATCTATAGATATTTTGGTAGTGTGGTCATTTTCAAATTATTAATTCTTCGAATGCATGAACATGGGATGTCTTCCATTTTTGGTGACTGCTTGAATTTTTTTAATCAGTGTTTTACAGTTTCTCTTGTAGGGATCTTTCACCTCCTTGGTTAAATTTATTCCTAGAAATTTTAATTATTTTGTAGCTGTTATAAATGGTATTGCTTTCTTGACTTTTTTTTTTTTTTTTGACAGTCTCGCTCTGTCATCCAGGCTGGAGTGCAGTGGCATGATCTTGGCTCATTGCAACCTTCATCTCGTGGGTTCAAATGATTCTCCTGTCTCAGCCTCCCTAGTAGCTGGGACTATAGGTTCCCATCATCATGCCTGCCTAACTTTTGTTATTATTATTTTTTTTTTTTAGAGATGGGGTTTCACCATGTTGGCCAGGCTGGTCTCAAACTTCTGACCTCAGGTGATCTGCCCACCTTGGCCTCCCAATGTGCGGTGATTAGAGGCATGAGCCACTGTGCCTGGCCTTTCTTGATTTTTTTTTTATTCTGCTAGTCCATTGTTGGTGTATGGAAATGCTACTGTTTTCTATATGTTAATTTTGTATCCTGCAATGTTACTGAATTTGTTATCAGTTCTAGGTTTTTTTGGTGGAGCTTTTAGGGTTTTCTATATCTAAGATCATGTCTGCAAACAGGGACAGTTTGACTTCCTGCTTTCCAATTTGGAGGCCCTCTATTTCTTTCCTGTGTTTAATTGGTCTGGCTAGCACTTCTAGTACTACGTTGAATAAGAGTGGTGAAAGTGGGCACCCTTATTTTGTTCCAGTTCTTAGAGAAAAAGCTTTCAGGTTCTCCCCATTCAGTATAATGTTAGCTATGGGTTTCTCATGTATGACCTTTATTGTGTAGAGGAGTGCTCCTTCTGTACCTAGATTTTTGAGGGTTTTTATCCCAAAATGATATTGAATTTTATCAAATGCTTTTTCTGCATCTGTTGAGATGATCATATGGTTTTTGTTCTTCCTTCTGTTGATGTGATATATCATGTTTATTGATTTCTGTATGTTGAGCCATCCTTGCATTCCTGGGATAAATCCCATTTGATCATGGTAAGGGGTCTTTATATTGTGTTGTTGGATTTGGTTTGCTAGGATTTTGTGGATGATTTTTGCATCTATGTTCGTTAGGGTATTGGCCTATAATTTTTATGTTGTGCTAAAATGTATTTTTCATTATACATATATGACATCCATTATAAAAAGCATACGCATGCAAAATTATATATGTTATATACATAAATATGTGTATTATATATATTTATGCAAATGTAAATACATATATTTGTGTGTATATATTTGTACAAATGTAAATACATGTATTTGTGTGTGTGTGTATATACATATGTGTATATATATATATATCAGGGCTCACTGCAGCCTTGAACTCCCAGGCTCAAGCCATTTTCCTGCCTCAGCCTCCTTAGTAGCTGGGACTACAGGCGTGTGCCACTGCGCCTGGCCAATTTTTGTATGTTTTGTAGAGACAGGGTTTTGCCATGTTGCTCAGACTGGTCTTGAACTCCTGGGCTCACATAATCTGCACCTTGGACTCCCAAAGTGCTGGGACTACAGGCATGAGCCAACATACCTGGCCTATTCATTTATATATATGTATATATATGTATATATATATATATATATATATATATGAATGAATAATTTTTTTTAAAGTTTACTAGTCTTCTTATCACCTAGAGGAGAGCTATTTACATTTAATTGTGGTCACTCCTGTTTGATTTACAGAACTGGGCTGTGCTATACTTTCCATTTAGGACTCAGCTTTTCTCATATCCTTGCCTATCCTAAATGGTTTTCCATGTACTTTATTTCATTGATTCCAAGATGACATAGTTTTCCTTGCATGTTCTGACATCTCTGAAGCCAGAGTGGGTCATGGAAGCCTTGTAATCAGAGGCATAATTAGAGTTTCACAGGCATTTTTTCCCCTGGCGATACATAAAATCATGCCATGTTTCACGTGTGACAGTCCTTGGATGTGATACAACGTGGCGTTTTATATTCTTGTTTCAATGGCTTTCTGGTGCTTGGAAGTTCTGGAGTTGACCAGACCAAGCCCTTTTGATTGGATGCCCACAGCCCTGCTGTGTAGAAAGCCTACCTTGGTTACCCCCAACACAGGGATAGCCACCCTGAGAGCTGCCTGTCGGCACGACTGGACCCTGCTGGCCGACTTGGAGTGTGGAGCTCACGTGCAGGCTCTCTGTTGACACACACCCTTAGCGAGCCAGCTTATGAGGACAGGCTGCACCGTCTCTGCCCACCCTGGGTGCCCCCAGCCCTCCCTGCTTGATGGCCTCCGTGCCCTCTCTCCCTTGGTTCTGGTCAGTGGCGTTTCCTGGGTCTTCCTGACCGTGCTAGTAATCCTGGGCTGCTGACTCTGCTGAGGGCTCCGATCCCTGATTGACTGATCATTAATTGATACTTACTAGAGGAATACTGTCTTCACAGAGCCTCCTGGTGCTGGGTCCTGGGGAAGCTCTTGTAGCTTCGACCCCGAGTTCTGCCGGGCACCATCCCAGTTTCCGTGCAAAGGGCCTTTGCTCCAAGACATAATGACCACCTTTAATTAAGTTCTAAGATGCTTATTGGTAGAAATAATCAGTCCAAAATAAAAGTGACTGTTAATAAAGCTGTACCCAATCACATTATTGACTAAAGTGGATGAAAAGTCAAACCTCTTGGCGAAATTGAGATTTGCAAAATTTGCTCTGGAAAAAGAAGACTTTTAGCAGCCATGAAAGAACCTCAGGAGGGAGGAAGGTCAGAGGTCTGGGGAAAACCTAGGAATGGAGCCAAGCGCTCAATGTGGTTTTGAAGCAGAAAAGATACTCTTAATAACATAAAAGGGAAAGTTGAAACCTGCAAAATCAAACAATGATATCTCGAAAACCATTCAAGGAATTAATGCACTCGGTAGAGCTCAAATCAAATGGTGCTTTCAATTTCCTTAATGTTGATGAAATTATCACTAAAATGTTGGTGTTCACAGCCCCCCGAGTCCCAGCACCGGGAGCTTTGTGGGGGGTGGGGCGGGGAGGGGCTTCTGCTAACTGTGCTTGGAGAGCTGGAGCCAGGCCTGGGTGGGCGTCCCAGGGTACCCTGATCTGCAGGACCCCCGCAGCAGCCCAGGTGCCCTGGGCTGGGGGATGAGCAGCCCCTCAAGACCCAGGGGAGTAGGGAGGACCCAGCTCCTCCCACCAGCTCCTCTCTGCAGGGACACCCGCACCCCTCTGCCTCTGGATAGAAAGCCTACCTTGGTTACCCCAGCTGACAGGGGACTGCCACTTTGAGAGCTGCTTGTGGGCATGGCTGGACTCTGCTGGCCAACTTGAGTGTGGAGCTCAAGTCCAGGCCCTCCTAGAAGATGGGGCTTCCCTGCATCTCCCTCCTGCCTTCAGAAGACACTGGTCATTGAATCTGGGGTCCACCCTGATCCTGGGTGGCCTCATCTTGAGATCCTTACCTGTTACCCCTTCATCCCCCTCTGTGCCCAGGAGGGTCCCATAGAGGAGCTGGTGGGCAGGGTGGGGTTGGAACTCCTGTGGGGTTCTGTCTGCTCATTCCCTCCACCCCCAGTGCTGAGCCAGCTGGCTTTGCTATGTCAGTGCTAAGCCTCTGGCTTCCATGAGGCCATCAAGGTGGGGATGGTGGTGGCTGAGGACCATTCAGGAAGAGGGTCCCCAGCACCCGGCATGGGGGATGATGCTGGGTTCTGGCAGGGGCCACCGTGGGGTGAGGAGTCAGGGTGGGGGCACCCTCTGGGTGGATGAGGCTCACGGTGAGGGTCTCCCTGTTCCCAGCCTAGGCCTGCGTGGCCACCAGAACGAGGGGCCACTCTGCTCCTGTGGGCTCCCTGGTGTACATCATGCAAGCCCGGGTCTTCTCCCTGAGCCACTGGGCCGTGGTTGTGTCCTGTGTCTTTTCTGCAGCTGGCTTGGGAGTTCGCAGGCAAACCGGCTAGGGGTTTGCAATGGGAAGTAAAACTGGCTGAGGCTTATGCGTGCTCTGGGGACTGGAGCACCTGGGCTGGGCCTCCCAAACCAGCCCCGTGGGTCTTTGTGAGGTCAGAGGGCATTATAGACCCCAGAGAGGTGAAGCAGCTGTGTTCCTGTTGAGCGGGGGGTGGGAAAGGGCTCCCTCCATGCCTCTGACCTTGGGTCACTGAAACCCGACTGGGTTGGAGAAGGGGATTCCAGGGCCCTCTGGTCTGCAGCCCCAGATGCTGGTGTTCCCAACCTCCGTTCCCATCAGAAGCCTGACCAGTTTCTGGGTGCAAAACTGCACGTTGCTCATTCCACTGCCCATGGTGTCTTGGCCACAGGCCGAAGCTTCAGCCCTCATTGGCCGGCTTGAGTCCTGGCCGGGGGTCCCTGGGAGGTCTGCTCTGAGAGTGAGGAACCCTACTCTTAATGGACACTCCTCTGAGATCAAAAGGTTGACTATTCTGTTGGACTGCAGTGATTGTTTCTTGGGGACCGCTTGGTGAATGAAGCCGAGGTGGCCTTGGTCCGTGTTGGGCTAACTAAAAGCGCTCAGCAGCTCCCACCTGGAGAGCTTGGGGCCGCCCGTGATGTGTGCCGGGTGTGGGCCAGTGGAGGCCCCTGCTCCCTCACCTGCGCTCCCAGGCAGGCGTCGCATTGCAAGGCGGCAGACCTGTGGTCACCATTCCTCTCCAAGCACGCCCTCCTGCCTCTGTGCTCACCATCCTCCTGGGCTTCTCCAAGGCCGGCTCGAGCACCCTTCCCATGACGGCCTCCTGCCCCGTTGGCTCTGTCCCCGGGGAGCCTGGCACCAGCCAGTGTGGAGTAGGTGGTCCCTGAGCTTTACTTATGAGAGTTCTTCTTCCCTCAGGGAGGCTGCAGCTCCTCTCTGGGTTCGGGACTCCTGCGTTCCACAAAGGGTATTACAGAGTCAGGCAGACAAAGCGCCACATGCCGGGGCTGGGGGAGGAAAGAGCCTGGCCTGGATACTGGGCACCTCCCTTTTCTGTGCCAGTCAGCAGGGCGTTCACTGACTCCTAGTGAACAGGAAAAGAATGCACTTTACTTCCCGTTTTCTCCGCAGATAAGTCCTTGATCCCCTGGCTTGGGAAATAATTGGCGGCCGCTATTAAGCGGAGACATGATTTGGGGGAGAGGCTTTGAGGAGCCACTTTCATGACTCCTCCCATGCATGTGGGAGTCAGAGGCTCCCGTGGCCGGCACTCAGGGTCAGCCTGCAGGGAGTGAGGCTCCAGTGGGGTCCCCCAGCTCCCCTGGGCCTCTGTCCAGTGTGGAGACCTTGCCAGAGACCAAGGAGCAGGTGGCCAGTGCAGGCAGGAAGATTGAGAATTTAAACTGAGAGATGATGAAAACCCCCACAGATAAGAACTTTCTGGCCCAGCTTGGTCCCGGAGGGCGCCCTGACCTCACAGTGCACCTGCAGCGATGCCTTTGGGAACGCGTTGTCTTGCTGGGATCCGCTGGACTGTCGGCCCCAGCTTGGTTCATTTGCTGCTTTTTCACAGTTCTTTCTCCTGATAGAGAGTGGAACAATGAGCGGTAGCCCCGGGGCAGGGGCGATGGCAAAGAGGATGCCTCAGAGACGAGGGCCTGGCGGTTGTAAGGTTTGGGGGCACCCGTGTTCCCGGCTCTCACTGTGTGCTTTGTGGCTGCCACAGCAAATGACCACAAACTCAGGAGCTTTGGACAACAAACGTGCATTCTCCTCCAGTTCCGGAGGCCAGAGGTCCGAATTCTCAGGGACATCAGGGCTGCAGCCCCTCCCTCCAGAGGCACTAGGGGAGGGTCCCCCTGCCTCCCCCACCTCCTGCGGCTCTGGGCCCTCCTTGGCTGGCCAGCCTCTGCCTTCATCTTCTCAGGGCCTCATCCCTGTGCCTCTCTCCTCTTCTGTCTCTTAAGAGGATGCTGGTCATTGGATTCGGGGCCCACCCTAACCTGGGATGGCCTCTTCTTGAGGTCCTTACCTCAGTTACATCTGCAAAGACCGTTTTCCTAAATCAGGTCACGTTTGGAGGTTCTGGGAGTCAGGACAAGATAGGGGACGTGGTGCACAGTCCAGCCTCTGCACTGCTTACTCTTTCTTCCGTCCAGACGGTCACGGGGTGCTTGGTGCCTCTGTGCCCTGGGCTCCCTGGTAGGGAGGGGCAGGGGTCAGAGCCTGCCCTGAAAGCTCAGGCCTGCAGCAGAATGGGGTGTGAAAGGGGTGGTGAGAGGAACAGCTTGAGAGGTGGTCACCCTGGGAAGGAGCAGTCTGGCGCAGAGGGTGGGCAGGAGCTTGGGGAGGTCACCGTTGGGGAAGCCCGGAGCGGAGGCCTGAGTGAGGTGGGTCGGGGTGCAGGGCCTGGGTCTGTGCCTCCCAGCTGTGCCTCTCTTGTGGCTTCCGTGCAGCAGCTGCCCCAGGTGACAGCCAGGGGCTTGGCCCAGCAGGTTCTGAGCATCTCTCCTGCAGCCTGGGGTTGAGGACTGTTGGTGGCAGTGGGACCATCTCTAGTGCCTATGGATTTGCCATTTTCAGTAGCTGTCAGCATGGAGGAGAGCTCAGTCAGGAACCCCATCATCTGGGGCTGTCTCTGCTGCAAGCCCTGCCTGGGCCTGGGCCCCTGGGGCTGTGGCCGGTGCAGTGGCCTGTGCTGTTTCTCGGCACCTCTCACTTCCCTGGGAGGCCCCCACCGCCTCCTCCAAAAATAACACCTGGGGCGGGGCAGGGAGCACCTCGCAGGCCTGGCCTGGGAACCTCGGGTTGTGACTGTCTCTTCCTGTGGGCAGGGCCCAGGGCTTTCTTCCTGGTGCCTGGAGCCTGGCACAAAGTAGGACCAGACACAAGATTGAGGAATGAATGAATGAAGGATGAATGGATGAATGCAGGTGGTGATGGAGCTGTGCTCTGCAGCATCCTTGTTGGCTCCACTGAAGGGGTGGGTTGCCCCTCCACACCTGTGGGTGTTTCTCGTAAGGTGGAACGAGAGACTTGGAAAAGAAAAAGACACAGATACAAAGTATAGAGAAAGAAATAAGGGGGCCCGGGGAACCAGCGTTCAGCATATGGAGGATCCCGCCAGCCTCTGAGTTCCCTTTAGTATTTATTGGTCATTCGTGGGTGTTTCTCCGAGAGGGGGATGTGTCAGGGTCACAAGACAATAGTGGGGAGAGGGTCAGCAGACAAACACGTGAACAAAGATCTTTGCATCATAGACAAGGTAAAGGATTAAGTGCTGTGCTTTTAGATATGCATACACATAAACATCTCAATGCTTTACAAAGCAGTATTGCTGCCCGCAGGTCCCACCTCCAGCCCTAAGGCGGTTTTTCCCTATCTCAGTAGATGGAACGTACAATCCGGTTTTATACCGAGACATTCCATTGCCCAGGGACAGGCAGGAGACAGATGCCTTCCTCTTGTCTCAACTGCAAGAGGCATGCCTTCCTCTTTTACTAATCCTCCTCAGCACAGACCCTTTACGGGTGTCGGGCTGGGGGACGGTCAGGTCTTTCCCTTCCCACGAGGCCATATTTCAGACTATCACATGGGGAGAAACCTTGGACAATACCTGGCTTTCCTAGGCAGAGGTCCCTGCGGCCTTCCGCAGTGTTTGTGTCCCTGGGTACTTGAGATTAGGGAGTGGTGATGACTCTTAACGAGCATGCTGCCTTCAAGCATCTGTTTAACAAAGCACATCCTGCACCGCCCTTAATCCATTTAACCCTGAGTTTGACACAGCACATGTTTCAGAGAGCACGGGGTTGGGGGTAAGGTCACAGAATCTCAAGGCAGAAGAATTTTTCTTAGTACATAACAAAATGGAGTCTTCCATGTCTACTTCTTTCTACACAGATACAGTGACACTCTGATCTCTCTTGCTTTTCCCCACACTCCACCATTTTTACTTGGTGGAGCTCATCTTGGCCATAGGCTCTCGGGTTGTGACAGTCACTTGGAGTGGCCCAGGCAGGGTGTCCCGGCTGAGGTGGGGCCAGCTGTGACGGTGACAGCGGGTGCAGGGAACTCAACATTCCTCCATTTCCTGCTCTGCCCACGGGGATGACGTCCCTCTTGCCCTGGAAGGTACCAGGCCCGCATGTCCCTGGCCTCCCCTCCTCGCCCTGCCCTGCAGCCGGGGAGGCAGGGAGCTGGGACACCTGTGCTGTCAGCGAAGGGGCACCAGGACGCAATATGCCATATTATTCCCAGTAGTCAAATATGTAGAAAACACCACACACACATAAAAAACCCCTAAAAACCCAGAGTCAAGAGACGACAGAAAAACGCCCTCAGTGGTTAGTGGTGTTTTAGGATGGGAGTTCTTGTCGGTTTCATGTTATTCTACTTCCCTGCCCTCATCCAGGCAGGGTTATTTCTATACTGGGAGAAAAAAACAAACCCGTTTCATCCCAGGGAGCAGCGTCCTGGGCACACATCCTTCCCTGGTGAAATGAGACCGGACCTGCAGCAGCTGGTACAGGGGAGGCCCGTAACTGCCAGGCCGAGCCTCAGTTTCCCCACCTGGTAAAGCAGGGACGATCATCCTAACCGGGAGAGCACCAGAGGGTAGGCTTGCACAGAGTGAGGAACCAGAGAGACACTGGTGGCGTTGGAGAGAGTCCTGGGTACCCCGGGCAGGTGGGGAGCTGGGTGGGGAGCTGGGCAGGTGGGTGGGTGCTGCAGTCTGCCCTTTTTGTGACTGCAAACAGGTGCGCCCAGGACTGGAGTTCAGCTCCCTGCTGAAGTACCAGCTCTGGCCCAGCTTTCCTGCTTGAGGACGGCCGGGTTTCCTGCCTGGCCTGTCCCCCACAGAGGGCTCTGTCCCAGGCCCTGGCAGGGGCAGCCTCCCTCCCACTGGGCTCCCGCCTGGGTGGGGGCGGAAGGCGAGGCTGCAGCTGCAGCATTCCTGACCTTGGCTGGCCCAGCTGTTGGCCTGGCAGCAGGGAATCCCCCTCCCGCTCCCTCGCCCCCTGGTGCTCTGCCCACCAGCCGAGGGGCCTGGTGCTGGTTCGCCTGGAATTTCCAGAAAGTACAGCTTCTCAGTTGATCTTCGCATTTTC
The DNA here is from genome assembly GCF_000001405.40 of Homo sapiens. Taxonomy (NCBI): domain Eukaryota; kingdom Metazoa; phylum Chordata; class Mammalia; order Primates; family Hominidae; genus Homo; species Homo sapiens. The sequence goes on along the minus strand of NC_000009.12, from coordinate 133,956,609 downwards.
TGACTTCTCAGGAACTAACTGGCTGCGTGCTTTTTATACATTCCCAGGACTCCCTCCTCCCTAACCCAACCCAAAGCTGAGATAACTTTTTAAGAAATTCTAAAAGTAATGTCTACTCGTTGGAAAAAAAACAAAACGAAACAAAACAAAGCAAAAGAAGAAACAACTCAGAAAGGTAGAAAGACAGAGTACCCTAGACACCCTTTCCCCACCAGGCCCCCAGACCCGCTGGGCCCAACCCCACAGCTGAGAACCAGAGACCCTCCCCAGGGGCTTGGGCTGAGGGTCACAGGGTAGGGAGGGGCTGCAGGGCCCAGGGGAGGCTGGGTAGACGAGGGGATCATGGCACCTCTGGAGATCATCGAGTTCCTGACTTGCAGACCTGTTTTTAATTGTCAGAACCCCCTTCCCTCCCTCTCTCCCTGTGAACCAGTGAGGAAGCTCCCTCCTTCTCAGGAATCCAGGGAATTCATTCAGAGCCACTGGGTTGGGGAAACTGAGGCTCCAGGAGGGTCAGCGACTTGTCCAGCGTCACCTGGGAAGCTGTGCTTTGTGCCTCCTGGCCCCGTGGGCTCCAGGTCTTGACTCTGCGAGTAAGCAGGGAAGGAGCAGATGGGCAGTGAGGTGCTGGCTGCCCGTCTGAGAGCTCCCCGGAGCGGGGGCCTCCAGCAGGGGCCGTGCCTTTGTGCTGAGCGGAAGCGGCAGGAACTGAGCTTCACGGAGCAGCCTGAGCTGGAGGGTTTAGAGGGCTCCCCTCGGGCTGGGGGAGGCCAGAGCTGTGGGGAGGAGTGGGGAGGAGTAGGAGTGGGAGTGGAGTGCAAGTGGGGGGGTGGGGAGGAACGTGGGGGGGGCGTTGGGGGGAGTGGGAAGCAGCGTGGGGGGAGTGGGAAGCAGCGTGGGGGGAGTGTGGGGGAGTGGGGAGGAGCTTTGGGGGGAATGGGGAGCAGCATGGGGTGAGTGGGGATAGTTGGAGGAGCGTGGTGGGGAGGGGGGAGGAGTGGGGGTGTGGGGAGGATCATGGGGGGAGTGGGGAGAAAGGAGGTGGGGAGGACCGTGGGGAGTGGGGAGGAGCATGTGGGGAATGGGGAGGAGCTTGGGGGGCATTGGAGGGACTGAGGAGCATGGGGAGAGTTGGGGCAGCATGGCAGGGGGAGTGGGGAGTATGGGGAGAGTGGGGAGAAGCAGGGGGGTGGGGAGGAGTGTGGGGAGTGGGGAGGAGCGTGGGCGGGGAGTAAGGAGGAGTGTGGGGACCGTGCTTCCGACTCAGCTTCCGCAGCCAGGAGCCTCGCCTTGGCATCGGGTATGGGGCCACACTCCCTGGCTGGGCTTGTGGAGGGTGGCATGACTATGTTGCTCCCTGTGGGGTCCCCAGAATCTGGGTGATTGAAGGTTTAGGACCTGAAGGGGCAGGAGCTCCCCACAGGAAGCAGAGTCTGGCTGGAAATGGCCTGGTCAGGTTCTGCCCTTCCTGTACCCTTGGCCGAGCCTGGAGGCGACCTCACCGCTGCCTCCCATCTGCAGGGGTGCCCTAGTTTCTCATGGTGTGGGTGTCTGTGGGGTAGCCGGAGGAAGGAGTGTCTGCCTTCCTTTTTCCTCACCTCAGTGCACTTGCATTCATTGCACGCAAACAGCAGTATAATGAAAACGAAGTACATTTAAACAACAGGAAAAATCTGTTTACATCTTACCCTCCACCTGTTTGGAGTTCAGAATGATTTATCTCGGTCCTTGCCCTCCTGCAGATGTATTTTTGCTTAGCTTTATTTATCGTAATGCAGACACACACTGCACATACATACACTGGTACATACATCATGAGCATGCACACATACATGTGCACACACATGAACACATGCACGCCTGTACACCCCTAAGCACCTGCGCACCCCCACATGTATGTGCATGGGCACCCCACACGCATACACATGAGGACACACACATCACAGACCTTGCCCTGCTCGAGCATCAGCAGCATCCCCCGCCCGCCCCACAGGTGTGTGGCACATGTAAGTGCTTGGCTGCAGTGCCACAGCTCCCGCTCCCCCCAGCCTCCCATGGCTGGACCTGCGATGCCTTCTCCGGAAGCCTTCAGGCGTGCGTGGATTTCACTCAGATTCACTGCGCACTTGCGATGTGCTGCTGCGGCACTGAGTACTTTGGGTCCTTTCCAGCACCAGGCGAGAAAGCTCCTTGAAGTGCAGGCATCTCTCCTGTTGGGCGTCTCACGCGCACTTGCTCCTCCTTGTGCCTTGCCGCCCCATGGTGACAGAACTGATTTGGCAGCCTGGGCCATGCATGCAGGGCCGCAGGCCCTCAGCAGGTGCTGGTGGGCGGATGGACAGATGGGCAGATGGACAGAGGGACACCAGGCACATGCCGCTTCTCAGAAATCCCTGGAAATGACTGGGATGGTAACAGAACATCACAATTGACTCTTTCTTCTCGAAATGATGGGTGCTAACCACGGAGTGATTCCCCAGCAGCAGACAGGCGCAGTGCTTTCGGTGACGGTTTCGGCCGTGTTTGTTGCACGTTGAGAAGGGTGTTTTACATCCCATGGCGTGTATAGTGCTGGGATCTTAAGAATGTCACACATGTGCAGTGGGTTGTCCCACATGTGGAGCCACCTGCCTGTGCAAGGGGTGGTGGGAGGCGCTGCCTGTCAGGTGCTGGCTGTAGCCTCTGGCAAGCAGTGGGTTTTTCTGCAGAGGGAGGACACCTAGGGATGGAGGCCCACAGGTCTTGGTTTTGGGGTACTCGGGCCAGGTGCCTTCTTTGGAGACAGGGAGGCAGCTGTTGGACATGCAGGCCTGGGAGCCGGGGTCATGGGAGCTGGGTTTCCCAGGGTGGGTGTGGGGGACCTTCAGGATTTGAACCTGCATCTCCCTGCCGGAAAGGTGCCCCACCCTGTGCCTGAGCCCCCTGTCCCCACTCAAGGGTGTCTGAAGCTGGGCCCCATGGTGGTCAGAGGGAACTGGGTCTGAGGTTCCACACAAGTGCTTCCTGACTTCCCACCCTGCCAGGGTCCCTCTGGGGACTTTGCTTCCCAAAGAGCCCTGAATTGAGCCTGGGGGTCAAAACCACATTTTCAGAGGGCCCCAGTGTGCCAGGCCCAGGGTCCAGGGTCTCCCAGCTCCGAGCCGGGGTGCAGGGCATTGCAAAACCCATGCTGGCATGAACGGGAACAAAGGGTGGAAGAAACCAGGAGAACTCTTGCCTCAGTTTCTCATCCAAGCCCTATTCATTCCATTGTGTGCCCATTCATCCCAAAGCCATTCCAAGTGCCTGTTGTGGTGGGCTTGGGGGGCACAGCGCCAAGGGCACAGGACTGCCTGCCACCAGCTGGCCACCGGAGTTGCCCAACAAAGAACCACAGGCCAGCGCCTTCCAGCAGCAGCCCTGGAGGCCGCGAGCCTGAAACCAAGGTGTCAGCAGGGCTGTGCTCCCTCTGGAAGCTCTAGGTGTTGGCAGGGCTGTGCTGCCTCTGGAGGTTCTAGATGTTGGCAGGCTGTGCTCCCTCCAGGTTCTAGGTGTCAGTGGGGCCGTGCTCCCTCCAGGTTCTAGGTGTCCCGGGGGCCATGCTCCCTCCAGGTTCTAGGTGTCCCGGGGGCCATGCTCCCTCCAGGTTCTAGGTGTCCCGGGGGCCATGCTCCCTCCAGGTTCTAGGTGTCCCGGGGGCCATGCTCCCTCCAGGTTCTAGGTGTCAGTGGGGCCATGCTCCCTCCAGGTTCTAGGTGTCCCGGGGGCCATGCTCCCTCCAGGTTCTAGGTGTCAGTGGGGCTGTGCAACCTCTGCAGGCTCTAGGAGAGGCTCCATCCTGCCTTTTCAAGATTCTGGTGGCCCCAGGCACTCCTTGGCTTGTGGCTGCATCATGCCAATCTGTGCCTCTGTCGTCACACGGCCTCTTGTCTTCTGTCTTCTCTTCTAGGGACACTTGGATTTAGGGCCTACTGGGTAATCTGGGATTATCTTATCTCGAGAGCCTCAGGTTTGTTTTTTTTTTCCCCGAGACAGAGTCTTGCTCTTTTGCCCAGGCTGGAGTGCAATGGTGCGATCTCGGCTCCCTGCAACCTCCGCCTCCTGGGTTCAAGTAATTCTCCTGCCTCAGCCTCCCGAGTAGCTGGGATTACAGGTGCGTGCCACCATGCCTGGCTAATTTTTTGTATCTTTAGTAGAGATGGGGTTTCACCACGTTGGCCAGGCTGTTCTCGAACTCCTGACCTCATGATCTGCTTGCCTCGGCCTCCCAAAGTGCTGGGACTATAGACGTGAGCCACCGCACCCGGCCTTGAGAGCATCAATTTAATTTTACCTGCAAACACTGTTTTTCCAAGTAAGGTCACAAATAGGCTTCTCAGGGTCTGGATGCAGACCTGTCTCCTTGGGGCCCACCCATTCAACCCATTACACTTGCTGTTATGGACTGAATGTTTGTGTCTCCCCAAAATTCCTATGTTGAAACCCTACCCCAAAATGTGACGTTATTAGGAGCTGGGGCCTTTTGAGGTAATTGGGTTTAGATGAGGTCGTAAGAGCGGACCCTTCATGAATAGGATGGTCCCTTTTAAGAGTACCAAAAGGGACTGCTTCTCTCTACTCTCTGTGGATGTAAGGGTACATCTCTGCTGTGTAATGGTACAAGGAGAAGCCACTGGAACCTGACCACGCTGGCACTGGGCTTCCAGGCTCTGGAGCTACAAGAAAGAAGCCCCTGGGTTTACAAGCTTCCCGGGCTGTGGGATTTTGCTGTAGCATCCTGAGCAGCTGCCTAAGACTCCAAGCAGATAACTACGCTTCCTGAAGCCTCACTCTGCCCATCTGTAAAATGGGGAAACCGCCTCTGCTTTGAGGATCCTATTCCTGCAGCAGAGCCGAGCAGCCTAAAAGCCCTGTCCCCAGCACAAGGTGAGTGACCCACCCGTGGTCTGGTGTCAGCTGCTGTGGGTATGACTGCCACCCCTGCTTGACAGGTGAGGAAACTGAGGCTCTGAGAGGTGAAGGGCAGGTCCCGGGGGTCCAGGCTGAGAGGGGTTCTAGTCTAGCGCTCCCAGCTCCCACATATGGGCCTCACGAAGCACAGGGACTGCTGAGGAGGAGGTGCCACATTGGGTCCAGCTGGGGTTGCCTGGCGGGTGACGGCCACTCACCAGTGGGTGGGGCTTTGTAGGCACCTGCAGGAGAGGCTCCAGCAGGAGCTCCAAATGGGGACATGGCGGGCATGAGGGACACTTTTCAGGCTGAAAGCCCCACAGTCCCTGTTCTACTCCTGCTCTGACCCTGCTGGGTGCCAGCTCTTGTTCTCCAGCCCCCGTAGTTGCCCGTTTGGCAATTGACTAAGAAGAGTTTTTGACACTTTGCTGTCGCATGGCTGGCTTGTGGCCTTCTGCAGGGGAAGAGGCCGCCTCCCACCTTGCTGCCTCCATAGCCAAGGGCTGTGCCTGCCTTTGGTTTCTGATCATAGAAGGAGGCTCAGTTTTACCCCCCTGCTTGGGAAGCTCTCTAGTGCTGCGGTTGCATTTTTCCTTCAATATTTTTAGCCCAGCAGGAAGGGATAATAGCGAGAATCGTTCCTTCAGACTGGAGAGCGATCATCCGGTGTCTGCTGGCTGTGAAGGGATCCATTTGGCTTTCATTTTAGTGGGTGGTGGGGGAACGGGAAGAATCGCGCCCTCTGCTTGGGTCCGTCTGGAGTTGGATTGTCCAATTGCGCTGGAGATAGGGCGCTCCAGAGAGCGTGCGAATGCCCTCATGTTGACCTCGGAGGCCGCTTTCCGGAAGGGGGAAGAAATGGAGAAAATGAGGTGGCAGAGACAAGAGCCCGTTTCACAGATGGCTTGTGGGCTGCAGCAGAGAGGAGGGGCTGAGGTCCTATGAGAGCAACCCGGAGGGCCGAGGCGCAGGCGTGCGTCTGGGCTAATTGCTCAGAGCCAGGTGGCCAGAGAGTAGGATTTGAACCCTCCGGCACTCGGAAGCCGGCTCAGGGAAGATGGTTATAAAGAGAAATACTAGAAAAGCAATTTACTGCTAGCTTTATAGAAAACCTTTGGTTTGACCCTGACCTTGAAGTCCCGATTGTGTGGGCCACTCTTTATACCCCCCGCCTTGGCTTAAACCCACCGTCGGCAGCAGAGGTGGGTCCTTGGAGGGCTTCAGGGGAGCAGGCGTGGAAAGCTGAGACCTCTCTCAGCTGCTGGCTCTGAACACGCACGGCTGGGCGGCGGCCTAGCATGCAGTAGGTGCCTCTTATTCGGTGTCTGACTGTGGACTGGAGGCGGGTGCAGAGTTGAATAGGAGCCTCCCAGCTGCCCACCTGCTCCACTCAGACTTCCAAATGAGGCTTCTCCAGAATTGATTTTTCTTGCTGGGTTTCCTCTCGAGTGCTGCTGAGGAAGGACTTGACCGTCAGGATGGAGAGGGGCAATGCTGCAGCTTGGCCTGGCCCTGCCTGCCTGTGCCAGGGGTTGCTGGGCAGCCAGAGTGTCTCTCTTTTCTTGAGATCTTGACTTTTCAGCCTTTGAGAACCCACTCCTCATGGCTCAGGGGCTGTGGACAGACAGACCCTGGCAGCGGGTGGGAGCCCCAGCACTGGGGTTCCTGGACTTCACGGCTGCTGGTCCTTGCTGGTTCTCACCGGCTGGGCGCTTGAAGTTTGCAGCAGAGCTCGTTTGGAAATCAGGCTGCACAGGAGCAGACTGTGAGAAAAGCTGAGCGTGAAACCCCTAAACAGCAGGAGACGCCCGGGTCGGGGGCAGGTGTTCTGCCTCTCTGGGACCTCCTGGCCTTGAGCCACAAAGCAACCTTGCCCCATCCCTTTTTGGGGAAGATCCTGGGATTCTGGACCCAGGGCTGCCTGCGTGCTGCAGGTTGGAGTTTGGGGTCTGAGCTCTGGTAGCAGACATTTTGAATCCATGCCTCCGGGGCCCTGTTTTGGAGACAGCTGGCTGGGCCCTCTGAGTCTTCTGGCATCTTCTCTGGGAAGCCTGTTTCCCATCTCGCAGCAGCATTGCCTGGAGTGTGGTGAGCAGGTGACCCGCCATTCGAGGGGGCAGGTACAGAGGAGGAGAAAGGCCATTTCTTCCTTTCATGAGCTGGGCTTGGGTTGAAAGAGACAAGGTCAGGAAGTGGGGATAGGGAACAGTGTTCAGGCCACTGGAACAGCACAGTCAAAGGCTCAGAGCCCTAGCGGGTGCCACGTGTCAGCCACGTGTCTCCAGCATCCAGGGCCCCCAGCCCACCTTGAATGAACCAAAGCTGGAAAGCTGGGGGTGGGAGTGGCCAGGAGACCTTGTGGAAAGTGTTGGAAGGCACCGGAATTGGGTCAGGGCGTCCTCGGGGAAGGAGGGGAAGTGTGCAGAGACAGGGGTCCGGAAGCTTGCTAAGGGCAGGGACTTGCCTCTGTGGGTCTGACTTGGAGGGCTTCCTCTACCAGTGCCGAGGTGGTGTAGTGCGTTGTGAGTCGCGTTTTGGTAGTCATCCTGGGAGGTGCCCTGGGAAGCAGGAGGGCCCAGCGTAAGGGAGGAGCATGTTTCTCCCCAGGAGTGCTGGTGTCAGAGGGATGGAGAGGCACCCACCGACAGAGCCTGTGTGCAGCTAGCTCTGCCTTCACGCAAGCCAGCCGGGACCCTCCCTCCTCCCAGGTTGTCCGCAGATTAGGCTGCCTCTTGCCTATGCCGTGGGGCTCCCATGGGGACAGGACCAGACCACCTGGATTAGACCTGGGTCTTCCCCTCACTACCCTGATGAGCAGGGTGGTCCCTGAGCCGTTTCTCCACCTGTAGACCAGGGATACGTGACAGCTCGTTAGCAGGATGAAGCAGAGAGGAACGTCAAGGGCTTCGTGCTGCGCCAGGCACGGACTCAGCGGGCGCTGTTTGTTATGGGAGAAAGTGGAAGAGCCACCGGACGTTGTTTTAGCACATCGAGTGTTAGTGAGACTGAGAATGCTGGAAACCTTTACAGAATAGTGAAACGAGACACGCTGTTGTTGCAGCCCTTTCTGTCATTCCTGTGGACAAATGTAGCAGCCATGGCTCAAGCTGCTTGCTCTTGGTGGGGGGAGCTCCACTCCTGAGGGCACGCGGGCCGCCTGCCCTGCTGATCTGGCCTGCCCCTCTCTCTGCCAGTCGCCTGCCCCTGACCTGGGGGCAAGGCTGGCCCCCGAAGACCTTGATATGCACGAAGAAAACACCACCCCACTCCTCCAGATCACAGCAGGTAGAGCAGCTCCGCACCCCAGCTGGGCGAAGGGGGACACTCATGCGAGGCCATGCGCAAAGGCGGGTCAGGTTCATTACTCAGCCTGCTGGCCTGACGCCTTGGTCCTGGTGCGTGCGGAGCTGAGGAAATGGGCCCGAGCGAAGGAAGTTCAATTGTCCAGACAAAATCAACTCGTGACACTCCTCAATCAATCCCTGGCTGAGCTGTGCTTTCCCTGCCTGGAGCAGTGAATGAGCTGGAGTGGCCTCGGACATCTGCCTTGGGAGCCCCGCACTGCAGCCTCTCTTTAAGGGCTCAGTGCGGTCTGAGCATAGTGGCTCACACCTGTAATCCCAGCACTTTGGGAGGCCGAGGCAGGTGGATCACTTGAGGCCAGGAGTTTGAGACGAGCCTGGCCAACGTGGGGAAAGCCTGTCTCTACTAAAAATACAAAAATTAGCTCGTCATTGGTGGCACAGGCCTGTAGTCCCAGCTGCTCGGGAGGCTGAGGCGGGAGAATCGCTTGAACCTGGGAGGTGAAGGTTGCAGTGAGCCGAGATCACGCCACTGCACTCCAGCCTCGTTGATGCAGTGAGACTCTGTCTCACACACACACTCACAAAGGCCATAGCGCGGGGGCCCTGGTGATGGCCTGGGAAGCCTCTCAGTGTTCATGATGACTGTCAAGTTAGACCAGTTTGTTTTTTTTTTTTTGAGACGGAGTTTTGCTCTTGTTGCCCAGGCTGGAGTGCAATGGCATGATCTCGGCTCACTGCAACCTCCACCTCCCGAGTTCAATCGATTCTTCTGCCTCAGCCTCCTGAGTAGCTGGGATTACAGGCATGCGCCACCACGCCTGGCTAATTTTGTATTTTTAGTAGAGACGAGGTTTCACCATGTTGGTCAGGATAGTCTCAAACTCCTGACCTCAGGTGATCCACCCGCCTTGGCCTCCCAAAGGGCCAGGATTATAGGCGTCAGCCACCGCGCCCAACGACAGACCAGTTTTAAAGCAGATACGGGCCTCCCTGAGTCTCGGTCTCCTCATCTGTAAAATGGGTGATAAGGGACCACCCCCGCCCCCTGCTAGAGTGGTTATTGGATCTGACCAGCTAATGGGTCCCTGGTGGGGTGGTGTGTAGAGTTGTGCAGGTGACATTGATGTGTGCAGGAATAAGGGGTCGAGGCCAGACCCTACCTTTCACCTGCTTGCTTGTTTTCGGAAGAGATGCTTCTGGAAGCGAGGTTGCCACCTAAGCAGCAGTGGCTGTCCTTGGGGGCCCCTGACGTCTTGGAAGGCATCGTGGACTCTCTGCTGCTTGAGGAGAAAGCAGGGCCCTTTGAGAGGTGTCAGCAGTCAGAGGACACCTAAGAGTGCTTCCTAGACATTCATTCATTTGTTCATTCATTAATTCATTGGTTCATTTGTTCGTCTACCAGATACTGAGCCCGTGTGATGGGCTAGGCATTGTCCAGGGCATTTGGGACCCAGAGGGAGCAAACGGCGTCAGCTCCTGTCTCCGTGAGCACCTGGCCAGCCTGTCACCCAGGGTCACCTGTTTATCTACCTGATGGGCCCCAAATTTGATCCATTCCATCAAGCTGCATCTGTTGAATAGTAATCAAGCTATTTTAAGTGGTTTTTGGAATGAGCATGGCATAAATAAAACAGGAAATTAATTTGTTTTCCCATTTTTTTATTGATCAAAGACATCCTCAGCTGCCAGTCAGAGCTTCTGATCAGCACGACGCAGCATTGTGGCCCCAGGGAGTCAGCACCACTCCAGCTGGAAGCAGAGCAGCCAGGCGTGCAATCGGTCTCTGCTAAGCGCAGTGTTAGTGACACTTGTTGAAGTATTTCAAGAAAACGCACTATGTCTATCTATGTCTGTGGGTACTTCCTGGAGCCTTTGCCGCAGGGCGTGGAGGCTGCACATGGAGACCCCCAGCTTGCTCAGAAAGACCCAGAGGCTTGAAAAGAGAGTGCCTGTTCTCCTGAGGCCCAGAAGCTGTGGTGCCCTGTTGCTTTCAGGGCTGTGGTGCCCAGGTTCCCTTTTGCAGCAAGGAGCACATGGGGTGGGGGTCTTCACCTCCCAGTTGCTGGGCTGCTCTGGCCATGAGCAGAGAGCCTGAGGCCAGGCCCCAGAAGTCCCTTGTCGGCCTGTGTCCCTCCCCCAGTCCCTGGCAGCTGCCTTGAGGAGCTCTGCTGCGAACTAAAGGCCAGCGGGGTGGCGGGCTAACAGCTCCAGGGTGGGACCATGGTGATGAAGGGCCCAGGTTCTCGTGCACTGTGGCTGCTCCTCAGCTCCAGCTAACTGTGGCACCCCAACCCCCCTGCCAGCTCTCCCAGTGACCAATGTCTCAGGGGACTTCTGGACTTCCCCAGTGAGATGGCCTCAGTACAGTCTCTTTGAGTGAGAGTCCCAGCATCGTGGGAGTCAGAGGGCAGGGTTCTCCTTGCCCATTTTACAGATTGAGAAACTGAGGTACAGAGAAGCTGTGTGGCTGTTGAGTGGGAGCAGGCCTGGGTTGTCCCCACCTGGAGCACCTGCTGTGGGGTCTGCACTGGAATGTGGTTGTGTGCAAGAGGCCAGGGGGAGGTAGGACTGTGCAGGACAGGAGTCGGTGGTTCAGGGATGCCAGCCAGAGACCTGGGAGGAGCCCTGCCTGTTGGTGACGATCTACATGGATGGGGAAGGTTGGGCCAGGCGATCTGGAGACCCCAGCTTGGGGCTTTCCCTGCAGGACCCCACCCCCAGCTGAGTGCCACTCCTGGGACTGAGGACACCCGGGCCCCTGACCTTCCTGGTGGGGCAGCCAAAGGGACTTTCCCGGGCATGGGCCTGCCAGAGGCTGGGGGCATCCTGAGAGGAACCGGGCCTGGGTTCAGATCGCGGGTCACCTGCCTTCTGGGGCCTCCATTTCCACATCTGACGGAGCAAATGTGGATGTGAAAGTGCTAGTGGGCTGTGAAATGGCGCATGCGTGCTAGTTAGTTATTATGTGCCGATCAATCAGGTCAGCCCCCTCCTCTCTGGCCCCATTCCTAAGCCTTGGTTTCTGTGGGTGGGGCCTGCCCCTCAAGCCCAAAGGCCGGGCTCCTACACTCAGTGCCTCCCCATCTCCTCTGAACAGACTGAGTTTTTGTCAAAGTACTGTTGTCATTTTAAAAAAGAAAAAATAATGGGATTTCCCTGCCCAGAAACCCATAGACAGGATAGCTTAGAGGCCAGCAGTCTGGCCTTGGGGGTCAAACCATCCCAGATCCATTGTTAGCTCAGTTACATCCTTGCTAGTGACCTTGGGCAGGCCAGCTGACCTCCTGAAACCTCAGTTTCCTCATCTGTAAATTAGGAATTGCTGCAGTGACTCAAGGGAGCTCTTAGCCCAGTGCCTGGCCTTCTGGAAAACCTGGCGGCCGTGGAGCGCCTATAATCACTGTGAGTCAGCGCACCGAGACGCGTAGCCAGTCTTGGCCGGAAGGGCCTGGAGCTCTGTGCCAGAGCCTCACTGTGCACATGAGGAGACTTGCCCGAGCTCTCCTGGGAGGAGGGAGCAGCGAGGGTCACCTCCCATAAAGGTCAGCCCGGCCCCACGCTCCTCCTGCATGGTCCAGCTGGGGCCCAGGAGTCAGCCCCTGAGACAGTGTGGCACCTGCCTTGACGACGCAGGCCTTGTGCTGCCGTCCTTGGCGAGACAGGACTTTCTTGCATCCCCTTAGGCGGGGGCCTGCTGCCCTTTTGCATCCCGGCCACTCCATTTGCCCCTGAATCCTGGGCCTACCCATGAGCTCACTGCTTGGAGCTTGGTTGTCTGTCTGTGCAGTGGGCCAGTGCACACCTCACAGGCTCTGCAGGTGGTGAGTGAGTTGGCTGTTGTGCACGTCAGCATCCTCCCTGCCTGTGGTCATTGTCAGGCTCTGCTATTACTCCATCACCATTGCCCAGGGGTCGATGGCCAAGCCACCTGTGTTCAAACTGCAGCTCCCCAGCTGAGGCCTGCTGGCTATGTGACTCAGGCAAGTGGATTTGCCTCCCCCGGCTTAGTTTCCCCTTTTGTACCCCTCTCAGGTCATGCCGGCTAGATGCCAGCTCTGGAGGGCGAGGCAGGCCTGTCCTGTTTCCCACTCCAGCACTGCCGGTGACCCGTTGCCAGTAAGGGGCAGTGGAAGGGCCCACATAGGCTGAAGGGCGCCCCTGCTCTCGGTGGGCTGCCGTGGGTTCTGCAGGGCAGAGAGGCCTGTCCCTGCCATTGTGTCCCCATCACAATAGATTGTTTCAGAGACCCTAAAGAGACGTGACTGTCCTGTGAGCATGTGAGCTTGGCCGGTGAAGCTTGCCATCCAGGATGCCCTCGGGCCTCACCTGTGGCTCAGACCTGGGCTCCTGGCTCTGGGGTCTTGGCTCTCCGGCCCTGCGCCGCCTCTCCTGTCTGTGACACCCCGCCCTGGCGCCTTGCAAGAGCTGAAGGACAGTGCAGCTGAACCTGGGGAGGTGGGCGACTGGGCATGGAGCCTGTGTCACCACACTAATCCGATTTCAGCCTGATTAGATCTGCGGCTGCCGATGAATGGGCCGGAGAGAAAGGGGCTGACGTTTCCAGGGCACACTACACGCTGCCTCTCATTGCAGCGCCAGAGCCTGGACAAGGGATTCTTGGGGCCCAGGGGCGGGAGCCCTCCCTGCAGTCTGGGGCTGTGGGGAGCAGGAGGTGGGGTAGCCCATGCCCCCTCAGAGTGCCCTAAACAAACACAGTGGGGACCCCATAGCCGCCAGCCTGGGGGAGAGGGCACTCAGCCCTGGGACCCTTGTCACAGGGCTTGTTTTCTGGGGACAGACCCTTGCTGTGGCCACTCAGCTGGACTTAAAGTCCAGGATGCTGGGGGAAGCAGTGGCTGCCTTTGTGGGGGGTCCCGAAGGCCAGGTTGGATCAATGAGAGAGAAGAATGCCGCTTGCTCCTGCAGCCACAGGTGACAGCTGAAGCCAGCCTTCATAGCTTGGGCGTGGACAGGGGACTTTTCACCTGGCGCTGACCACCATCTGGGCCTCCCTTTGCCACTGTCCCTCGGCCTGTGTCCTCAGTGGGCCCCTGTGGCCATGATGCACCTGCAGCAACCTCAGCCTTGGGTCCGGTCCCTGCCAACCGTCAGGGTCTCTGTCTAGAACCTGGACCTTGAGGCTCTGATTGGCTCCAGAGCGACCACAGACCTTGCAAACCAGGCCACTGAGGAAAGGGGTACAGGGATGGCAGGAGGGACCTGGTGCCTGCCCACACGCCCGTCCTCTCAGAGGGCCTTTGCCCTGGCCGATGTCGACATGGCTTCATTCTTGGCGCTGCCGCCCTCTGGTCAGGTGCCCACGTCCTTAACTCTCTGTGCCTCAGTTTCCCTTTGTGGAAAATGGGATGAACTGTAGAAAGCACAGGAAATGCTCCCTGAAGGGAGGCCGGGCCGTGTGTGGCCTCCCTCGAGGTGGAGCCTGACGTGGCCCCCAGGCTTTGTCCCGGTCTCTGCCATCCCCGTCCGTGCAGTCCCTGTCCCTGCCATCTGCATCAGCCTGTGTGGCTCAGTTTTGCAGAGACCACCCTGGGTTGGGCCCAGAGCTGCACCAGGAGGACTTCTTAAAGGTTAGGGTGGCCAGAGTGGCCACGGGTGGGGCCGGGCCAGGCACAGCAGTTGCTGGGCCCATGGGAAAGGGGTGCGCTGGGCCCATCCTGTGCCCGAAAGGAAGCCTGGGCCTGGCCGGCTGTGATTATGGTTGGGATCTGTGTAATTAACTCTAAACTTGGGAGGCTGAGGAAGAATGAAAATAAATGCTTAGTGGAAATTACAGACAAGCCATATTCAAAAAATAGTCACGCCAGGCTGGAAGCTGCAGCACATGCAGCCGCGCAGATGAGCGAGAGGGCGTAGCCCCTGCCCCGGCTCAGGCCTGCTCCCAGCTCCAGTGTCTGGGGCTGTCCTAACCAAGCACCATCGACCGTGGTGGCTTTAAGCAGCAGAACCTTATTGTTCCCAGGGCTGCAGGCCAGCAGCCTGAATCAATTGTGTGTGGCAGCAACAGCTCCTTCGTGGGGCCACGGAGGAGAGCCCGTCCCACGCCCTCTCCCGCTTCTGGCAACGGTGGCCACCCTTGGAGTGGCTGGCCCACAGCTGTGTCACTCCCAGTTGCTAAGGAAAGGGGCCCATCTCACATGCACTCCTCGTGGGTCTGTGTCTCCATGTCTCTCTGTGTCTCTTCTAATTAATCTTTGTATTGTGGTAAAATACACATAACGTAAAACTCAGTGTCTTCTCCGGTTTTCCTCTAGAGCACCGTCCAGTAGGGTCAAGCACATTCACTTTGTTGGCAAGCACCATCACCACCATCCACAGAACTCTCTGGTCTTCCCAAGCAAGAGCTCTGTTCCCCACGAAACCACCCCATCGCTCAGCCCTTCGAGGGCGCCCACTATTCTCCTTTCTCTCTGTGGATCTGACGACTCCAGGGGCCTCATGAAAGTGGAATCACGGCCTGGCGTGGTGGCTCACGCCTGTAATCCCAGCACTTTGGGAGGCTGAGGCAGGCAGATCACCTGAGGTCAAGAGTTGGAGACCAGCCTGACCAACGTGGAGAAACCCCGTCTCTACTAAAAATACAAAAATTAGCTGGGCATGGTGGTGCGTGCCTGTAATCCCAGCTACTCGGGAGGCTCAGGCAGGAGAATTCGCTTGAACCTGGGAGGCAGAGGTTGTGGTGAGCCGAGATCACACCATTACACTCCAGCCTGGGAAACAAGGGCGAAATTCCGTCCCCCCCCCCCCCCAAAAAAAAGTGGACTCACACAGGATTTGTCCTTTCATGTCTGTATTCTTCAGAATTAACAGGTCGTGAAAAACAAAGATCATGGAGTGTTTTAGACTCACATTGTCTAAGCTAGCAGTTACTAGCCACATGTAGCTTTAAAATTTAACTTAAAATTAGCAATCTAGGTTTTCAGTAGCCACCTTTTTTTTTTCTTTTTTTTGAGACGGAGTCTCGCTCTGTCACCCAGGCTGGAGTGCAGTGGTGCGATCTCGGCTCACTGCAACCTCCGCTTCCTGAGTTCAAATGATTCTCTTGCCGCAGCCTCCCGAGTAGCTGGGACTACAGGTGTGCGCCACCACGCCCGGCTAATTTTTGTATTTTTAGTAGAGACAGGGTTTTACCATGTTGGCCAGGCTGGTCTTGAACTCCTGACCTCTAGTGATCTACCCGCCTCGGCCTCCTAAAGTGCTGGGATTACAGGCGTGAGCTGCTGCGCCCAGCCGGACTAGCCACATTTGAGTGTTTGGTGGGCACAGGTGTCTAGTGGCTGCCCTATTGGACGGTAGATGGATAGAACGTTCCTGTCATTCCAGAAAGTTCTGTTGGAGGACTGTACCAGATTAATGGAGACTGAAGAGGCATGGCAGCAGAAACTGTGTGTGATCCCATATTGGAACCTGGGCCAGTTTTTTTTTTTTTTTCTTTTAGCTATAAGGACATTTTGGTTGTCCTTTATATATTAGGGAAATGCAAGTAAGGTCTATAGATAAGATAACCGTGTGGTGTCCATGTTAATTTCCTGGTTTTGCTGTAGGTACTGTGATTATGGAAGAGGATGTCCTTGTTCTTAGGAATTACACACTCAGGTATTTAGGGATAAAGGAGTGTCATTACTGTAGTTAATCTCGAGTGTTCAGAAACACACACACACACACACACACACACACACACACACGCACGTGGACAGAGAGGGACTCTAGGATAAAACAGATGAGTCTGTTGTCTATGAACAGCAGCCGACCCCTGCCAGGATGGGAGGAGTGGCCTGAGGCAGAAGGGGCTGGGGTGAGCACTGCCTGCTGTGAGGCAGGGTGAGGGGTCAGCAGGGGCGTATGTCCTGGCTGGGGGACCCTCCGCTCCCAGGGCGTTCTCAGTGCTGCTTGGTTTACGCTCTTAGGCTCTGATTCTGACGTGCACTATGTCTAAGTCTGTCCATTTGTCTAAATTTCCAGTGAGCAGGGACAGGCTCTCTGAACTGCTCTTGGAGCTGGGCAGTTTGTCCATAGGGGACGGTTATTGATGAGGATGACAATCCTGGGCTCTTATTGGGCTGTGTGTGCCACACCCTCCCCTCGCGAATCCCCGTGCTGAGCTGGATTGGGGGGCTGATGGCTCCCACACCCCAGTGCCCACTCTGGTCATCAGGGCACATGATTAATCCCGTGAGGCAGGTGGCGGTAGAAAACCAGGCCTGGCATAACCACTCACCCTGGTCTCCCTGCTGGAGTCAGCAGACAGGATTCCAACCTGGGGCCCGAGTGATTCCAGAGCGTGCCCCCCGGGCCACCTCACCTGCTGCCTTATAAGTTTCCTTACCAAGCTGTTTCTCCACGAGGACTGGGCAGATGGCCGTTCCGCCCCAGCCAAGCCTTCCGCCCCTGTGGCACGTCAGGCGCAGTGAGGGCCGAGAGCTCACTGGTTGGCAGTGGGCAGAGAGGAGATGACCCATGCATTGATTTGGGAATTCTGGCTTTTGTGCTCCCTCCACCCTTCCACTGTAGTTGGCACCTGCCACTCTCTGGGTCCTCCGTGGCTTCTTGGGGGTGGCCCCTGGCTGTTGGCTTTGTCACCCGTGATTAGGAAGGATGTGTTGGTGTTGTCAGAAGCCTCGTGTATGTACGCACGCCTGTGCACGTGCCCACGTGAGCATGCGCCATCCATTCTTGTTGATTTAAGGCTTGCATATTCTGCCCCAGCTGTGACTGTCGGCCTCGACATGTGCTGGGTGCGCCTGGGAGAGCTGGGTTGGATGGTCATGGAGGGCCCAGGGTGCTGCCTTGCCGCCCTGACCTACGGTTACGGGGAGTGGCGTGTCTTCTGAATGCACAGGCCTTGGGGGTTTTGCAGCTATGTGATGAGAAGGCTGGGGGCGGTGGTGGCTACACCCTCGGATGTGGAGCTGGTCTGCCTGCTTCCACTTCCATCCAGGCCTGGCTTCTCACCCCCCAGCCTTGGGACGGGGGGTTTCGTCATCTCTCTGAGCCCATTTCCTCCTTGAGAAAACAGGAATGAGCTTGGATGTGCTGGCGCACGGAAGCCAGAGCTTGCTGCTGTTGCTGTTACGGTTTTTACAGAGCTTACAGTTTTAATAAGTTTTTCCTTGCCCTCCCTTTGTTTTTTCCCTTTAGTTTCTGTGTTTGAAGAACATACGCACCTTCCTGAAAGTCTGCCACGATAAATTTGGATTAAGGAACAGCGAGCTGTTTGACCCCTTTGACCTCTTCGATGTGCGAGACTTTGGAAAGGTGAGCAGTCACTCTCTCCAGCCTCGGTCGCTCAGCTGTGGTGGCCGATTTGCCGGCTCAGCGGCAGGTGGGCCAGATCCATGGAGCAGCCTGATTGGCTCCAACACAGAGCCAGTGGATTTCTGCACCCTCATGTCCGGGAGGTGCAGGCAGGTCCTGTTACAAACAGGAAGGTGTGAAAGCCAGATTTGTGTGTCGGGGCTGGGACAACGGGATGGCCCCTTTCTCTCTCCAGTCATGGTGAGGCCAGGCGTGACGAATTCAGGCGGGTGGGGGAAGAGCAGAGTGCAGACAACCCTGGCCCTGTGGTTCTAGCCAGGGGATGCTGAGCATTTACCTCCTGCCCTGAATCTTGATTCTTCCTCTGAGAATGGGTCGAAGTTAGTACCACCTCCTAAGGGGCTGGGGAGATGAGGAGGGGAAAGCGCCTACTGTGTGCTCTGTAAATGGATTATCTCGGTTACCCCGGGACAAGCAGAACTGTCTCTGACTCTGGGAAGGTATTGGGCAAAGAGGGGGTATTCTCCAGTGGTGACCCCGGGAAGTGTCTCTGTGTTCTCAGGAAGCCTCACATGGCACCAGTCCTGCATGCAGGAGCCGGGCTGGTGCACATGAGGGGACCCTGAGGCTGGCAGGTGCAAAGGCCCTGGGAGGCTGTAGTTCATTGGTGGCCTCCTGGTGAGCCTGGGTACAGAGGGACGCAGGGGCCACCTGCCTTCCAGAGCCCAGCAGCTCCACGGTTACTCTTTTTAAATGGATGGGATCAGGGTCTCAATAGCTTCCTGATGGATTCGGGGCTGGACGCCGGAGGTGCTGACGGTGGCCGAGGAGGCCCCAGGCCCCCGCCTGCTGTTGGGCTGCCTCTAGGAGACACTGCTTCCTGGACCACCGGGAGAATGGATTTCCACCTGCTGATGGGAAGTAACAAGATATTTACTGCCTGGTTTATTTGAGCATCATTATCAGGGACTTGGTATCTAAGGAAATGCTCTGTGAATACATGATTTGTGAGGCGCAGAGGGAATTTGGGTTTGCAGTGGCGCATGCTGAGAAGTCGGTTCTGAGAGGAGCGTGTGGAAGTGCTGCACGGCCTCAGGTCAGGACCTGGAACAAGGGCGATCCCGGAGCCACCAGGCTTGGCGCTTCCCTTCCTCGCTCCTGGAATTCTCCAGACGTGAGATCTGGGGACCTCTTCATGAGCCCATCTCTGTGTAATCATCGAATCCTTAGAAGTTTGTGTCCCTTAAATGACTCACTGAGCCCCCTCCCTGCAGCAGCGCACCTGCCTGGGAGTTTGATGCCCTGTTGAGGCCTGTGGGTCCTGCTGTCCAGGGGCTTGCCTGCTGGGCTGGAGTCAGGGAGGCTTGAATGGCCTGGGCCTGTTTCTTTCCTGTAAGTGGCTTCTCAATTCCTACAGATTTGTTTTGAAATGAGTTGGAACTCTCTCCTGTTCCTTCCCTGCAAGCAGCAGAGATGAATTTGCCTGCAGCACCCTGGGTAATGGAGAGGCTGATGGTTCTGGACTTAGTGAAGGTCCTTCAGAACACACACACACACACACACTCTCACACACACTCTCACACGCGCACACACACTCACACGCACACACTCTTGCACCCACCCCACACATGTTCACACTCACACTCAGACACACACAGCTCACATACACACACACACAGACATACAGTCTCACACACACACATTGACACAGACATCCATGGACACACCACACACAAACACACATACACACACTTGAACCCGTCTTCCATGTTCACACCCACACCCAGACATGCACAACTTAACACACACACATTCACAGACATACAGTCACCCATACACATTCACACAGACATCCATGGACAGCCCCCCAACACGGACATATCACACACATTCACACACACACAGTCTCACATGTACACACATACTTAGACACTCAACTGGTATTTATGATAACTGTAAAGAGAAAAATACAGGAAAACCCTGGCCAAACCTACTTCTTGGCCAACAGTTAAAATGCAGCGTATTCAGTATATAATTTCATTTTGCTTTTAATTTGCTATGGCGGAATGCAGTGATGTAAGACGTACATAAATTTGGATTAAACTCTCATTATTCAACTTACCAGCTGTGTGGCCAAGCAGTTTGCAAATGGGCAGCCCTTGTCATCGTCCATGGTTTCCAGTGAGGCGGCTGCGGCTCTGAGGGGCTGCAGAAGGGGCTTCTTGTCATGCTGGCCTCTGGTCTCCCCATGTCTCACCGTGGCGGTCAGTGGTGGTGCTGGCCAAGCTGTGGCATCTCTCATGGGGAGCTGGGAGTAGACGGCGGGTTTGGACCATGAGTCATGGTGTGGGGTGCTGGGAATGGAGGTGATGTCACCGTGCAGACCCCCGGGCTGAGCTGAGGAGACTGGATGAGGTCCACAGGAGGTGTTTGTGAAGTGCAGGTTGCTGCTCCTGCCGCCCCCCACCGGTCGCTTAAAACAAGTCCAGACTTCCACACACAGATGGCAGTGCCTACTGTTTTTCTCTCCACTATTTTATACATAAAGATGCAATGGCTGGGTCGGGCATGGTGGCTCACGCCTGTAACCTGAGCACTTTGGAAGGCTGAGGTGGGCGGATCATTTGAAGTTAGGAGTTCGAAACCAGTCTGGGCAACACGGTGAAACCCTGTCTCTAATAAAAATACAAAAAGCAGCTGGGTGTGCTGGTGGGCGTATGTAATCCCAGCTACTTGGGAGGCTGAGGCAGGAGAGTTGCTTGAGCCCAGGAGGTGAAGGTTGGAGTGAGCAGAGATCACGCCACTGCACTTTAGCCTGAGTGATAGAGTGAGACTCTGTCTTAAAAAAAAAAAAAAAAAAGACGCAATGGCTGCACCTTTGGGAGACAGAGCAGGTGGCTGAGCACATGGACTTGGACCCCGGCAGGCTGGCTTTGAGTCCCAGCCCTGCCATCCCAGGGTGCGGCCTCGCCCAAGTGACTCAGCTTCTCCAAGTCCCATTTGTAAAATGGCGGTGACACTCCCACCCTCAAAGTTCCCTTGAGCGGGTCAAGCCATGTGTGCAGGGTCTCAGCACCGCACGTGCCCCAGGGCCCCGCCACTCTGGGGCCTTGCTGCTTCTGGTCTCCGCATCTGAGCCATGCCCTTTGCCTCCTGGAGCCCGCGTGAATGTGGCCTGTGGTGTGTCAGGGACAGCTGGCTGGGGACCGGGCCCCCTGGGACCGTGTGCTGGGTGCTGGCACACTTGGGAGCAATGGAGCCGGAACCCGCACTTGCCCTTCAGCGTGGGCCTGGCCTCGGCCCCGCCAGCCCTGTCTCTGTGGCGGTGCTTGCTTCCTTCCCTGGATGTTTTTCCTACCGTGGTCAAGCTGTGGTCAGCACTTCCAAATGGAGTCTGGCCTGGGGCCAGCGGAGGCTGGGGAGCTGGGACGTTCACCACGGTCTGGAGCCTGACGGTTCTGCTCTGCCAGCGCCTCCTGGCTTCTCCGGGACAGGTGTTCTGGAAAAACAAAACACAAGCAAAAGCCCAGCTCCTCCCTGCGGCCTGGTCTGCCCAGGTGCTCAGACTCCTGGGGACCTCTTGCTGGGCCGGGGCGTATTTGTTGCAGTCCCTGCCGTGGACAGAGGGGAGGAAGGGTCAGAGCAGGGAGGGGACTTGCCGAGGCTGCTGGTCTCTGGCCTCCCGGACTCCCAGCTTGTTGACCACAAGGAGCCGGTGTGGAGGGCGGGGCTGATAGGCCTGGTTCCTTACTTGGCCATTCCATGCATCGGTCCCTCTGGCCACAGAGATGAAGAGCGAATGCCCCTTTCATTTTTTCGGGGCATTTACTGAGCGTTTCCTACACGTCCAGATTCATCTTTTGTCATTCATGAGCTCAGCCCAGTTGGGACGCCCTGGCCATTCCAAATGAGCTCGGCGGCCTCCAGCAACCTCAGACCATGAAGATATGGCTGCGTGCCCTCCCCCTGTTCCTCCCACCCTTGGCCTGCCCAGGACGGGGGTGGCAGCTGTTTCTCCCCAGAACACAAAGCTCTGCAGTCAGAACTGACTGTCGTCTGGGGTGGGTGGGGCTGGTCAGGGGTAACCGAGGGGGTGTGGGGCTGGGGACTCCAGGGCTACCAGGGGCAGAGCTGACTCTCTTACTCCTTGTCTGATCGGCTCCTACTTACATTCACAGCATTCAGGGCTGAAAGGAGCCTGACCGACTGGCCGGCGCATTAGTCAGGGCCCTCCAGAGACCAGAGAGACAGAAGCAGCCGGGTAGAGGCAGACAAGAGGGGCCGATTAGGAGCATCGGCTCTCGCGACTGTGGAGGTGGAGGGCCCCCAGCAGGCTTTCTGCGAGGTGGAGACCCAGGAACGGGGGTGACAGGGCTTGGCCCCAGTCCCAAAGCCTCAGAACCAGGGAAGCAATGGTGTGATCTTCAGTCTAAGGCCAAAGGCCTGAGAACCTGTGGGGCAAGTCTTGGAGACCAAAGGCTGGAGAGCCTGGAGTTCTGATGTCTGGGGGCAGGAGACCAAGAGTCCCAGCTCCAGGAGAGGGAGAGGGAATCACATTTTCTCTGGCTTTTTGTTCTGTCTGAGCTCCCAGCTGCTTGGATGGTGCCGCCCACAGGAAGGGCATCTCCTCACCTGCTCACAGGCCAGTCTCCTCTGGAAACACCCGCACAGCCACACCCAGAAACAATGCTTCCCCGGTTCTCCAGGTGTTCCTTCATCCAGTCAAGTTGACACCTAAAATTCACCATCACAGCTGGCTGGTGTCTCTGGCTGGTTTAGGAAATGCCGTTTCCCCTATTATTTAAGGAGGTCTGTGGTGTTTCAGATCTTGTCTGGGCTCTGGGTTTGTTGTCATTCATTTTCTAAACAGCTGCCTCCCGGCTCCCCAAGTCTCTCATGTTGTGGGAGTCATTCCTTGGGAAGACAAAAAGCATTCATTTATTCGTTCATTCACTCATCCATCCATTTATCCATCCATCCATCCATCTATCCATCATCCATCCATCCAGCCATTCATCCACTCACCATCCATCTATCCATCAATCATTCATCTGTCCATCCATCTACCCATCCACCCATCCGTCCATCCATCCATCCATCCATCTACCCACCCATTCACCCATCCTTCCATCCATTCATCCATCCATCCACCATCCATCCATCCATCCATCCATTCACCCATCATCCATCCATCCATCCACCCATCCATCCATCCATCATTCATCCATCCATCCATCCACCCATCCTTCCACCCATCCACCATCCATCCATCCATCCACTCATCCATTCATCCATCATTCATCCATCCACCATCCGTCCATCCATCCACCCATCCACCCATCCATTCATCCATCCACTCATCCATTCATCCACCATCCATCCATCCACCCACTCACCATCCATCCATCCATCCATCATTCATCTATCCATCCGTCCACCCATCCACCCATCCGTCCATTCATCCATCCATCCATCCACCCACTCATTTACTCGTCCTTCCACCCATCCATTTGTCCATCCATCCACCATCCATCCATCCATCCACCATCCATCCATCCATCCACTCATCCATTCGTCCATCATTCATCCATCCATTCACCATCCATCCATCCATCCATCCACTCATCCATTCATCCATCCACCCATCCATTCATCCATCCATCCACCATTCATCCACCCATTCATTAGTTCATTCATCCATCTATCATTCTGTTAAGCATATAATTTACCACGTATTTAGTAAGCACTTAGTATGCTGGAGTTAAAATGAGGAGACTCACGTAGTCTTTGCCCTCACAGGGACCCTCAGATTAGCTGCTGAGCAATTAATGGTAGGAGAGAGGAGTGAGAAAGTAAAAACTCTGGAGCTTTGGCCCCGAGGCCTGCTGGCTCTGGCCCACAATCAGCCTTGGACACTGGAGTCTTTCCTCTGTGATTTTATCATGGAAAGGATCATTCCACGTGTTAAAGGGACACTAACGTGAATGAGACTGTCTCCCTCTCCCAGGGATGGCCCCATGTGGAGGCTGGTTTGACCAGTGTTTTCCCTGCTCATGGCCCTCACTTGCTGCTTAAGGGCGGTCTCCGCCCACTGGCCCTTGGGTTTTTTCTTCTGCCTTCCCTTTGGGACAGGTGTAGAGGGTTTCCTTAACCCAGGAGGAGCATTGGGAGGGGACCCACCATGAGTCAGCCTGGTTCCCTCTGCTCCTGGCCCCTGCCACCTGGGGAGACCTGGGCAGCAGGCAGATGGACCCCTGGAAACCCTCCAGGTTTTGGAGCCCTGGGAAGCCTGCCAGGTGGTCCACTGCACCTGCCTTCTGGTGCCTCCTCTCATCCAGGCTCGGTGGAGCCAGGCGGGCCCTGGAGGAGGCAGGCGGGTGAGAGCAAAGCTTCCGTCAGACCTGGACGCGAGTTGGACTCTGTAGATACTTGGTCTCGTTGAGCCTTTGTTTCTGCAGGGATCAAATGAAGCTTGAGACTGTCCCCTTGGAGGTGTTGCTGTAAAGGACTCGGTGAAAAAATGAACGGCAGGTCCTAGTCATTTTTATTAGCATTTTCTTCCTCTTCACTCACCCCGCAAGTTCCAGTAGGAACTAAAGGATCCAGAAGGTTTATTCCGGAAGTGTTTCTCTTCTGGCTGCTTTCCTGGTATTTTTTTCAAAGGGTTGCATTAAAGAGATTAGGTTTTGGCTCAAATAAGTTGTGTCCGGCTTCCTGTGCTGCCCGGGGTGGGCGTGCTGGGGCCGAGTTATGGCCGAGCGTGAAGGGTGAGTCCGCAGCCCTTGCTGATGGGAGCCGTTGGCCCTGCTCCCCGCCACGGCCTGTAGATCCTTTCCTGTTTTCCTCTGTGCCCTGTGTCTGGGCGGTTTGTCCAGTTGCCCAGCTGGGAAGGAGTGTGGAGAAGCCCATGGGTCGCCAGCTCTGGCGGCTTCTTCCAGGGGCTGGTTTGCCCCAGCTTGGAATCCGGTCGGGCATTTGGAGGGAGGATTCTGGTGAGGCTGCGGGGTTTCTGTGGCTTGCTTCTGAGATTCTGGTCCCTGGACTCTGCAGATCATGATAGTTCCGACCGTAGGGACTCTGATCTCATTGCGAGCTGGGACTGAGCACAGGTCTGCGGGAGGGAAGGAAGGCACCCCGGCAGCGCACTGACTGTTTACCATGTGCCGTGGTGTCGCCTGTGTTATCCCCACCTAAGCAACTGGTGCACGGTAACATGGCTGTGAGTTTCTTGGGTCCTCAAACCCTCGCTGTCCTCCCTCCCCAGGTGCCTGGTCATGGCATTGTCATTGGGATCCGTCCAGCTCCTTCGCGGGGCCCTGGGCAGGTGGCTTTCCCTGAGCCTGATGTCCTCTCCTGTGACGTGAGGACAGTGGTCCCGCTTCCCCTGTTGATCAGAGCCTCCTGGGCACCGGGTCACAGGCAGCTCTTTGTTAGGGCTGGAGCGGGGTGAGCAGAGCGTGATGAGGATGCTGTTGCTCTCTCCCTTTGTGGGGATAGTTGCCATTGACAGTGTGCACTTGCACCCTAGGTCAGGGGACAAAGGGACAGACTCGTTCAGGAGGTGAGGGCTGCACTTCTGGGCAGAGGACAGGGAAGGCAGCTGGGCAGAAGGGAGGGAAGAAAGGAGGGGAGAAGGGAAGAGGGAAGGACGTGTTTCTCCTGAGCAGCACAGGGTGCTCCCTGCCTGCAGGAGGGGGGCCCCCTGGGCGCAGGTGCTTCTGGTTGTCAGAGGGAAAGCTCTGTCCTCCCTGGTCCCTGCCCCTTGCTCCCCCTCGCTGCTGTGGAGCTGCTTCAGCCCCTCCTGCTGCTGGGCTCTCTGGCTGCCCCCTGCCTGGAAGGTTCTCCCCAGAGCTGCTGGTGCCTTCCCGCTCTCCTGCAGGCCCTTACTCAGCTCTGGCCCAGCAGGGCCTGCCCTGATGGCACCTTGCCCTGTGCGGGGACAGGTTTCCGAGTGAAGTCTGATGCTGCTTCTCTGGTGTCCCAGCCCAGGCCACCCTGCCTGGCCCCAGGAACCCGCGGTGCTGGCTGGGCAGTGCACTTCACTCCAGCCTCACTCGGGGCGGAATGAACCTTCCCAGAGGAAATCGCTAGGCCGCTTCTCTTGCTCGAGTTAAAGAGCAGCGCGCACCTTCCAATAAACGGGCTTAATTCTCCTATTTATTATTCATTAAAGCATTTTGGGAGGCTCAGAGACTTCTGAGGCAGTTAAAACTGGCTCTCAGCACTGTCTGGGGGTGGCTCCATGGCTGCTTACAGATTCTGAAGTGCCAGCTGGCGACGCTGGACGCACACCACCGGTCACCTGAGTGCCGGCCTCTCCTGCTGCCCCTCCCTCCTCCACGGGAGTAATCACTTGTGGCTACTGGACCTTTATGTCCACGAGCACCTGCACCCTGCAGGGACCTTAAGAAGTGAGGAAGGAAACAGGCACAGAGAAGATGCATCTCACGTGTGCTCTGCGGTACAGTGGAGCTGGGGGCATCCTCAGGTCCTGCTGATGACAGGGGCCCCGTTTTTATCTGCTCGGCTGTGCCCTCTTCCCTCTGACTAGCAAGGCAGCTGTTGCACGCAGCACAGTTGTCTGTATGGAAGGCGCACGGAAGACGGCCAGGATGCCGGGAGGCAGAGAGGAGGCCGGGTGGCAGTGAAGAGGCCAAGAGGCAATGAGGATGCCGGAGGACAGTGAGGATGCTAGGAGCCAGTGTGGAGGCCAGGAGGCAGCAAGGAGGCAGGGAGGGTAGTGAAGAGGCCAGGAGGCAGCAAGGCTGCTGGGAGGCAGTGTGGATGCCAGGAGGGAGTGAGGAGGCCAGGAGGCAGGGTGGAGGCAGGGAGGGTAGTGAAGAGGCCGGGAGGCAGTGAGGATGCCGGGAGGCAGAGAGGAGGCCAGGAGGCAGAGTGGAGGCCGGTGGGGCTGTCTGGGGAGAGGAAGTAAAAGGCCTGACCCTGGAGGGGAGGGCGCTGACCAGCAGTCTATAGAGGATGCAGTGCAATGACCACCGGTGTCGGTGCTGACGGCGTCAGTGCAGGTACGGATGGTTCCCTTCAGCTGAGAATCTCAGACCACTCTGGGCCTTCTCAAGAGGCTGGGAGGAGGAAGGGAGGGCAGGGCCCTGCTGAATCGGAATAGCTCCACTTTTATCTGTTTTTTATGTGGCATTTTGCTGACATTTTGCTTAAAAAAAGGGTTCTGAAGAGGGTAAAAACATAGTTGGAAACCATTGATCCGTCACAGCTGAGGAAACCTGCCTCCTTTGAGTTGGGCCTGGGGACACTGGCGGTGGGGACAGGCCGCTGGGGGCACTGGCAGTGGGGACAGGCCACTGGGGTCGCTGGTGGTGGGGACAGGCCGCATCACTACGTCCAGGATGAGGGAGTCGGCTGTGCACCTGCTGCAGATGATGGACGGGCAGCTGTGGTCATCCCAGTCCCTCTGGCCCTGGGTTTGTCAGCAGCTGAGAGGCCCCTTGGCTTTTGCGTGCAGGCAGAGGGGCCCTTCCTCCTTGCTGGAGTAAGACCCCTCCCTCACCACTTCTATTCCTCTCCTCTTCTGCCTGGGACCCTTGTCTATCAGCCTTGGGTCCCCCTACCCCCGTGGAACCTCCTGGCATGTGCTGTCACTCTATCCACCTGAGCCAGGGCAGGCACCTCGAATCCATCCTGGCACCTCCCACCTGTCAGCACAGCACCCCAGCACCCTAGCACCTGGCAGTCACCAGGAGCTGGCACAATGGGGGACCCCAGTTTGTCACCCTGGACTTCCCATCTGCTCCCCGGTTGTTGCCACAACCCCTGCCATTGCCCCTTCCCCCACCACAAACCCACCCACCACTGTCCGGACTTGAACTTGAGGGCTCAGGTGGGAGACTGCTGGTGCTTCTGGGGCCAGGTGAGAGTGGACCCACGAAGACACCATTGAGGGCTGGGGACAGGTTGTGATGCCGAGGATCAGGCCGTCATCAGGACCCAGTTTGTCCCACAGGTTGCTTCAGGTCTCGCAGCTGTCATTTCCCCATCTGTAAAATGGGTCTAAAGATTTGCCTCCCCCATGCCGAGGGCTGTGGGCGGGAGATTCCAGATGGTGCCGCTGCCTGTTTTCATGGGCTGGGTCTCGTGAGGAAGCTCCTGGGAGTGGTGCTGTGATTGTACCAGCCGCGTTTGAGCACGTGGGTGATGACCCTGGCAGTGGGCAGGGGTGCATCTGATGGCCATTCCAGTGGCCTGGAGTGCCAGCCTCACCCGGCCAGTGTATCCTGCCCCACACCCACCATCCACCTGCCCTGCGTCTGGGGCTGGACAAGTGTATCCAGATGCCGTCTCAGCCATGTCATTGATTTCTCCATTTTACATCTGCGTTGATGAATGTGTCCCGCAGGCTCTGTCTGGCCAGGGGAGAACACAGCAGTAACCTTGGGGTATTGATCCAGCACCCCTTATCTCCACACCCAGGCCCCGAGGCTGCATGTGTTTGTTCATTTCCTCTTCGTATTTGTTCATTAATTTGCTGAGTGCAGAAGACTCTGTGCTCACCCGAGGCCTTTCTGCCAGTCGGTCTGATGACTCTGAGATGCTAATGCTGCGGTGAGTTCATTTGCACTCCCTGCCTTAATGCTGGCAGTGAGACGTGCTAGTCTTTGTAGCAGCATCCACTCCACACTAATTACTTATTAAAATGCAGTCGCTCCTCGCTGGGGTGGGGAGCTGCCTCAGGCTCCCGGCAGAGCCCGGCGCAGGGGCTGTTGGCAAAGGCCTTCAGAGTTTCTGCTTGAAAACATTTCCTCTTTTATCTGCTAGTTGTTGTCATTTCAGGACGTTATTCACCCACCCACTTTCAGATGAACTTGACAACCAGATATGCTGCACATGGGCACAGACACACACATGCACGCACACACACAGACATACACACATGCACGCACACACACACACACACACGGAGTCGGTAAGCCCATCGGATGCTGACCCGCCGTTTTATAACTGGGGATGGGAGAGGTTTTTCTCTGCTTTCCTTTCCAGGCGGGAGCCATGCCCGTCATTAACTTCACACTGGACAAGGGTGGAGGGTGGTTCAATTTTGGTAGCCGAGTCCCTACAGGTCTGATGAGCTGCGTGCCTGGAGGTCAGGCTCAGCCCACTGTGCTTCATGTGAGGTGGCTGAGCCTGGCGCGCCAGGCCAGGAAGCCTATGGGTCTTTGCCTCAACCCTGCTCACAGGATCCTAGGAGGCTGTGATTTCAAGACCTGAGTTCAAGCTCTGGGAGCGGCCTTGGCCCATGAGTGGATCCCTTGATCTCCATGCCAGTGGTGTGAGGTAGGGATTCTTGCTCCTGTGCCAGGAAATGTGGTGCCAGGTTGGGAACTTGTACCTGCTTGAGGGTCATTACTGTTGGCTTTTTATAGAAGGCTGAGGGGTGAAGGAATAGAAACCAGAGTGATAAACGCAGAGGGGAGGATCTGGGGGCCGCTTGGAGTGGGGCCAACTCCAGACAGAAAGGCAAGGGTGCAGGGGGTGAGTTGGGGTGCTGGGTGTGGGTGTGTGGCCAAGACCTCAAGAGCAGTGTTTCAGTGAATGCCAGGCCCCACGGGCCACCTAGCACATGGATATCCAGTTTTCCCAGCCCTATTTGTTGAAAAGACTGCCCCGTGGAATCGGGACAAGAGCCTCTGGGCTGAGCCTCTGCTGTGTTCTCTGACCGTGGGTGGCCTCCCATCTCTTCCCTGTGCCTACTACATCAGTGGAGGTAGGAGCCTAATTGAAGACTTGGTTAATCCTGATCGATTGGTAGTGGCTGACTGGAGGGCTCAGCTGAGAAGGGTCCCGAGGCTCAGCCATTGATTAGCGTTGTCTGCCGTGGGTGTGGTATGAGAGCATGGGTACATGTGCCAGGGGTTTCCCACTCCTGGGCTAGCTGGTCTCAGGTTTCGTGTCCCCAGAAAGAGGAGAGAGCACAATAGCTGAGGGGTGCTTTCCAGAAGCCTGCCTTGTTCTTGCCACCACTGGTAAGGTAGGTCCTGATAAGAGCATGTGTAGGGGGGGACTCAGCCTGAGTAAAGCAAGGACTGGATGCTGGGTGGGCACCTGCAGAAGTGCTGCGGGTGTCTGTGACAGGCTGCCCGGTGTTTGCAGAATTGCATTGATTTTTCTGAGATGGCTGAGGTTTGGGGAGTTGCTATAGTTGTGGCCAGGGCTGGTGCTGGGCCTCCCCATCCCTCCACAGTGGGGCTGTTGCCAGGAGGGTGGTCCTCTCTGCTTCTGTGTGCTCTGCTTAGCTCAGCTGGTGCCAGGACATGCAGCCTCAGATGATCGGAGCCTGGGAAGACAGGGAGCCAGGGGCCACTGCCTACTGTGCAGAGTGACAGGGACTTTGGTGGGCAGAGGTGTGTTAGACAGTTGAGCTAGTCAAGGAGGGCTTCCTGGAGGAGGTGCTGGGGTTCGAGATGTGAGCTGCAGTTCACCAGGTGAAGGTGGTGGTATGGGAGGTCTCAGGGGCAGCATGTGCAAAGGTCCAGAGGCTGGTGGCGGTGGCCTGGCCTGCTCAGGTTTAGAAGGGAGGTCTGCTTGGAGTAGGAGACTGGGAGGGGCAGGAGCTAGGGCAGTGCCAGAGAGCCCTACCAGAGAGATTTGGGGTGCTATCCTGGGGTTTTCAGAAGGGAGACCCACGATCTAAAGCTGCAAGCCAGGTTGTTGGAATTAGTAATAATAACTTAGCACCTGCTGGGCTGCCGGGGGCTGGCGCCCTGGGGAGTGATGCCCACCTGTTGTCTCCCTTCCCTCTTAGGACTTGGCTCTGGGAAGAGGGGCCTCTGGGTGGCAGTGGTGGCAGCAGCCCACGCTTCAGGACGCACTAGGAGCAGAGGAGGTGTGCTCAGGCCCTGCCATTGTTTCTCATTGTACGTGGACTGGTCACTGCTCTACTCCCTGGGCCTCAGTTTCCCCATCTGGGAATCAATCCATTTGGTTGGACTGGCTGGATGACCTCTTGGGTGGGTCTTTGTCACTTCTCTTTCCTGTGAGTCCCCACCCCGTTGGCTGAGAGCTTGCATTTTCTTAGCTGGTCCTGGTGCAACTGGTGCATGCTTTTTTTTTTTTTTTTTTTTTTTTTTTTGGTCCATGTCCACAGTTAATTAAGTTTTAAATGGTTAATTGTTTCTCCCCAGTGCCCCCAAGACATTAATTGTGTCTGTTGGAGCCTGACAATTTGATGTTTGCAGCAAAAAAGCCAAATGAGACCAAGAAGGAGAAAAGAAAAAAAAATACCAAAGTGTAAGTAATTAATTATAACGAAGTGTCATTTCTTGGCACCCTGGAAGACCTTTCTCCAGGAGTACTGGTTTTTTGAAGGTAGATAGGAGTGGGCGGCCAGCCTGGTACCAGGCATCAGCTGTGGGGTCAGGCCCTTAGGGCTGGGGAAGGCAGCGGCTCTGGAATGACAAAGTGTGTGGCTGTGAACTTGCTGGGCTTCCCAGATCCCCAGCAGCAAGGGCAGTGGCGAAACATGCAGATTCCTTGGCCACTCTGCCCCTGGGGACTTTGGGGCTGGAGCCCTGGGTGATCCTTTTGATTCTCAATCTTTAAAAAACATTACTGTGACCAGGTACAGTGGCTCATGCCTGTAATCCCAGCACTTTGGGAAGCCGAGGCAGGTGGATTGCCTGAGCTCAGGAGTTTAAGACCAGCTTGGACAACGTGGTGAAACCCCGTCTGTACTAAAAATACAAAAAATTAGCAGGATGTAGTGGCACCCACCTGTAATCCCAGCTACTTGGGAAGCTGAGGCAGAAGAATTGCTTGAGCCCGGGAGGCGGAGGTTGCAGTGTCCCAAGATTGTGCCACTGCACTCCAGTCTGGGCAACAGAGCGAGACCCTGTCTCCGGTGGGGGGAAGAAAAAATTATTGTGATAAAATAACATAAGAGTTACCATTTTAAAGTGTGCATTTCAGCAGCATCGAACAGATTCCCAGTGTTGTACAACCATCCCCTCTGTCTTGTTCTGGAATTTTTTCATCACCCTGAAACAAAATCCCATTTCCTCTTGCCCCATCCACCAGTTCCTGGTAACTACTAATGCATTTTCTGTTTCTGTGGATTTGCCTGTTCTGGACATTTCATATAAGTGGAATCCTACAATATGTGGCCTTTAGCGTCGGCTTCTTGCACTGAGCGTGAAGTTTCAGGTTTCACCTGCGCTGTGGAAGCCGCCAGTGGGTCATTCCTTTTTGTGACTGAATCATATTTTACTGTTTGGATCGACCACAGCTTGTCCATCTATGCACCTGTTGGTGGACACTGGGCTGTTTTCACCTTCGGCTCCTGTGAATATTCATGGTCATTTAGTCCTGAGCCCTCTGGCCCATAGGCCCCCTCCCTTCCAGGGCTCAGGAGACCATCACCATGAGGATCCCAGGAGCTGACATTGCCCCTTGGACCCTGAAGGCTGTTCCTCTTGAGGGAAGAGCTGGTGGTGACTGGCCTCCTAGTGGACGTGTTCTTGTCTGAGCTCAGGGGCAGGCCTGCTGCAGTGTAGGTGACTTAGTGTACAGATTGGAGCCGTGGATGAGGTGAGGCTGGGGGCTGTTGTGATTACTGCTATTGTTAACTGTAGCACAAATAATAAGGGCCAGGCGCTGTGGTGGCTCAAGCCTGTAATCCCGGCACTTTGGGAGGCCGAGGCCAGTGGATCACTTGAGGCCAGGAGTTCGAGACCAGCCTGGCCAATATGGCAAAACCCCATCTCTACTAAAAATACAAAAATTAGCTGGGTGTGGTGGTGCATAACTGTAGTCTACCCCAGCTACTCGGGAGGCTAAGGCAGGAGGATGGCTTGAACCCGGGAATTGGAGGTTGCGGTGAGCAGAGATATACCACTGCACTTCCAGCCCGGGCAACAGAGCGAGACTGTCTCAAAAAAATGAAAATAAAAATAAATAATGCCTTCAAGACCCTGCTTTGAATTCTTTTTTTAAAAATTATACTTTAAGTTTTAGGGTACATGTGCACAATCTGCAGGTTTGATACATAGGTATACATGTGCCTGTTGGTTTGCTACACCCATCAACTCATCATTTACATGAGATATTTCTCCTAATGCTCTCCCTCCCCTAGTCCCCCACCCCCCGACAGGCTGCAGTATGTGATGTTCCCTGCCCTGTGTCCAAGTGTTCTCATTGTTCAATTCCCACCTATGAGTGAGAACATGCAGTGTTTGGTTTTCTGTCTTTGTGATAGTTTGCTGAGAATGATGGTTTCCAGCTTCATCCATGTCCTTGCAAAGGACATGAACTCATCCTTTTTTATGGCTGCATAGTATTCCATGGTATATATGTGCCACATTTTCTTAATCCAGTCTATCATTGGTGGACATTTGGGTTGGTTCCAAGTCCTTGCTATTGTGAATAGTGCCGCAATAAATATACATGTGCATGTGTCTTTATAGTAGCATGATTTATAATCCTTTGAGTATATACCCAGTAATGGGATGGCTGGGTCAAATGGTATTTCTAGTTCTAGATCCTTGAGGAATCGCCACAGTCTTCCACAATGGTTGAACCAATTTACACTCCCACCAACAGTGTAAAAGCGTTCCTATTTCTCCACATCCTCTCCAGCATGTATTGTTTCCTGACTTTTTAATGATCACCATTCTAACTGGTGTGAGATGGTATCTCATTGTGGTTTTGATTTGCGTTTCTCTCGTGACCAGTGACGATGAGCATTTTCTCATGTGTCTGTTGGCTGCATTGCTTTGAATTCTTCTGGCTATATACCCAGAAGTGGAATTGGTGGATCATATCGCATAGTAGTTCTATGTCTAATTTTTTGAGGAAACTCCGTACTGTTCTCCCCAGTGGCGTCACCATTTTCCATGACCACCAGCTGTGAGCGGGGCTCCCATTTCTCCACATCTTCACCAACACGTGTCTTTTTGTTTGTTTGGTAATAGCCGTCCTCTGCCTAGGTCTGAAGCTCATTGTGGTTTTGCTTTGTATCCCCGAATGATTAGTGATGTTGAGCATGTTTTCATGTGCTTGTTGACCAGGTTTACATCATCTTTGGAGGAATATCTATTCAAGTCTTTTGCCCACTTTAAAATCAGATTTTGTTGTTGTTGAGTTGTAGGAGTTCTTTACATATTGTGGATATTAACCCCTTATGAGAGACATGGTTTGCAAATATTTGCTTCTATTCAGTAGATTGCCTTTCACCCTGTGGATAAGTTCTTTTGCTGGGCAGAAGTTTTAGAGTCTGATGTAGTCTCATTTGTCTGTTTTCGTTTTTGTTGCCGGTGCTGTGGGGTTATATCAATAAATGATTGCAAATCCAATGTCATGAAACTTTTCCCCTATGTTTTTGTCTAAGAGTTTTATAGTTTTAGCTCTTATGTTTAGGTCTTTGATCCATTTTGCCTTAATTTAATTTTTGTATATGGTGTAAGATAAGGATCCACCTGCATCCTCTTACATATAGCTGTCCAGTTTTCCCAGCACCATGTGTTGGAACGATGATTCTTTCCCACTGAATGGCCTTGGAATCTTTGTGAGAAGTCACTCAGCCACGTACCTGAGGACAAGTGTTTGGTTCATAATATACAGCCTGCGGGTTGGCAGCCAGAAGCCATCACCTGATGGGCAGGAAGGTAAATGCTCACAGATGACCAGGTCAGCTGCTCACTGTGAAGGGGCTGCCCCGCCAAGCCCAGCTCTTTTCTGCCCCGTGCCCCTACATTTAAATTGCCCCACTCTGGCATCATCATCACCAGGCCCCTTGGTCCACTGGGCACATCTGCTTCCCCGTGGGTGTCAAGCCCCTTCCTGGGTATGTGAAGCCCAGGCAGGTAGACGCTCTGGGGTCACGGCTATGACAGAGCCAGAGGGAGGACTTCTGCAGGGCAGGGTTCCTTCTCCTAGCCCAGCCAGGCATAGCAGGTGGGTGCTGCCCCACCACCTCCCAAGACTGGGCTGGAGAAGCTTCCCGCTGCCACCTGGCAAACAAAGCAGAGGGAGCCGGGTCCGGGTCCCCCTAACAGCGTGGGCTTGGGGTCCAGCAGGCGGGGCCCATCCCGTGCCTGCATGCATGGCGTCTGCACCAGCCAAACACACCTGTGCGTGCGCCATTAGCTGGCCCACTCGCCCTGCCGGTGCCGGGAAGCAAGCAGGCTGACTACTGCCCATCAACGGGATTAGAACCACCCTCGCTTCCAGTCCCATCACGATCAGAACCACACTCGCATCCAGCACAATTAGAACCACTGTGACGGTTCGTTTCCATGACGGATGGGGCTCTGCTGAAACTCAAGTTCATCCGCGGTTGATTTCTTATACTTGCTTAGGCTAGGGGTCCTTGTGTGTGGCCGAGCCCCTCCACACTGCAGAGGCTGCTGAGAGCACTTGGTCAGGGGAGCAGGGCCTGGGCCGTATCTGGGCTTATTGTAGGAGTTCTTTACATATTGTGGATATTAACCCCTTATGAGGGACATGGTTTAATCAAAGACTAATTATGAACTATATCCCCAATTAGAGTTTCTTTCCCCAGCCTGCAGGGAGAGGCACAGGGAGAGGCTGCAGGGAGAGGCACTGGGAAGCTGGGTTTCTTCGAGTGAGACACAACTTTCTTTCTTTTTTTATTACTGTTTTTGAAAAATAGAGATAGGGTCTTGCTGTGTTGCCCAGGCTGGTCTCCTGGCCCCAGTCAGTCCTCCCATCTCTGCCTCCTGAAGTGCTGAGATGACAGATGTGAGCCACCATACCTGGCCTGTGGACGTTCAGTGGTCTGAAGAAGAAGCCATTCATTCACTCATGTGTTCATTCATTCATTCAGCAAACATGGCGCTCCTGCCATGGCCAGGTGCAGGGGTGGAGTGGTAAGGGAGCAGAGCCCACACTCCGGCACGCACAGAGCTGTCATCTGGTGGGGACTCTCTGGTGTCTGAGACAGCAGGCGGAGGGAAGTGGGCTGACTCTGTATCCCCCGCCGTCTCCCCTCCAAGGACTCCTCTGAATAGCCTGCCTTCCCCTCTCAGGGCTGCACGGCTTCAGAGATTATGCATATTAAGCCAACGACATTTATTAAGTAATTGGTTTTCTCATTTTTTAATTAATCAAAGACTAATTATGAGCTATATCCCCAATTAGAGTTTCTGATCCCGCACGATAGCAGGGCCCCCCACGGAGGGCACTCAGGGCCAGCCAGGAAGCGGGTGGGCCGAGGGGTATGAGTTAGACTTTTGGGGATGTTCAGGGTGCTTGGAGACTCCTGGGACATGACCTTCAGGGACCTCAGTTGGGGCCCCTTTCACTAGTGGAGGTGCGGCCCCGTGTCGTCAGGCAGCCGCAGCAGCAGGCGGCCAGTATGTTGCCCAGCACTGGCCTGCTGTGGGGAGACAGTGACAGACAGCATCCCCCGCCTTGAGCCGAGCAGCTGAGCCAAGCCTCCTCTGTGTGACGGGGCCTAGGGGTGGGCGGGACCTGGTCCTGGATGGGTCTGTGGGGCGCTCAGAGGGAGGGACACCTGGGGAGGGGGCACCTCCCCTGCTGGTATCAGCGACGCTTTTCCATGTGGCCTCAGGGACCTCAGTGCTCAGGCCTCCCAGGCCAGCTGGGCAGGTGGAGGGGGCACTGGACACCTCTGCCTAATGACCATGGGCTTTCAGTGAGTGATCCAGTGGTGTGGTTCTGGGCCAGCCCAGCACCGCCTCTTCTATGAAGCCACCCTGGATTGCCCCAGCCTGCAGGGAGAGGCACAGGTGCTCACATGGCTGGCGAAAAGCGCCCTCAGCTGTCTTGCACTGCTGTGCAGTGGGGACACTGAGGCCTGGTGAGGGCCAGGGCTGCTTCGTGGCCCTTTGTGGACTGGAGGCAGAGCCCGGACTCTCTCTCCTGGCCCTTGGCCTCCATCTAGGCCTTTCTGGGGCTGACTAGAAGGAGGCTCTCAGCTCTGCCTTTGATGGCAGATCCCTCTACCTGCTGAGCTGTCTGCTGGCTGCATGTGCAGGAGTGAGTGAGGCCTGGTTCTCGGTGTGCGGTAAGAGGGAGTACCTGTCAGTTCCCCGTGCAGCTGGAGGATGGGGTCCACACTGGGGCCCACGCCCAGGCCTGTCTGGCCTCCTGGCACGTGGCTCAGCGCAGAGAACAGGTGCTGACTGATGCCTGGGGCCTGGCAGAGCAGGACTGGGCAACGTGGAAAGCAGCCTTGGGTCCGCCGCTGTATGTCCAGCAGAACTGACTCTGGGCTCCGCGGAGGACATGCGGTTGGGTGGTGGGTGAGGCAGGGGTGGCCGGGGCGGCAGGGACAGTCGGGGCAGCGGGGACCTTCCATCTTCCATGTCTCTGCCTCACGGATGCCAAGAATGCGCTGTTTGTGTTGCTCCCCTGAGACTGGCCACGTCCATCTGGCCCCACTCTCTGCGCTGTTTCCGGCTTACATTCCTCTCTGATCTGAGACTGAAATATTTGAGCTGGTGGCAAAAGTGGCTGAGCATCTTTTCTCTCCCAAGATGGGAGGAATGTTCAGGAAAAACCCGGTGTCCTGGTGGCTTCCCTTGCTGAGTGGGCAGCCCTTGACCCGTGGCTTAGAACAGCCTAGAAATTGCCAGCCGACCTGGCCCCGGGGGACAGTGAGTCCCTGGGCTGGGAGCCGGGACACCTGGGCTCCTGGAACCCCTCACCCAGGGCTGTCCAGTGAGGAGGCCCCACCCAGTGAAGCAGAGATTATGGTCTGCAGCTCCCAGGATCTGGTTTCAAAGCCCGGTGGGGCCCTAAGAGTCTCCAGCCTTTCTGAGCCTCTATTTTCCCACAAGTGCCAGCTTAGCAGGATTGCTGTGAAACTCAGGTGCCAGCCCCAGAGAAGCTTCCAGGACAGCAGGCAGTTGTGATTTTACCTTTCAGTGGTTGGGGAGTGTCAGAGGTGCCAGGGCACAGCAGTGAGGGGGTGCGTGGAGAGGCTGTGGGCAGAGCCAGGCCTGATGGAGAGGGCGGAGCTAGGTCAGTGAAGAAAGTGTGAGGATGGGATGTGGGGAAGTCTTTAAAAACATGGTGGCGGCCGGGGGTGGTAGCTCTCACCTGTAATCCCAGCACTTTGGGAGGCCGAGGTGGGAGGATCACAAGGTCAGGAGTTCGAGACCAGCCTGGACAACATGGTGAAACCCCGTCTCTACTAAAAATACAAAATTAGCCTGGTGTGGTGGTGCACGCCTGTAATCCCAGCTACTTGGGAGGCTGAGGTAGGGGAATCGCTTGAACCCAGGAGGCGGAGGTTGCAGTGAGCCGAGATCGCACCACTGCACTTCAGCCTGGGCGACAGAACAAGACTCTGTCTCAAAACAAACAAACAAACAAACAAACACACACACACACATGGCGGCTGCTTCTTGGGAGGCTTAGGAGCCCAGGGGTTGAGAATGGGACTTTTGGACTCAGATGGGCCTGGATTTGAGGTCTGCCTGTGTGTTTATTAAAGGCGCGACCTCGGGCATGCTACATGACTCTGTGGGCCTCAGCTTTCTTACCCACGAAATGGACATAACAGTATCAGCCACGTGGAGTTGTGAGGCAGGAACGAATGAGCTGCCGTGAAGGACTTGGCACTGTCCTGGCACTAGTTGGGGCTCAGAGATTCCAGGCTGACTCTTACAATGGGTGCCACCGAGAAGGAGTCTGCCGCCTTTCCAGGGCCCCTGGCCTGGGTTTCTGAGTGTTTCCTGGTGGTGGTGGTAGCCCGGGCTAGCAGCTGGGCCTGGGTCCGGACCAGCAGATGAAAGTGCGGGAAATGCAGACACAAGGCTCGGAGCCAGCGCCGCCTTCCTGCTCTCTGGTTCGCTTTTCTGCCGCCGCAGAGAGTGCGCTCCTTTGTTTAAAAATAGTTTCTAGCCGAGCTGGAGGCACCGAGTCCTCTTTAGCATTTCCGACGGTTTCCCTATTAATGTCACTGGAGGAAACCACCCTGAGATGCCTTTCAAGTGGAAAAGGAGAGCTGTCCTAATACTGTGGGCATATCATTAGGAAAAGCAAATTAAATCATGTTTAATGGTGTTAGAGTCTCAATCACTTTGGAAAATGGAGTTGGTGAAGCAGGGAAATGAGAAATTGCTGACCTCCTGTGGAAGGAGGTCAGTGAAGGAGAATCTGGGAGTTGTGCTCGTGGAAGTGGCGATGGGCCGGGGCTTAGGGGGCTGGGGATTCAGCCGGGAGGGTGGGGGGACCAGGGCGGGGGACCAGGGTCTCCAGGAGGCTGCGTCAGTTCTCTCTCCCACTGTCCTGGTCTCCCTCGGGAGGGTGTGGGTCCAGCTAGCCTTTTCTGTCCACAGGGTTCTCTCTCTGGGATCTGTTCGGTCCTGTCCTTGGGGGCCCAGCATAGGTCAGTGTCAGATGGGACCAGCTTAGTCCTTCAACTGGATGCCCGGCCTGGGCCAGTCGCTTTCCTCCCTAAGCCTTGGTTTCCCCGTCAATAAAGGGGAGGATGGCACTCTCTCAGGCAGGCTAGGACAGGGAGTGAGGCCCAGAGGGGGTAGGCAAAGTCCCAACTGCATGGCCTCTGTGGGATGGGCAGGGCCCCTCTGTGCTGTGTTGACATTTTCAGTGGCATAAGTTTTCCCTTTGGAGGTTATGCGTCTTTGTGACTTACTAGAAACGATAAACAAATAAAACCCTTCTAGCCAAAAAAAAAAAAAAAGAAAGAGTTTTCTGTTTTTCTCATGATGGGTTCCCAGCTCTCTGTTAAGTCAAAAAATATTCAGCTTGACATTCCACCATTAGAGAATCATTCCTTTGACTTGAGAGTTTGTCCCTGTCGGCGTAGGTAATCCATTGGGCTCCACCATTGCCTTTTGAGTGCTGAGTTTGTCACCTCCTCTCCTGAAAATGGGTTCACATCAGGAACAGGTAAAGAACTTGGCCCCTGGAAGAGGAGGACGGGGATAGGGCCCCTCAGGGAAGGGAGATGATTTAGTGAGCTCTAGGGCTAGGCTGTCATAGGCCTCTGGGTGGGGAGCAGGTCTGGGGCCTGCTGGGTGGGCTTTTGTGCAAAGAGATTTGCAGTAGAGAAAGAGGAAAACCCAGGGTGGGATGTACAGGGGACAGGACCCCGTGAGAGTGGCAACCTCGTCCTTATTAGTCCTTGCTGAGTGTTCCCAAAGCTCCGGGTTTCTTTGTATGTGTCTCATTTAATCCTCACATTTGATGGACGGGGACGCTGAGGCTTAGAGGGGGTTGGGTGAGTGGCCATGGGTCACACAGACAATGGCAGAGCCGGGACATTCTCTTCAACTCTGCCATGCCAGCATCTTCCTTCACACCCCTTGACCTAAACAGTCCCAACATCTGCATTCAGAAGGTACTTAATTAATGCTTTTTGCATGGCTGGAGGCATCCGGGGTGTCCTTTGCAGGGGAACCGACAAAGTTGTGCTGGTCCTGGAGGCCCAGCCGTGAGCCTCTAGCCAACTCTTTCTTCCAGCTCAGCTTCTGGGATCAATACACAGGCACTCCCGGCTCTTCTCTCTCCCTTTCTCTGTTCACCCCCTCCTTTCCCCTTCTCCATCCATATCACCAGTGAGACCCCCACTCACCCAGCCCCACATCCTCAAACTGCCCAGCTTCCCAGCAAGAGTCCCAGCACTTCCCAGGGTGGCAGAGAGCCAGGCTCTGGGATGGTGACGCCGACGCTTTTGTTAGTCCTGGGCCTGTGCGCCCGGGCCCTCGTTGGCACCCACCACCTTCCCTTTCTACAAAGAGGGCTTTATCCCGTGGAGAGAAACTTTCCAAGTGAATCACTGTCAGTTAGCATTCAGCGCAAGTCACAG
This sequence comes from Homo sapiens, assembly GCF_000001405.40. NCBI lineage: Eukaryota > Metazoa > Chordata > Mammalia > Primates > Hominidae > Homo > Homo sapiens. Next base: position 133,916,313 of record NC_000009.12, on the reverse strand, counting down.
GCTCCGCGGGCAATTCATCTTGCGCCTTTCTTCCTTCTTATCGAGTGGGACCAAGCCCAGCTCGGTGTTGCCTGTCCGCCTCCTCCATGGAGCCTTGGATAACCCCGCTGGCTAGGAGCAGAGAGGCGTGTTTGAGCAAAGCCCCTCCTTCCCTCCATTCTCCCTGGGGGAGCAGCCGTGGCCTGTGCCCGTTTCCTGCCAGGCTTCCTTCAGAAGGGAAGGTGCGTGTGTGCACGTGTGTATCTTGTGTGCATGTGCATTGTGTGTGAGTGTGCATGGGTGCCTTGTGTGCATTCCGTGCATGTGTGCACATGTATATCATGTGTGCATCGTGTGAGTGTGTATGTGTACGTGTGTGCATCGTGTGTACATGTACATCGTGTGCATGTGTGCATTGTGTGTGCACGTGTGCATCGTGTGTGAGTGTGCATGTGTGGGTCGCGTGTACATGTACATCGTGTGTGTGTGCGTTGTGTGTGCACGTGTGCGTGTGTGAGTGCATGTGTGCATCGTGTGTACATGTACATCGTGTGCGTGTGTGCATTGTGTGTATGTGTGCATCGTGTGTGTATGTGTGCGTTGTGTGTACATGTACATCGTGTGCGTCTGTGCATTGTGTGTGCACGTGTGCATTGTGTGTGTGTGCATGTGTGCGTCGTGTACATGTACATCGTGTGCGTGTGCACATGTGCATTATGTGTGCATTGTGTGGGAGTGTGTGTGTGTGCGCCTTGTCTTTGAGACTGGCACCAGTTTTTCTAGGGGTCTTCTCCATGGAGACAAGGGGCCCAGTGAGGGCTCCTGTTTTCAGGGTGCTTTGTAAAGTGGGCACAGCCCCTTGTCCGGCATTTTTTTCAGTAGAGACTTCCTCATTGCACCACCTGTGCTCCTTGGGAGAAAGTCAGCTGGCCGTTGGCAGGTGGAGTCTGTAGAACGCCAGATCGTGCTGAATCCCCTTGAAAATATCAGGTTGAGGGGTGTGGATGGTGGCTGCCGGGAATTCAAAAAGTGTAGTCGTGAAACCACGTGATCACAAGGAGGGCGGGACGGTGGTGTGGGGGCTGACTGTGGCTTCCAGCTGTGGATGTCCCCACTCTGCCCCACCATGGAGAATTCCCTGATGTCCCCAGAGCCAATGAGGACTAGAGTCAAGGCGTCAGAAAGTGGGTGTGAACTCCCTGAGCCAGGAAAAGGGGACACTAATGGAGAACAGGCCGGTGCTCTTCCGGCCAAGCGGCCTGTTTCAAAGCACTCCTTGGTGTTTTCAAGATTCCCAGACACAGCACCCGTGCTTCCCTGCTCCCTCCCAGGTCCTTCCCCCCGTGCGAGCTGTCCTGGGTTTGATGCCGCTTGGCCCAGCACTGGTGTGGCGCTGAGTGGACCGGTGACCTTGGTCACATTCACCTGTTCCAAAGTCCCAAACCTCCCTCTCCACTTTGTGGAGCTGTGGGACGGCAACAGAGATAGAGAAGTGAATGCCAACCTCTCCCCTCCCCTCCCCTTCTCCCTTCCCCTCTCCTCCTCCTCTCCCCTCCCGTCCCCTCCTCCCCTCCTCTCCTCTCCCCTCCCCTTCCCTCTCCTCCCCCTCCCGTGATCCCTCCCCTCTCCTTCCCCTCCCGCTTCCCTCCCCCATCCCTTGCTTCCTCCCCTCCCCCCTCCCCTGCTTCCTGCTTCCTCCCCTCCTCTCCCCCTCCTCTCTCTCTCTGGTGGTAGGAATACACACAGCAGAAATCCCATCCCTTGGCAGCCGTCACCCCCACCCCATCCCCACTGCCCTTGGTCACCAGAGTCACACGCTGCGCGCCCTTTGAGTCTGCATCTTCCCCTGAGTGTGGTGTCCTCCAGGCTCACTAAGTCAGCGCTTCGTTCCTTCTTCTGGCTGAAGAATATTCCACGGTCCAGGTAGACCACGTTTTGTTTATCCATCCGTCTGCTGATGAACATTTGGGGTGTCTACATTTCTTGGCCACTGTGAAGATCACTGCTGGGGACATTCGTGTCCCGGTGCATTTCTGAACACCTGTCTTCCCATCCTGTTGGGTACATACCCAGGAGCGGGATTGCTGGGCTTCACGGTAATTCTGTGTCTGGCCCAGTGAGTGCTGCCTTTTCTGATGTGTGCTTAGCCCGCTGTGAGACACATCTGTCTCGAAGCCCCAGGCAGCCCATGCTGGGTTTGGAGGCTGGCCTTTCTGACTGAGCTGGACTGTCCAGGGCACCTCCTGGGGCTTAGGGTCTCAGGGGTTTGCGGTGAGCATCGTCTTTGGTTGCTTGTTGGTTTACGTTTCAGGATAATGTTAAGTCATAGCCAGCGGCTCTTGGAGTGGGGACCAAACAGAAACCCCTTCGAAGAGCTCCAGGGAGGTGGGAGGCAGAGTCTGGGGGAGTGGCTGAGGACAGCCAGGCTGGCATTGCTGGGCCTCTGTCTGCTGCGGGCTCCACCTCCTGCTCCTCCTTTGCTCACCTGCTTCCCGAATATCCCACCATGGCTGCCCCCAATGGCAGTGTCAGCTCCCACGAGCGTACAGCCGGCCCCGAGGCTCACTGACCTGGGCGCGGTGCCCAAGGCCTGGCATCTGAGCATCTCCATGGGGTTGGGAGTTCTCAGTCGTGGCCCTGCTGTTTGCCCTGACTTTGCCCCCTCCCTGTAGGTCTTCAGAAAACTGGCAGGTTCCGTGATGAGTGTCGATTGTGCACCTACTGTGTGCGCGTCCGGTCCCCCGCCTCCTGGGACCATGTGCGCAGGCTCTGCCTTTGGTTTTTTACCAAGGGCAGATGGGGCAAAGGATCGGTCATTTCTGCACTTTTTGGAGAAACCGCCCTTGAAGATTCTGATTGGCATCCCTGGCATAGAAGCCTCCGGAGTGGGGCACCAGGAAGCGCGCACCACCCCTGACAAGGACTTTGGTTTCTTCTTCTCGCTGGTGTAGTGAGGTCCCTTCTGTGCTGACTGCCAGGTGGCTGGTGCCTGCGATCGTTCCCACCTTCCTGTCTTACCTTTCGTGTGTGTCTCCCGTTCTGTGTGGTGGCAACGCGTGTTTTTATCGTCCTTCTCATGGGGGCCGTGGCGCCAGCTATGAGCCGTTGTTTGGGAGCACAGGGGGTGTTCCAGCCCAGAGTCACCAAAACACTGGGCTCTGGGACATTGTCTCACCAGAGGTGGGTGTTGGGGGCGCCCCTCTCAGAGTGCCAGCTCCCTGGAGAGGAAGAGGGGGCAAAGGGCTCCACCCAAAGCTGACGTTTGTCTTGGAAGTGAGGTGAGGTTTGCACGGTCTGCGAACAGCCCTGGGTGTGCAGGGTCAGGCTGGGCCTTCAGAGGACAGTGCCTGCCTCCCAAACCCGGTTCCAAATGGCACTCCACCGCCCGTGGACTGTGCTGGCTGAAGTTGGATTTTCCTCCTTAAAGTCACCAGGATCAGGAGCCCTGATTCTGATGAATAGAAGCTATGTTTGGGACGAGTGGTCACTGGCTCACAGGACGACTCTGATTTTAGAGGGACGGAACGAGGACAGGACGATTGTGATTTTAGAGGGGCTGAACAAGTACTTATTAGCTTAGTGCAGAAATAAAAGAACACAACTATCCCCCCTAATAGTCAACCACCGGTGACTGCAGCCCCTGAGGATGGCTGCCTGACAGCTTGGGAGCGCCTCGGGAGTGCTGTGCACACGTGGAGAAGAGCATCACACGTGTAATTTGTGTTCCGCGATTGAAATGGGCAGAGAAGCAACACGTTAGGGTGCAGGAACCTCTCCCCGTGTGCCCCCACCCCCAGAATTTGGCTGCAGCTCCCATGCTCGGACCCAGCACCAGTGACATATGGGTGTTGATATACCCTGACATGTTGGGGTACAGATGGAAAAGCGCCACTGCGTCCTGGTTCCTTCATCTAGGCACACTGTCCTCCAGAAGCCTCCGGCTCGTTTGTGTGGCAGGACTGTGGGGATTTGGACGGACATAGCCTCGTGTTCAGCCCGGGTCTCATGTTCCCAGACCTGGAAGGCCTTCCCGCCTTCTTGGACCATCCTCCGGTGACGGTGTCCTGATGCCGTAGGTTTCTGGTTTGTCTGTTTTGTACTAAAACACTCCTGGTTGTCAGCCCTTCTCCCACGTGTGTTGGAGGCCGGGACTGTAGCCGCAGCTGATCTAAGTTCACCAGCGGGAGCTGGTGGCTGTCCTGAGCTCAGCTGACACCCCATCTTTGAAAATCAGCCATCTTTGGAGGGCAGGGAGGAGATCAGGAAAGATAGCTAATGGATGCCAGGCCTAATACCTAGGTGATGGGATGCTCTGTGCAGCAATCCAGCATGGCACACGTTTACCTATGGAACACACCTGCACATCCTGCACGTGTACCCCTGAACTTAAAAGTTGGAAATAAAAAAAAAGAAAATCTGACTTACTTTCTTGGCCTGGGCAATCCTGACCTGTGGGGCTCTGGGCCACGTGAGAGTGGGTTTGGAGGACATTCGGTGTGTGGTTGGTAACTGGCATCCCTGAGGCTCTTGCTGAAGGCCTGTGCTGACGAGCAGCCCTCCCCGCCCAGGCGGACCTTGTTTAATGCGCTTACTTTTGGACATGGCGTCTTTAGTGTGTGTGTGATGCAGAGGTCAGGAGGTTGATGGGGGAGCAGGAAAGACGAGTTACCTGATGCACAGCTAAAGTGCCTGCCACCCTGACTTAGGCCTCAGGAGTGACACTGGCCATACAGTGGGGGGTCACCAGTGGGCACTAGAAAACATTTTGGGGCCGGTGAATATGTTCACCGTCTTGACTGTGTTGACAGTGTCACGGGTGTGTACATATGTAAAAATAAGGACATGACACTCTCTGGAGGGTGTGCAGCTTATCGTCTGTGGATCATACCTCCATAGAGGTATGGTAAATTTAATACAGGTCTGGTAAATTCAATGCAGTTGAACGTCAAGGTCTTAGTCTCACCAGCCGCATTTCACGTGTGCAGGCTGTGTGTGGCTGGCGGCCCAGGCATCCGCAGCACAGACACGGCGTTTCTCTCTTCACAGAAAGTTCTCCCGGGCAGCACGCTCCAGGGCGAAGGGCTGGGGAACGGGTGTGTTCCTGGTGGGACTTGCTTAGTGAGTGAGGCAGGCTCTTTCCTTTTTAGTTTTTATTAAAAATGTGCTTCCGGTCCCCAGTGCACGCGTGAATACATTCCTTTCGGTAAATATGAAACTGTAGAGATCAGACCTGTGCTCCCAAGAAGGGGCGTGCCCGGCCCTGCTTCCTGCAGCCCATGTAGCCTGGCCAGGAGCTGGGGTGCTCAGGAGGCCACGGCGCTCCCAGCTGTAGCTTCATCTCTGGCTCTGTCCCATCACTGCCGTGACCCATAGACAAACACGGTGTGCTGGGATGGGCTTGCGGTCTGCGGGACTGTGTTAGACTCCCGTGCCCGCCTCTGTACCAGTGCAGACAACTCTGACTGCATTTCTGTCCCCAGTTTTCTTTTTCTTTTTCTTTTTTTTTTTTTTGAGACCGAGTCTCGCTCTGTCGCCCAGGCTGGGGTGCAGTGGTGCAATCTCGGCTCACTGCAAGCTCCACCTCCCGGGTTCACGCCATTCTCCTGCCTCAGCCTCCCGAGTAGCTGGGACTACAGGCGCCCGCCACCACGCTCGGCTAAGTTTTTGTAATTTTTTTTTTTTTTTTTTAGTAGAGTCGGGGTTTCACCGTGTTAGCCAGGATGGTCTTGATCTCCTGACCTCGTGATCCGCCGGCCTCAGCCTCCCAAAGTGCTGGGATTACAGGTGTGAGCCACCGCGCCCAGCCTTCTGTCCCTGATTTTCTAGCTGTGTGACTCTGGGGAAGTGACTCACTGAACCTTGGCACCTCATCTGTCAAATGGGCTTGGTGCCGGTTACATGAGAGAGCCCACCGCACGGTGCCCCCTTCAGTCCAGTGCCTCCATCTGGAAGGTCTGAACTCGCAGCTTGCGCCAGTTAGAGTAGGCTTGACTGCTTCTAACAAAAACCCCAGTACATCAGGAGCCGAAACTCACCAGGGTTTGTTCGTCTTGGAGGGTTGCAGGTAGGCAGTCTAGAATAGGGGTGACGGTGCCATAGTCTCAGGGACCCAGGTGCACCCAGCTTCTTGTTCTACCTCTTCCATCCTCATGGTCATGGTTCACAATGGCTGCAAGAGCTCCAGCCATCACTTCTTCATTCTAGGCAATAGAGAGGGCTGGGGTGGGGGAAGCTGATTCATTGAAGCCGACTTTTCAGAAGCTCCAGTCACTGTGTTAATTCCTCTTTATTGGCCAGATTCTAGTCACATGGCCTGGCATAGCTCGTGTGGCTCGTGGGGGGCTGTCTGATGGAGTGCTAGCATAGCTGGTAAGGATGCAGGGGAGGATGGAGGATGGGAGGCCCCCAGCCCTGCCCTTGCCCTGTGAGCAGCCAAGCGAAGGACAGAGAGTGAGTGGCAGGCTCATCCTTCTTGGCACACATAAAGAATCTGAAGTTAATGCATGTGTTTTGGGATGTAAGAGGGCATGTTAATCAATGGAAATATTAATACAATCCTCAGGCGCAGTTTCCAAATAGAGGAGAGGAGTCTCAGGGCAGAGTGTTTCTTCCGGCCTCACACACCGTGTGTCTGCCATCTTCTGTAAGGCTGTCTCCCCCTCTTTGCCCAGTCGGACCATCTAGTCTGCAAGCTCTGCGTTCATGTTGTCAGTGACAAGGAGGAAGAGATAGCCGCTGGCTATCTCTTGTGGATGGCACAGCCTTCCATCCTCGCGAACCTGCAGTGGGCACAGATTTGTGCTAGGCGCTGTTCTGAGCACTCTGTGTGGCTCATTGAGGTGGGGCCCATAGCTGGATGGTATTTAGCTCCAGGCTTTGTTTGCTGCAGTAGTTGACCTACCCTGATCCATTTTGCAGATGGAGAAACAGAGGCAGAGAGAGATTGTTAGTTGCTCCCACAGTTAGCAGTGCGAGAACTGAGTTTTGAACCTCCTGCTGAGCTCCAGGACTCAAACTCAGCTCTGTGAGTGGCTTCCAGGCCAGGGACTTGGGGGAGGCCGCTCACATCTTCACCCCCCTTCTGAGGAGGCAATGAGACCAAAACACCCAGCCCAACCTCCCCATGTCCAGATTTGTCTCCACCGGGAGACAGTTCTCGGAATGAGTCAATAACCATCTTCATCAAATGCTTCCTCTGCCAGGCTGGGCCAGCCAAATCCATCCTTCCTCGCGATTGCTAGGGGTGCCTGGAGTTGGGTCCCTACTTTGCAGTTTTGTAATTCAAAGTTAATTTCTTTTTGAGTTCGATGTTCTTACCGGATCAGGTTCATTCCCAATCATTCCTCGTGGGTCCCTGCCCCTTTTAGTGGAAGGTGTGAGTTCTGTGTGGAGATTCTGGGAGCGCAGCTGCCTGCATGCCCACTGGGCCCACAATGGCCTTGCCCTCACCAGATTGTGGGTGCCTGGGTCCCCACACATTTTCAGAACTGCAGGGGCTGCAAAACCAAACCAGGCAAGCGGTTGGAAGTCCGCTCCCGAGGGGGCCTGCTCCTGGCACCTGGTTTGTAGCTGCGTCTGCCTCAGAGGGGTGCAGCGCTGGCAAGGGCGTGGGGACGCCCTCCCAGCGGTTCCCATAGTGGAGGCGCAGACCCACTACAGCCTGCTGCCTTCCACTCCCTGAGTCTTCCTGGGCCGTTAGGTTCAAAGATTCCAGACTTCCAAGGAAGCTCTGGGCTTGGTGCAGGGTGCCTTTGTGTACCAGGTGGTGCTGTGGGGGCCTAGGATGGGCTGGGGGTGGACACCAGGTTGGGGTGGTCACTGCAGTTGGGGGGCGGGTCCTTGTCTGGCTTGGGGGCATCAGGGAAAGGTCTGAGAGGTGAGGGGAGATTTCCAGGGGAAGAGGGTGTGAGGTTGAGTGACCGAGGGCCCCCACTGGGGAAGGACAGGGTGCCCACTGGCCTCGCATGGGGGGTTTCAGCTTTGGGTGTGGCAATGCTGGGGAACGAAGTCTCAGTTTCTAGGGTGGCATTTTCCCTCTGTCTTTTCCTGCTGCGGGTCCAGGCTCACCCCATCTCCGCCCATCTCCTGGCCCCTTGGAGCTCATGCTTTAAGTGGCCGCAAGGACTATGGTGCCACTTCAAAGGGGAGGGCTACCCCTCACTTTAGCCTCCACCCAGTTCCACTCTTTGGGGGGCCAGTGAAGGAAGGGGGGCTTGGTGGGAGGGGTGCCCCCAGACCCTCCCTCCACTCTCTGGGGGAAGGCAGAGAAGGTAGGGGGCGTGGGGTGGGAGGGGCGCCTTCAGACCCTCCCTCCACTCTCTGGGGGAAGGCAGAGAAGGAAGGGGGGTGGGGTGGGAGGGGCGCCTTCAGACCCTCCACTCTCTGGGGGAGGGTGGTGAAGGAAGGGGGGCATGGTGGGAGGGGTGCCCCAGGCCCTCCCTCCACTCTCTGGGGGAGGGCGGTAAAGGAAAGGGGGTGGGGTGGGAGGGGCGCCCCCGGCTCTCCCCACTGTGCCGTCTGTGCCACTGCAGTTGGACTGCCAATGACTGGCATTCTCTTTGTTACTTTCAGCCTGGTTGTTTCAAAACTCATTAGGCTTGGCATTTCTTTACAAAGGCTGGCATGGCCCGAGCCGAGCGGAGAGTGGGAATTGATTTACGAGGATGGCGGTGGATCTAGGAAATGTCAGCGTCCCCTCCAGAGTCCATAAATCAGTTTTGATTCCAGCGAGGCCTTCTCCCATCCCCTAAAACATCTCCCAGGGGGCTTTCCAACGTGGTGGAGCTTAAAGTTAGTCAGCCGAGGAGCTAGTCTCCTGGGTTTGCTGAACCAGCTGGATTAAAGAGCTTTCTCCTGATTCTGTCTCCAGGCCACCAAGGTCAGCTGGGGCGTGGCTGTGAGGTTCCTTCTGTCTTTTGTATGAGGGACAAGTGCCAGCCAGGATCGGCCTGGGCTTGAACCGTGATGGGATGGAGTGACCGGCATCCGGGAGGGGCCTTGGGGAGCAGTGGCCTTCCTCTGGTGTGGCCTGAGGGCTCTGAGCTGGCCTGGTGGGCTTGTTGGCCTGGGCAGGGCAGGGCTTGCTGGGTTCGATGGTCTGTAGGGAGCGAGGATGAATTTGAGGTGCTGGGGCCGCATGTGTCTGTGTGCCCAGCGTGGGCTGGCACCGGCAGCCATCTCCCTGTCGTCACTGCTCTTGGCAACATGTTTGGGGCCTTGGCTGAAGGAGGTATGGACAAGAGAGTGTGGACACCAGAGGGCCACACCAGGTCCTTGTCCCTCCCCCCGCCGCCGGCCAGCCAGGCTGAGGCAGGCCTGAGGGGGCCGAGCAGCATAGCGGCCATCACTCACGGAGGGGCTCGCTGGGCCCAGTGGCAGGCCAGGGTCCCTGCTCCTGCAGGTCTCTATGTCTGTCTGTTGTGAAGGGATGGGACGGGGCGAGGGTCCCCAAAGTGTCTCAGCTGCAGTGACTTGAGTGGCCCCCGGTGTAGAGCCATGGGTCTCCGCACGTCAGAAGGGAGGGCTGAGGACCCAGAGCCTGGCTCCGCAGGGACCCCGCTGCCCCCAGCTCTCCAGGCGCCACTGGGTTTTGTGTCTGTGGTTCTGACTTGTGAGCTGTGCCAGGTTCTGCGGCGTGAGGTCATGGGTGACTTGGGGAGATGTGGATTCCAGTTTTGTGTGCAGAGGTCCAGGGTGTGGGGTCAGTCTCTTGGCCTCAGGGGTGCCTTGAGGCTCCGCCCAACCATGGTCTCATCAGTGTTTTCATGGACCTGGTTTCATTGCCGGCTGATCGGGCCCAGTGGCTCCCACGTCCTTGCAGGATTGAAGCTGGGGGTCCTGGCTGGCTCTCTGCAGCCTTCCTGCTTGGTGCAGTCTGAGCTGTCAGTGGGGCGAGTGGGCAGGGCGGGGGCGGCTCCCCGGAGGACTGTGATGGGCCTAGAACTTGCATTTGGAGCAGGAGGGGCAAATGACATGGCTCACATTGTCAACACCACGATTCCTCCCACACTGGGAGATGTGGCTGCGTTTAATAGAGGTCCCCTCGTGGAAAACAGCCCTGCGTTTCCATCACTGTCTTGGGCATTTTGACCCTGGCAGATAGTGCAGGCACACGGTGATGTGTGCAGGGATGTTTGAAGGTCCCCACAGAGCCCCAGGCCATGGAGGGGCCAGCACCTGTAGCTTTTGGGATCCACGCCACACTGGGGACTGCCGATACCTCCAGACTTACCGTCTGGAAGGTCTAAGGGTCAGGCAGTTTCCTTGTAGGAACCTCTTTCTTTTTTTGTATATTTTGAGACAGGGTCTCACTCTGTTGCCCAGGCTGGATTCAGTGGCGCGATCATGGCTCACTACAGCCTCTACCGCCCAGGCTCAAGAGATCCTCCTACCTCAGCCTCCCAAGTAGCTGGGATTACAGTTGTGTACCACCACGCCCGGCTAATTTCTGTATTTTTTTTTGTAGAGATGGGGTTTCGCCACGTTACCCAGGCTGGTCTTGAACTCTTGGGCTCAAGTGATCCTCCTGTCTCGGCCTCCCAAAGTGCTGGGATTACAGGCGTGTGAGTCACCTCGCCCAGCTATAGGAGCCTCATCTGTGCTGCAGCCCCAGTGATCCACTACAGAGGTGGCTACCCCCCAGGGCTGGTCTTCAGGCCCCATTGTCCATCAGCTCCCCAGATGTCACAGGGCCCTGAGGGTCTTCCAGGTCATTTCTGTGCTGCTTCAGTCTCCAGGCTGGCAGGAAGGAAGGGCAATGGCAGTCGGCAGGGCCTAGGCAGCTGGAGCTGGGGAGAAGGGATGGGCATGTTGGGCTCAGGATGGCATCATGTCCTTGGTAGGCCCCTCCCTGACCCAGAGCTGCTGTTCTTCTTCTTTTGTTTCTTTTTTTTTTTTTTTTTGAGACAGTTTCACTCTGTCACCCAGGCTGGAGTGCAGTGGCACAATCTTGGCTCACTGCAAGCTCTGCCTCCTGGGTTCACACCATTCTCCTGCCTCAGCCTCCCGAGTAGCTGGGACTACAGGTGCCCGCCACCACGCCCGGCTAATTTTTTGTATTTTTTTTTTTAGTAGAGATGGGGTTTCACCGTGTTGGCCAGGCTGGTCTCGAACTCCTGACCTCAGGTGATCCACCCGCCTTGGCCTTCCGAAGTGCTGGGATTACAGGCGTGAGCCACCGCGCCCGGCTGAGCCACTGTTCTGGCTGTGGTGCTGTGAAGTGTGGGCCAGGGCTTGGTGAGTGACTTTGCACAGGGCAGCTGCTCAGAGCCCCCCGCCCTGGGAGAAGCCTCCACGTGTGGTGCTGCCCGTGGCACTGCCCAAGCCACAAGATGCACCCTCTCCCTTCACCAGTGTCCCAAGCGCTCCCTGCATCCCCTCCCTGCCAGGGCCCCAAGTCTGACTGCCCAGTGCAGCAGTGCTGGTGCTGTGGCCCTGTATGGTGGACGAGGGCCAAAAACACCATCATTTACTCAGGCGAAAGAGTATTTTGTGCCTAGAGGCCCAGAGAGGGCTTCTGTTCACACCCCGGTACTCTGGGGCCTTCTTGGGGAGGTGAGCTTCACGGGGCCCTCAGCACTGACTCAGCAGCTTGGACAGTAGTGGTGCATTGAGAAGCTTGCGGGGAGGACGGAGCCCTGGCTGCACACCTGGCACCCGACGGCCCCGTGGCCGGTTGCTGTGTCCTGGGAGCAGCGGGCATGTCGTCCGACTCCACTGGGAGAGGGTGTGCTGCATGCCTGCATGCCTGTGCCCACGTGCCTGGTGCCCACGTTTGGGCTCGGCTGGACACGTGCTTTGTTGCAGGGGCTGCTTTCCTGCAAGTGCATTTGCCGTCCTGAGCCTGCTCACTCATCGAATTCCACGTGGTCGTCTGGGAGTGATTCCGGGTGCTTCCTGGTTTGAATTTCACGGGACCCTGGAGGACATGAACTCAGAAAGTGAGGCGTTGATGGTCGCTTTTATTGGTATATTAGATGCATTGAGGTTTTGAAAGGGAGGACTTGGGATTCTTCTGTGTCTTTTTAATGTCTTAGAGCGTCTAGAAATAGCATTTGCTCTTCAGTTCTCTAGAGGGGTCTCCCAGAAGAACAAAGCTGTGTGTGGCAGAGTGGTTCCCTTTAGAATGCGGAGCTCTGGGGGAGAGCCTGGCGCTTGGGCTGGAGCCGGCCCACCAGGACACGGGCTGGAGCCCCATTCGCTCATCTGTGATTTGGGGCACAGAATTTACCCGGATAGGAAGCAGCTCAAAATACAAGCTGGTTCCACCCCTTTCCCAGTAAGAGGATTTTAAGTTTCTTGGTCAACATGATTTTATAAGCTTTTAGGGATAGATGAAGTAGTTCAACATTTACTTAAATATTTAATTTGCTCAATCGTTTACATCTTTAAAAACATGAAAATAACATGTTCTTGTAAGTTGCCCTTTTTTACTCAGTGTGTGAAATGGGTTTCTTCAAACTCTTCCCCTGGCTTTCAAGCTCAGGGTCTCTGCCTCCCCGAGCCCTCTCCGGGTCTCAGTGTGGACCTGACGAAGTGGATTTTTCTGCCCTCCAGGGACCCCTTTTCCCTCGCCAGCATCCCCCTGTTGAGAATTTTTTCTGACGCTGTTTTTCAGTGACGCCCACGCTTGTGAGATCAGAGCCCTAGGAGCAGGGGTAGACCTTTGCTAAATTTCTTTATGGTTCAAAACCAGGTGAGCCTCTGTGAGCCACCGGACCCGAGGCTGGCTGAGGCCATGTCCGACTTTGTGTCCTGAGAACCCCAGAAAAGGCTTGTGTGCAGCCCCCACCCCCATATTTTCTAAGTGATACAAAACCTCTCCTGACTGGCAGGTGATGTGGCCGTCACATCTCCCGGGATTGTTGTTTCAGCCCCTGTCTTTTGAGCCTGATGTGGGGCTCCAGGGGATGGGGCAGACCTGGCACGCCCTCACAGAGGGAATCCCGGTGCAGGGTGGGCATGGGACCCTGAGCCGGGAGCACCACCCAGCGTGGGGTAGAGGAAGGGGCCCGAGGGACAGTGCAGCGGGGAGGGAAGGAGCCCTGTGAAACCACCGAAATGTACTGGAACCGAAATGAGGCTGGAAGTCTGAGATCAGGGTGGCGGCGGGGCTGGTGCCTTCTGGGGCACAGGGAGACTGTGTCCCGGGGCACTCTCCTGGGCTTGCAGACGGCGTCTTCTCTTTTTGTATTCTTGTCGTCTTTCCTCTGTGCCTATCTCTGTGTCCAAACTACCTCTTTTTTTTTTTTTTTTTTCCTGGGGCAGGGTTTCGCTCTTGTTGCCCAGGCTGGAGTGCAGTGGCCTGATCTTGGCTCACTACAACCTCTACTTCCCGGGTTCAAGTGATTCTCTTGCCTTAGCCTCCCTAGTAGCTGGGATTACAGGTGTGCATCACCACACCCAGCTAATTTTGTATTTTTAGTAGAGATGGGGTTTTACCACGTTGGCCAGGCTGGTCTTGAACTCCTGACCTCAAGTGATCCATCCACCTGTCTTGGCCTCCCAAAGTGCTGGGGTTACAGGCGTGAGCCATTGCGCCTGGCAAACTTCCTCTTTTTATAAGGACACGGGTCATATTGGATTAGGTCCCACCCCAGTGACAACATTTTAACTTGATTTCTCTTTGAAGTCTCTGTACAAGTAAGGTTAAATTCTGAGGTCCTGGGGATTAGCACCCCTATGTATCTTTTTTGAGGGGACACAGTTCAACCCGAAACACTCCCTCATTTTTCTTTTGAGCAGATGTGTGTCTTCCCCTGCACCAAATGTGGGAACCTGTCTGCAGCCTGCACCCCAGCACCCCTGGCCTCTGGATACCCTGGGGGGTTTGTGGGTGAACATTTTCTCTACTGGAGCTCTGGGAGAACAGAAACATCTCAATGTGGGAGTCTCCCCGCTTCCAGTGCTGGCCGCATTTCAGGCTCCGCAAATCTGGGGATGTGGTAGCCCCAAGGCCGCAGCCGTGTCTGCATGGAGGAGGTTTGGTCAAATTCAGAGGGCTCTGCCTTCGTGGGGCCAGGTGTCCTGTGTCCTGCAGCAGAGGCTTCTGACATGTCCCAGGCCCTGTGCATGTTGTGTGGATTGTCCTGCGTGGTCCTCACACGTCCGACGCAGATGCCCGTTCCTATCCCAGTGTATAGACAATGAAGTTGGGTCTCAGGGAGGCCAATTGCAGGGGGAGCTGATGGGCCTGGCCTTAAATTGGGTCTTCCTGGGTCCAAGTCTGTGATCTCCATGGTCCTGACGAAACTGTGTCACTTTTGGCCCAGAGAGGTGGGGGTGGGAGGTTCTGGTCTGACCTGTAGGACATGGAGGCTCGGAGCATCCACAGAGTCTCCTGACGTGCAGACCACTAAGGCAGGCAGAGATGTGTGGTAGGAGGAGGTGCATGGTAGGGACGTCGGCCCATCTCCTTTGGCCTCTGGAGCGCAGCTGTCCTCCCCACCCCCAGCCCCCTCCGATGGTGGTGGCACATTGCCACTGACCCCATCGGCCCGTCTCCTGGGAAAAGGTAGAATGTGGCAGTGGGCGCTGGGGTTCCAGAGTCAGGGACAGCAGGGCTGTCTGTGCTTACGGGAGGGCCTGGTGTCAGAACAGTGGGGGAAATAAATACCCCAGGAGGGATGGGCCCAGCCCAGTGCCTACAGACCTAGGTAGAGTCACCAGGCCGGGCCGGCAGGAGCCCCTCAGGGCAGCTCCGGGCCCTTGCTGGAGGGCAGGAGAGGCCCCTGCGGCTCAGGGCCAGCCTCCCCATGTGGGCTCTCTGGCAAGGTAGTTGGACTTTTTTATGTGGCACCCACGGAAGCTTCTAGGCCTCATGAGACCAGGCTCGAGGTGGTGCCATGGCTCTCCCGACAGGCTCCCCTGGTCAGAGCCACCACAGGCCATGCTGGATCCGGGGAGGACACAGACCCTGCCTCTTGATGGGAGGAGTCTCAGAGAGTGTGCAGCCATCTTTACTCTGCCTCAGGGTCCCTGTCACAAACGGGGAATAACCATGCCTCTTCTGAGGCTCGGGAGGAGACGATCTGAGGAGACCCGTGGGGAGTGGGTAGCCGGCCTGTTGAATGGCAAGCGCCCAATAAATGGTCGCCATTGTGACCACTGGGCCCCCGGAGTGGTGCTTTTACATGAAATGTTCCTAAAACTGGGCCATGGTTTTCAATATCAGTTGAGAGTGTTGGGGCTAAGGCCCTTGGCCCCCTTAAGGTTCACTGGAAAATCAGACAGGAGAGGCTGGGCACGGTGGCTCATGCCTATGATATCAGCACTTTGGGAGGCTGAGGCGGGCAGATCACCTGAGGTCAGGAGTTGGAGACCAGCCTGGCCAAAACGGTGAAACCCCGTCTCTACTAAAAATACAAAAATTAGCCGGGCGTGATGACACGCACCTGTAATCCCAGCTTCTCGGGGGAGCTGAGACAGGAGAATTGCACGAACCCGGGAGGCGGAGGTTGCAGTGAGTTGAGATCCTGCCACTGCACTCTAGCCTGGGCGACAGAGCAAGACCCTGTCTCAAAAATACATAAATAAATAAATAAATAAATAAATAAATAAATAAATAAATCAAGACAGGAGGTAGATTGATTAATTGGAGAAAAGGCAAGGCGATTGAACATTTATACAGGGGAACATTCTAAATAAAGTCCCAAAGATAGGGGAAATTGCTCATTTTTATGTGCAAGTTCCACAAAGCATGGGCAGGCAGATGAGCCTGGATTCTTACTGGCCTCTCTGAGCCGCGCCCCTTCCTTCTGGGTGTGGGGCAGGACCCTCTCTGGAATGGTGGGTCTTATGACCTACAGTCAAACAAGGTAGGTCAGGGAATTTCTTTATGGCCAGTTTTTATACAGATAGGGTGGAGGGACAGTTAGAGTATTATTTTTAGGTTTGATGACTGGCTTTAGGGGAAAGGGGTTCTGGTTTCTAAGACCTGCTTGGGGGAAGAGGCATTCTAGTTTCTATGGCCAGCTCCAGGGGAGAATGGAACTAGTGACAGGAGGGCCTTCATGTTGGAGTGTTTTCTGAGCCCCAGTATTACCAGGGGGCCTCAGGAGTGGCTTTTTTCATGAAATGTTCCTAAAATGGGTCCATGGTTTTACTTTTCTTTTCTTTCTTTCTTCTTTGGTTTTTTTGAGACAGGGTCTTACTCTGTCACCCAGGCTGGAGTGCAGTGGTGTAATCGTGGCTCATTGCAGCCTTGATCTGTGGGTTCCAGTGATCCTTCCTGCCTTCGCCTCCCGAGTAGCTGGGACCACAGGCATGTGCCACTATGCCCAGCTATTTTTATTTATTTATTTATTTATTTTTTTTGAGATGGAGTCTTGCTCTGTCGCCCAGGCTGGAGTGCAGTGGTGCAATCTCGGCTCACTGCAAGCTCCGCCTCCCGGGTTCACGCCATTCTCCTGCCTCAGCCTCCCAAGTAGCTGGGACTACGGGTGCCCGCCACCACGCCCAGTTAATTTTTTGTACTTTTAGTAGAGATGGGGTTTCACTGTGTTAGTCAGGATGGTCTCGACCTCCTGACCTCGTGATCCACCCGCCTCGGCCTCCCAAAGTGCTGGGATTACAGGCATGAGCCACCACGCCCGGCACACCCAGCTAATTTTTAAATTTTTGGTAGAGGCCAGGCATGGTGGCTCATGCATGTAATCCCAGCACTTTGGGAGGCCGAGGTGGGTGGATCGCCTGAGGTCAGGAGTTCGAGACCAGCCTAGTCAACGTGGTGAAACGCGGTCTCTACTACAAAAATTAGCTGGGTATGGTGGCAGGTGCCTGTAATCCCAGCTTCTTGCTACTTGGGAGGCTAAGGCATGAGAATCGCTTGAACCCAGGAGGCAGAGATTGCGGTGAGCTCAGATCGTGCTATAGGACTCCAGCCTGGGTGACAGAGCGAGACCCCATCTCATAAATAAATAAATAAAATATATTAAATTTTTGGTAGAGTTGGGGTCTCACTATGTTGCCAAGACTGGTCTCAAACTCCTGGGCTCGAGTGATCCACTCACCTCGGCCTCCCAAAGTGCTGGGGTTACAGGTATGAACCACTGCACCCGGCCTGAGGAGTCCCAGCTCCCCATGGGTCTCCTCAGGTCGTCTCCTCCTGGGCCTTGGAAGAGACATTGTTATTCCGCGTTTGTGATGGGGACCCTGAGGCAGACTAAAGATACCCACAAACTCTCTGTGATTCCTCTCATCAAGAGGAAGGGTCTGGGCCTGGCGCGGTGGCTCACGCCTGTAATCCCAGCACTTTGGGAGGCCGAGGCGGGCGGATCACGAGGTCAGGAGATCGAGACCATCCTGGCTAACGTGGTGAAACCCCATCGCCACTAAAAATACAAAAAATTAGCCGGGCGTGGTGGCGGGTGCCTGTAGTCCCAGCTATTGGGGAGGCTGAGGCAGGAGAATGGTGAGAACCCTGGAGGCGGAGCTTGCAGTGAGCCGAGATTGCGCCACTGAACTCCAGCCTGGGAGACAGCGAGACTCCGTCTCAAAAAAAAAAAAAAAAAAAAAAAAAGGCAGGGTCTGCATCCTCCCTGGATCCGACACGGCCTGTGGTGGCTCTGACCAGGGGAACCTGCCAGGAGAGCCACAGCACCAGCTCAGGCCTGGCCTCATGAGGCCTGGAAGCTTCCCCGGGCACCACATAAAAAGTCCAGCTACCTCGCCATTCAACTGATGATTTTAAATACCAGTTGAGGGGATTAAAAATGATCTTTTTATTTATTTTTTATTTTTTTGAGGCAGAGTCTCGCTGTGTCGCCCAGGCTGGAGTACAGTGGCACGATCTCGGCTCACTGCAATCTCTGCCTTCTGGGTTCAAGTGATTCTCCTGCCTCAGCCTCCTGAGTAGGTGGGATTACAGGCACCTGCCACCACGCCTGGCTGATTTTTGTATTTTTTTTTTAGTAGAGACAAGGTTTTGCCATGTTGGCCAGGCTGGTCTTGAACTCCTGATGTCAGGTGATCCGCCCACCTCAGCCTCCCAAAGTGCTGGGATTACAGGTGTGAACCACCACATCCGCCCTAAAAAGTCTCTTTCTGTTGAGGGTCTGGCGTTGTGGAGAAAGCGCTGGACTCAGCCTTGGAGCCCCTCTGGCCACCCTGTCGGCTGCCGGTGACACTAGATCAACCTGTGCCCGCCCGGCCTCAGTTTCCTTCTCTGTGCTTTGCAGCCCGGGGCAGGCCCATCTCCGAGGTCCCTCCCAGCCTCAGGGTACCCGGATGCAGTATGTTGGAAGAGCTTGGGATTTTCAAAGGGGGAAGTGATCGTGGCCTTCCCTGGTAGGAGGCTTTGCGTGGTCTGTCTGGGCAGAGTGTCCCTAAGCCCTGCTGGGCCCCTTCCAACCACCAGCAAGCCAGCTGCCTGTCTCTGCCTTCACAGGTTTTCTGAAGTTGGTGGGTGCTGGACGCTTCTGAAGAGGAGTTTTAATTGGCAGAGGCTGCTGTCTCCCTGGCAGGGAGACATTCTGGAGGCCTGGGGGCGGGTTGTTTTTTCTTCACTCCATTAATACCAGTGACCTTTTTGCCTCCAGCGTTAATTAAATACAGACATTTCAGGCATCTGCATGGTCATGGTCTGGCATTATCTTGACCTTAGGCGACTTGGAAATTCCATATTTGGCCTTCACTAAACGAGGCATAGAAGAGCAATCATGGACGATCTGGAAATGGAGGGCTTAGAGCCACACCTTTTGGCCACCCAGAGGGGGGCCTGTGTTGCTGCGGAGGTGGGGAGACAGCAGAGCTCTCTGGCTTGACCACCATGGATGAAGCTGGGCTCAGCTCTGGGCTGGGGGAGACAGGAAGGAGCTCACCCTCCTGGGACCCAGTTTCGTTCAAGGAGACACAGCCCAGCCATCTGGGTAACAGGTGATGAATGGGAGGTAGGGGTGGAAGATGTCTTGAGGGATGGGCCAGATGGTGGGTTACAGGGGGGCAGAGCAGGGCTGTGGGTGTGAGCCCAGATGTGAGGCTCCCTACCTGGGTGTGCCCTGTGCTGGGCTCCTGACCCAGTGAGAGGCTGAGGCTGGCACCCGCCTGGACGCCTCTGCCACTTGGGCGGAAGGAGGGGGACTTAGTCTCTTGCTGCTGCTCAAAGGAGCGGCTTTCTTCCCGAGTGTCAGCTCATTTTCCCGCGTCCTTCAGCAATAACCAGCATGTGCCGATAGGCTCCCGAGTCGCTTCCTAGTGCTGCGTTCTCACAAGCCCAACATCTGTTTCGGTTGGGATTTTTTTTTGAGATGGAGTCTCGCTCTGTCGCCCAGGCTGGAGTGCAGTGGCACGATGTCGGCTCACTGCAAGCTCCGCCTCCCGGGTTCACACCATTCTCCTGCCTCAGCCTCCCGAGTAGCTGGGACTACAGGCGCCCGCCACCACGCCGGGCTAATTTTTTGTATTTTTAGTAGAGACGGGGTTTCACCATGTTAGCCAGGATGGTCTTGATCTCCTGATCTCGTGATCCGCCCGCCTCGGCCTCCCAAAGTGCTAGGATTACAGGCGTGAGCCACTGTACCCGCCTGGTTGGATTTTTTTTTGAAGTTTCTTAAGCAAAAGACAAGAAAAGAAAATGTCATTTATATTAATATCAACTTTTCTTCGTAAACACAATTCTAGACACAGCTGGTAGAATTTCTGAAATCAAACCAGAATGGAATTACAGTGTTGCTTATGTGAATGAAGTGGCGCTCGGATCCAATGAAATGAGCAACTGCCCTCTGAGAGTGACCTGAACAACAGTTTGAAAGTTTCGCATAGTGGAGCCAATGACGAAAGTTGCCTAGATCTGACGCTGCGAGAGTGGCTGTCGTCCCCACGTTTCGACCTGCTCTAACGTTTATAAAGATTTTATTCTTTTTTATTTTATTTATTTATTTTTTTGAGACTGAGTCTCACTCTGTTGCCCAGGCTGGAGTGCAATGGCGCGATCTTGGCTCATTGCAACCTCTGCCTCCCGGGTTCAAGAGATTCTCCTGTCTCAGCCTCCTGAGTAGCTGGGATTACAGGCACCTGCCACCATGCCCATCTAATTTTTGTACTTTTAGTAGAGGCGGGGTTTCATTGTGTTGGCCAGGCTGGCGTGAACTCCTGACCTCAAGTGATCCGCATGCCTCGCGCTCCCAAAGTGCTGGGATTATAGGCGTAAGCCACTGCGCCCGACCTACTAACGTTAATAAAGATTTTAGTGTTATGCTCGTTAAGAGTCATCACCACTCCCTAATCTTAAGTACCCAGGGACACAAACACTGCGGAAGGCCGCAGGGTCCTCTGCCTAGGAAAACCAGAGACCTTTGTTCACTTGTTTATCTGCTGACCTTCCCTCCACTATTGTCCTATGACCCTGCCAAATCCCCCTCTGCGAGAAACACCCAAGAATGATCAATTAAAAAAAAAAAAAAAAAAAAAGATTTTAGTGTGGCTGCCAATTAAGAAGGCCGAGAACCAGACAACTCTGGCCTTACAAGACAGTTTTTTGCCAGTGTGTAGAAAGCTGATGTTCTTGCTCTTTTTAAAGTAGCAGCATTGTTGAGATGCAGTTGACACACCATGGGGTTCGCCCGTTTGAAGTGTGCAGTGCAGGGGTTTTCAGTGTATTCACAAGGCCATGTATCCACCACTAATTTTAAAACGCTTTCATTACCCCCAAAAAGAAACCCCAACCCATTAGCAGTAACTCCTCATCCCCCCCAAATTTCCCCAGCCCCTGGCAGCCACTAATTCAAATTGCTGTGGATTTGCCTGGTCTGGAAACTTCCTATAAATGGAATGTCACAATAGATTGTCCCTGTGCCTGGCTGGCACCCGCTGGCACGTTGCGGTGAGAATCAGAGCTTCTCTCCTTTTCACGTCGGCGTGATAGTCCATAGTGGCTCCACCGCAATTTGTTTGCCCATTCATCTGTTGACGGACATTTGAGTTGCTCATTTACATTTTTATTTTTTATTTTTGCAGGGTAATTATAGATGCGCACGGCAGAAAGAGTCATGTTACAGACAGGCTTGAAATGAATGGTGGCCTCCTGCCTCCCCGACCCCAGCCCCGCCAGGCCTCCCCCAGGAGCTGCACCTATAACTGTGTCTTTAATTCTCCTGCGGTCACCTTTGGAGCCCTCAGAGATCTCCATAGAGCCCAGCCCTTGATTCCCTGCTTTCAACACCTGTTGACTCTTTGCTGTAGGAGTTGAGCCCCTGTCCCCCTCCCCTGCCCCTTGTGCTGGTGTCATTCTCCTGCGGGCGGCCCTCGGTGCCTCGGCTTGGAGCTTGACTCCCTCTTTCTTGCCGCCCTCTCCCACACCATCTCCGGACGCCCCCCACGCGATCTTCAGAACATCAACCCCTGCCCTTCCTCCTGCCTCCCACGTCAACAGCGGTGACACCGATGGCCAGGGCTCTGTGTTCCGCCTGTGCTGTCTCCTGTCCTTTACCCCAGGGTCTAGGGCCGGTGAGGGCTAGCAGAGTGCTCAGCTCTGGACCCTGCCTAGGGTCATAGCGTCATGGCAGGCCCTGCTGGGGGACAGGCTGCTGTTTCACCTCAGGGGCCCCAAGTCTGGACTTCTTTCTCTGGGGGTCCAGGGTGGGCGCCAGGATCTGGAGCCTCTTGGGGTGCCCTGTGTTCTGGGGAGAGGCCCACAGCCTTCCTTAGATTCCTGGAGGGGTTTGTGGTCCCCTTGGGGTTAAGGATCTGCCTGAGACGGTGGGGAAAGGGCTGGCCCCTCCTCCTCCTGGGAGCCTGTGAACCCTGCTGGGCCCTCATGCCTCCCTGGACAGAGGGCAACTGTGGCAAAATTTCCCAACAGCCGCCTTGTGCAGGGTCACCCGGGGAGCTCTGGGGTTTCTGGGGGCCTCTCCTTTGGGCTCAGAGGGCGTAAAGGCGGTTTCCACCTTTATTGGGCCCTGTGATCCTTGTGGCTCCTGTGGCCACAGTGTTCCTGTTGGTTTTGTGGATGGATGCACCCAGCCGCCTCTCCTGTCACCAGCCTTTGTTGAAGGAGCTTAGGTCTCCTTCTTGGGTCAGTTGCACCAGGTCTGGGTCTGGCTGCAGCCGGTGCTGATGGCCGGCACCATCCCTGGCCAGGCCGGGCCCCGGCTCCCCCATCCTTGGGAAAGGGTGGAACCCTGTGTGTCCACGGTCCCTGGATCCCTCACAGTGCACTTTAGAGCGGACATGGTGGTGGCAGTGGGTACTGTGGCGGATCCAGCGAGGTGACCTCTAGGGTCTCACCCGTGCAGCTTCCCTGAATTCTGACGGGCAGTGGAGGCGGGGAGTGGGGGATGGATTCTCAGCCATGGGCTGTGGGGTGGATGTCATGCTGCTTGGCGGGGTGGCCTTGGGCCCGTTACTGTCTTCCTTCTCCCCGAGCCTCAGTTTCTGCAGATGTAAGGTGGAGATTACGACAGAACTTTCCAGAGGTCTGTGAGGATCCGTGAGGTCCAGTAAAGCATTCAACTGTGTGTGTGGTACACGTGGGCGCCCGACTCTCGCCGCTGCTGTGTGGGTCAGGTGCGGTGGGTTTCAGGGGCGGTAGTTGGACTCTGGCTTCTCTGCCACTTGCTGCGATGCTGGGCCTCGGTCATCGCGGCTGTGGGTGGAATCACCGTCCCGCCACCCTCCGAGGTTCAGGCAATGAAAGCTGCCGTGTGGCGACGGAGGAAGGCTTGGGCTCCTCCTGGCCTTGGCTGGGCTGGGTGCTCGCCCCTGTTCTGCAGGCACCGTTGACTTCCTGCAAACTCCGTTTCTTGAAGGTGACCTTTGGAGCTGGCCGGAGTGGGTGTCGGCCATCTTGGCTCCTTTGTCTAGATTTTGCTTTTATGAAGGCCGGGGAGGGAGGGCTCGCCCCTGGTAGGCGGCCGTGCGGGGCAGGTCCCTTGCCACCTGAGGACCCCAGAGTTGTCGCTAGGGCCTCCTCCTCCACGCTGCCCCACCGTGGCGCTGCCCGACTGTGGGACCGAGGACCAGCTGAGGCCCAGCTGCTGTTGCCGCCGCCTTCGCCACCCGAGCCTCCTTCCTTCTTTCCTCCCTCCCTTTCTCCTTCTTCCCTTCCTCTTCAGCCCTCTCCACCCTCCACCCTGCAGCTGTGGGGCCTTTGTGTGACCCCTCCACAGCCTGAAGGCACCTGGCTGTCAGACTCCCACCTTTAGAGGCCTGTGGATTTGGGAGGGTGGCAAGAGGAGTCTTCGCGGGAGGTGGGACTCAGGCTGTCTGGTAAGTGCCCAGATCGGACTCAGAGCCATAGATCTTGGACCGTGCTGTCCTCTGAGAGAAAGGGCAGCTGAGTCCGCCTTACTGCGTGTCTAAGGGCCAGGGCCCCTCACCGCCCAGCAAAACCTGCTCCTCACGACCAGGAAGATGGTGTTCCTGGTCTCACTTTGAAGTCTTTTTGTGAGACATCATCCTGATGATAATTCTGGGGGTGGGCTCGGGCAAGTTCCCCGTGGATGGAGACCGCTTGGCTCTTTCTTTCCCCCTTACAAGAACCTGGAATGCTTTTTATTGCCAAGGCTGGGCCAGGTCCGCTTTTCTCGTCTGCAATGGCCTCTGAGCTGAAGCCTGGCCCGGATTCGCCCCTCCTCTTGCATCTCTGGCCTGTGAGTCCTCTCCTCCCTCTAGCCCTGCAGCTCAGCCTGCCCTGCCCTCCTGAGCTCCTTGTGCCCCTGTGTCCCTGTTGGAGCCGAAGGACAGTTGTCTCTGCTGGACTCTGACGCCCGATTCAGGCACGGAGACCCAGGAGGGACGGCCAGGCGGGTTAGGTGCTCGGCTGCCCTTTGGCCGAGCCCTGCATGGGGCCCAGGGATTGATGCAGATTGATTTTTGCTGACCCCTGGGATGATCTTGGCCAAGTGACTTAATTCTGTCTCCTCCCCAGTGTGCTTATAGACAGAGGTGTGTGCACTGGTAAGGGTGCTCTAATGAGTGTCAGCTTTCACTCCCCACCTCCTCAGCCCCCACATTTCCAAAATAAACAGAGGCTTGTTTGTGTTCAAAGGACACTCCTGGCTCACAAAGCCCTGCAGCCCTGCGGAAGCACCAGGAGGCCTCACTTCCTAGCAGCACAGCCCCATGCAGCCAACCCGGGACACCTGTTCCCACTGGCACCTGAGCAGGCCCCTTGCTGATCCCCACCCCTCCCCTCATCTCCCCTTTATCCCCCTCTACCCCTCCCCTGCACCACTGGCCTCTGTTCCATCATCCCCCACCCCGCCCTTGGGTCCCTTCCACCCCGTACCCAATGCCCCCATCCCTCTCCTTCCCCCTCCTCCCCACACCCCACCTCTTTCATCCCTTTCGTCTCCCCACACCCCTGGCACCCCGTCCTTTGTCCCTCTCCTCCATCCCCTTTTCCTCTCTCCCTCTCTCTCCACCTCTCCCCCGAATGCCTTGGTCCACTCATCCACTACTTTTACCCCTCTCCTCCATTCTCACTCCACGCCCTCTATCCCCACCTCTCCCAACTCCATCCCCATGCCTCCCCTCCATCCCTCCTCTCCATCCCCTTCCATCCCTCTCCCTCCATCCCCCTCCATCCCTCTCCCTCCCTCCCCTCCATACCTCTCCTTCCATCCCTCTCCATCGCTCCCCCTCCCTGCCTCTCCTCCATGCCTCCTCTCCATCCCTCCCCTCCATCCCTCCCCCTTCATCCCTCCCCTTCCATTCCTCCTCTTCATCCCTCCCGCTTCCCCCTCCATCCCTCCCCCATCCCCCGCCCTCCCTCCCCTCCATCCCTCTCCTTCTTTCCCCTCCCTCCCTTCCCTCCTTCCCCTCCATCCCTTCCCTCCATACCTCGCCTTCCATCCCTCTCCATCCTTCCCCCTCCATGCCTCCCCTCCATCCTTCTCCTCTATCTGTCCCCCTTCATCCCTCCCCCTCCATCCCTCCTCTTCATCCCTCCTCTTCATCCCTCCCCTTCCGTCCCCCCTCCATCCCCCCTCCATCTCCCCTCCATCTCCCTTCCCTCCCCCTCCATCCCTCCCCTTTATCCCTCCCCCTTCATCCCTTCCCTTCTATTCCTCCCCTCTGTCTCCCCCTCCATCCCCCATCCCTTCCCTCCATCCCTCCCCACCACCCTCCCCCCCATCCCTCCTGCTGAGAGTGGGAGGGAGGGAGGGAGAAGAAGCTGGAGCTGGAGACTGTGTTCCTGAGGGTGGCGTGAGTGCCGGGCCCTGGCAGCCCCCTGCACCCTTGTCCCCCGGGCCTCTGCTTGCTGAGCACCTTGAGCAGGGCTCTGGTGCTCCCTTGCAAGAGCCTTGGAGAGAAAATCTTCTTTGCCTTTTTTACATTTTTCACTCCTCTACCTTATTTCATTTAACTTCCCCACTTCAGACCAGAAAATGCCCAAATAGATATTAGAAGACCTTAAAGTATTTTTGTTTATCAGGTGTGAAAGGTGGCAGGTCCTTGCCAGTTTGCAGGGATGGGTGGCTGGCAGTGAGGTAGCAAGAGAGATGCCCCTCCGTAGTGCCCACATCCCAGGCAGTGCCATAGTCCCCACAAGCAGCTCAGGCGTGCTGAATATCTCACTCTGCCGTCACCAGCGTGCGGCTTCCACCTAAGTGCTTCAAGGTAGCTGCTGAGCTCCTGCCATCTCGTCCGTGTTCCATGCAGCAGGAAAGAAGCAGGGGAGGCAGCTGTTTCCTTTTAAGTGCATGACCCTTCCTCACCTCCCCTTCCTTTCTTACACAGTGTCCAGAGCGTGGTTCTGGGGCCATTCCTTTCTGCAAGGGAGGGTGGGGAGTGCTGTCTTTAGCAGGCAGTCCTGAGCCATCAAGCATCTGCCTCTCATGGACAAAGGGGAGAGGGACTCTAGGGGGTGGTGGGGGGCGGTCGTCTTTGCTCCAGCTAGGGAGAGCCGTGGCCCCTTGACCCTCGGCACTTTTCCCATTTCTGCTCTCCCAAGTGGTTTCTTCCTGCACCTCTTGGAAGGAAGAAATGTAGTCCGGGGCTGGGAAGCTGCAGTCCGTGCTCACTCCTGGACTCACAGCCACGATTCCTCCTGGTTGCCCCACGGCCTGCGTGAGACGCGCCGTCAGTCCCTCTGTGACAGGCAGCAAGGCTCCGTGTGGTCGCGGTGGAGCCGAGTTCTGGCTCCTCGGAAGAAACCACTGCCCAGACTCCCGGCCTGGGCTCCCTGGTTCCACCCCCTGGAGTCTCGGCTGTGTGGAGGGCTCTGTGCCCTGTGGATGTGCCAGGCTGGCACGATCCGTGCTGCCCATGCCCTGGCTGCCACTCCTGCCTGGGGACCTGCCTCAGCCCCTGCGAGTCACCATCCCACACCCTGGCACCATAGCCTCCCGGAGTGTGCCCATATCCTGTTAGTTACTAGCTAATTTTCCCAGCCAGGATGACAGGTCCTTCCACTGCAGAGACAGTAATTCGTGGAGTCATCCCAGGAGTGGCCCTGCGGGGTCATGTATTATTCATGGGAAACACTAATATTCCAGCCTGGAGTTCTTTTTTCATGGAAGCTGTGGGGTCTTCAGCCTTGTATCGACATTAACAGTTGAGACATGAGTAAAACACCATCACATCGGGGAAGCCTGATTAGGTTTAACGGGGGACAGAGAAGAAAAAAATTTTTTGTGTGTGTGTGTAAATGAAATGTCTTCTGAACAAACAGCCGAGCCTCGTTGGGTGCCCTGGGGAGTTTCCTGGGATTTCATGACGCACTCGGTCGCTGAGGAAGCAGGTGCTGACGGGCCGGCTGGCTTAATGTATTTGTGCAGTTGCAGTGTGGGACTGGGGTGGTCCTTGCTGCGGAGCTGTGGGCTGCCCACACCTGCCCCAAGGCAAGCTATGTGCTCCCCCAGGCCCTGGACCCAGTGCCTTTCCCTCCCAAGCATCCCTTAGTCTTTCCAGGGGTCTCAGGGTGGCCTTGGGGAGAGAAGGGAACCGAGGACCGCAGATCACTGTGCCAGTGGCCGCCTTCCCCCACCCCTTTGACTCCTAGGCTCTTAGGAGGGGTCAGGCCAGTCTAGAAAGCCAGCAGCTAGCACCCAGAGTGGGCATGCTGTCTCCCACACAGGCGTGGGCATGTTCTAGGCTCGTGCCCGTGAGCCCCCACCCTTCGGCACCCGCTGTAAGAGGAGCACTGTGATGACTCTAGTTTCCTGGACGAGGAACCCAGGCCAAGACCTGGGGGTCAGCTTGTCTGGGGTCATCTGGTATCCGACCCCAAGCCTGTGGTTTGCTGGGCCTCGGTTTCCCACCCCGAGGGCGGAAGAGCAGGCAGCACTGAGACCCCTTTCAGCTCAGCTCCAGATCCCTGCCGGACCTGCCTCAGGCCATCTTGATCTCAGCAAAGAGCTCCTCAGAAGTGAGGCTTCCCCAGGGACGGGGACGCGGTGTCCCTGCCCCCCTGGCAGGGGCGCTTCATTTCCATGCTGTTCGTGTCGTCTCCTTGCGAATGCGAATGACGGGCTGTCCGCCAGGGCCCAGCGTCCTGTAATTGGGGTAAGTGTCACTTTTGTTTCTGAGGTGGGGGAAATTAAATTGTGTGTGCACACAATTAATCTTGCTAATGGCAGCCTCCCTGGACCTAGAAATTAAATGTTAAGTATCTTGCAGCCAGCCGCTGGGATGACGCCCTTTGGAACAGATCAGTCGGCTCAGGCTCATGATACTAATTGGGGTGGAGTCTGGTGTTTGTCTAGCTCTGACCCTGTTTGGGGGACGTTGGTCTTATCGTGTCCACGATGAGGCTGAGACTTGGAGATGTGGAAGCTGGAAAAGCCCTTCCCAGAGCTGCATCCGTCTGTCTGTCCATCTGTGAGAGTGACGTGGCTCCTGGACACAGCGGTTTCTATGGAAACTGCCCCATGACCCAGGGCCGGTGGTGTAGGGACAGACATGTCTGGGCCTGCCTGTCCGTGTTTGGCCTTGGGTTCAAAAGAGCTGGAGGCCTGGAAGATCCAGGTGTGCGTGGCCCCCACATGCAGCTGCTGCTTTGTTTTGTTTTATTGACTGTGGTAAAATACACAGAACATAGCATTTAGCTTCTTAACCATTTTCCAGGGCACAGGTCGGTGGCTCTGAACACACTCACGTTGCTGTGCAGCCGTCACCACCGTCCGTCTCCCGAACTGCTTCATCCGCCCAGGCGGACACTCTGCCCCCATTCAGCGCTCACCCCAGCCTCCCCTGGCCCCTGGCTCCCCACTTCTGCTTGCTGTCTGCGTGAGTCTGCCGGCTCCAGGGGCCTCATGTAAGAGAGTCCTGCGGGGACCTCCTGTAGGGAGTCCCGTGGTATTTGTCCTTTGTGACTGGCTTATTTCCCTTAGCACAAGGCCCTCAAGGCTCATCCAAGGGGTGCTCCTGGGCAGGGTCTACCCTTCAGCCTAAGCTCGGGCTTGGGAACTGGGGGTTCCTGGTGGGGAGCATAGAGGAGTGGCTGCCTTCTGTGGACGCTGCGTTGCTCTACGTGGAAGAGGGTCGCTGTGAATGCGCCTCGTCTTTCCTTCAGGGCTGGTGGTGAGGAGGCTGGCCACGCAGGAGCCTTACCTTCCCTCCCCTGAAGATGCAAAAGCAGCCCCTGGGTGGGGGGCGGGGGATGGGAGGCAGAGGCAGGGGCAGGGGCGGTTCCTGGCCTCGCTGATCGCCGTGTCAGGCTGGCCGTCATCCCTCTGGTCTGTGTCCTGGCTGCTGTGATCTCATCCCTCAGCCTCTGATGTCCCTGGGGTGCTGGGGTTGGGGAGGGTCTCTGCTGGGGGTAAGTGGAGTCCGTGGTGTCCCCAGGGAGGCGCGTGGGGAATGTGTGTGTGACGGTGGTGATGGCTGCACAGTGTGAGTGAGTTCAGTGCTGCTGACTTGTGCATTTGAAAATGGTTAAGAAGTTACATTTTGTGGGGTGGGGTAGGGTGGGATCCGACCATGGCCCTGGGGCTGCCATTGCTGTTTTTAGAGTTAGGGCAGGATCTTAGGCCCTGTGAATTCCCTGGGGCCAGATGTCCACACCTCTGAAAATCCAGCTTCTGCTGGGGCATGCGCTCCCTGGAGTAGCAGGTGGGTGGGCTTGGAGCAGCTGCGTTCAGCTTTGTTTCCCATCCAAGGGGGTCTGGGGCCCTCACTGCCCCTTCCCCCACCCCCATCCTGGGGTGGTTTTATGCTTTGAGGCAATTAGTTTCCATGGGGAGTCCCTGAGGGCTGTGGAGGTGAAGAGGTCCCTTCCTGCTGAATGGGCCCAGCAGATGGCCCCTACCTCACCCTGCCCCAAAGGAGGTGCGATTTCTGCGTGGGGCCTGCTGTCTGGGCCCTCCTCTGAGTTGGGCTGAGCCCCAGGGAACCCCTCTGGGAACCACCACTGCTGAGGGAGAGCAGGAGGGCCCGGGGTGGGGAGGGGGGGCTTGGCACCTGCCTTGTCTGGCTTCCCTCCCCCATGGGACTGGGAAAGTCCTGCCTGAAGGGCCGCCTCTGCCCCTGGGCCTCCTGTGCATCTTGGAAGAGTGGAACACACCTTTTCCTGTCCACCTGCCCCAAGCCAGGGGACCTGTAAGCCCAGCAGACCCCTGGAGTATGGATTATGAACACAGGCTTTTGTGCTTGCAGAATTCACCTGCTCTCCTGGTAACAGAGCTCTGACCCTGTGTGCAGCCACTGGGGTTGTTCTGGACGTGGGTGTTGCCAGCGGAAGAGGAAGGTCTTGGCGGGGTGTGTAATGTGTGCAGGTGCCCCGCGGAGCAGGGCTGAGTGGGCTCTGTGCTGTCTCTGGGCCCATCTTGTTTTCTTGTCTCCAGTAGGAGATTGGGGATTTGCACCCCCCAGACACAGGCGCAAACACGTGGGCCTCACTGACTCCGACACGGGGCCCAGGCTCAGGTGTGTGGTGCTGTCAAGTCTGGGGCTTCCTCTTGTCTGGGACGAGGTTAGAGCTGGACCCTGGCCAGAGCTCAGACTGTGGCGTCAGATGGACATGGGTTTGAGTCCTTCAAGCTGGGTGACCTTCAGCAGGTTACTTAGCCTCTGAATTATAAAGGACCTCCCTGTGGCAGGGTTAGGCACGCGGTAGGCTCTGAGACTCCTCCTCCAGGATGGAGGCTTTGTGGCCACTGCTCAGATGCCTCTGGGCCGAGGCAAGCATCAGACGAGGCCCAGCCCCTCATGTGCTATTCTTGCGGAGTTTCTTGCATGTGGCGGAGCTTTCCCACCTGCAGGAAGCTTTGGGGTTGTCTGGGACCCTGGGTCCCACATGGGTGCTCCTTCCTGTCTTTCCCTCCCCGCCTGCTCCAGCCCCTTCACCCCTGGTTTCTGAGCTGCATCTCAGCCTCCCAGGGTGGCTCTGGGCCCGGCTGGGCCTTCCCGCCCCCCAGCTGTCAGTACGGAGATGGGACCAGACCAGTCTCCTGCACACGCTTCTCTCTCTGGGATTTGTAACAAGTTTAAAGTTGGTTGTCTAGCATAGTCCCCTTAATGGTGAGTTTGTAGGTAGCTGAGAACTCTGGTTCTCAGGAACACTCAGGAACACCTGAGTTTGGTTGTCACCAATGGGCCGTCCCAGTGGCGCCTGTGGTTCCTTCCAGCCCAAGGGTAAGTGGGTGAGTGCTTTGTGAAGGGTTTGTGCCGGCACCGTGGTGGGTTTGCGAGGTCAGGGAGATGGCATGGAGCGTGTGCCCACCTCCATCTTGGGGCAGCTGAGCATCACCTGGTGAGGCCAGATGCAGAGTCCAGTCATTTCAGAGCTGTTAGATGGAAATTGGAGGTGGGGGCCCAGCAGAACACCACACCAAGCTTGGGAGGGGTCCGCCCTGGGGTCACGTCTCCCCTGCGGCCTGAGCACCTTGCTTGTGTAAAATCTGAATGGCATTGCACGCTCCTGGCGGTGCACCATTATTAGTAAATACGACACTTGCAGAGTCCACAGTGGCAGGCCCTCAGGAAGTACCGGCCACCGCTGTGCCCTTGGATCAAGACTTGTTTTGGAATGAGAGGGCTCTGAGAAACACAAATCGCTGGGCCATGTTTGCTCATCGATGTGACAGGGATGCCTGAGTACACCGACCTTGAACTTGTGGGGAAGAAGCAGAGGCAGACAGTGCAGCTGGGCAGGGCAGGCGCTTCCACTGCGGCTGGACATGGACCAAGTAGACAGCCGCGGGGGCTGCATACATGCCCTTCCCTGGGCCGCCCTTGGTTGAGTGGGCTCAGAAGTTCAGAAGAATCAATCGCAGGACACTGGAGCAAATGAAGTCACTGGTTCAGAGAAGATTCATGCATTTTGATGAATATTGGCTGTGCTTGCCAGTCCTCTGGAGAGAACCCTCCAGAAGGGCCCAACTTATCTAGGCTCTGCCTGTCACTGTGGCTGGCTCAGATGGTGTCATCGGCCTGGAAGTGGAGCCTTTGGCATTATCTTTGGAGTCTTTGGAATGATCTAGGCTCCACCTGTCACTGTGGCTGGCTCAGGTGGGTTCATCAGGCTGGAAGTGGGGCTGAGGGTGTGAGTTGTGGACAGCGCTGCGCCCCTCTGGCTGAGTGGGAGGGGATGCTTGTGTGCACCTGTGGTCTCTGATAGAGCTGCCTGCCCAGTGGTGCTTCCTTCCCTGGGTGTTTGGTTCTGCTCCCTACCAGCATTCTCACGGAGCCGTCAAGCTTATCCGTGTGTTTTGAGTGAATAAAGCTAATTAAAAATCTTTGGAGTTAAAACATTTTTAAAGCCAGAGGTGTTTTTTTTTGTTTTTCTTTTTAGCAAGCTTCTTATTGAAGCATCTTATGCATATAGAAAAAGGCAGCTGTGCCAAGCGGTCAGCTTGCTGATGTTCCATAAAGTAACAGCCTGGGAACCAGCCTGGGTGGAGAGGCTGGCCTGGGTGGAGAGGCTGGCCTGGGTGGGCCAGCATCTGTTGAGTGCTTGCGGAGTCCCCACCACGCCCCCCAGGCTGGCACCCCCCTCCCTAATTAATTGACAAAGTGTGGCGGGCGTTGAGAAGGGCAGCCAGCCCACTGCAGTGAGCACCCAAGCGCCTAAGGAAGCACTGCTTTGATGAGCGTCCTTTGAGTTGTACTTTGGAGGAGCCTGGGGTCCAGCTGGGAGGCAGGACGCGTGGTGGTGGTGGGTAATGATCACATGTTCATTCAGTGTGCTCCCGTGCTGCTCATCTAGGTGGCTTCATTGCACGTGTGCACGTGGGGGTTGGTTACCATTTATTTTGGATTCCCTCTCTTTGCTCATGAGTTGCTAGAATCATTTTTTTTTTTTGGTTGAGACTGAGTCTGGCTGTTGCCAGGCTGGAATGCAGTGGCGCAATCTCAGCTCACTGCAACCTCCGCCTCGCTGCAACCTCCGCCTCCCGGGTTCAAGTGATTCCCCTGCCTCAGCCTCCCAAGTAGCTGGGACTACAGGTGTGCGCCACCGTGCCCAGCTAATTTTTTTGTATTTTAGTAGAGACGGGGTTTCACCATATTGATCAAGATGGTCTTGATCTCCTGACCTTGTGATCTGCCTGCCTCAGCCTCCCAAAGTGCTGGGATTACAGGTATAAGCCACCACACCGGGCCTACTAGAATCAATTTAAGCAAAGTTGCTAGTCACCTGTGGACCTCAAGTGTGAGTTTTGGGGTGTACTTGAGCCTCACAGTGGCACTGGATCCCGGGAGGGCTTCTCGTCCGCCACCTTGGGTAGTGAGCTCCCTGTCATGGGAAGCATGCAAGAAGCTGCTGGTGGCATTGCACAGGTGACCGGAAGCCTCCCCAGGTCCAGTGCCTGAGGGCCTGCTCCGGCCGAGCTGAAACCTGCCTGCTGCTGGGCCGCCTGCCTGCCGTGGCTGGGGATGACTTGGGAGTCTCTGCTGGGCTGTCTGCCTGCCGTGGCTGGGGATGACTTGGGAGTCTGCAGGGTGAGTGGTTGTTCTATCCCCTCATTGTTTCAACATGTTCCGACGAATTTTTAAGTGGCTGAGCTGCTGCAGCAGGTCAGCAGCTGACTCGGCTCTGTTCCTCTCCCTGGCCCTGACTGCCCACTGTGGCTCACACCCGTCAGCCCCACACTCACTTGGCACACCCCGGCAGGGAGGCTGTCTCAACGGATGGGTCTCTGCGCCTTCGCTCCTCTGTGGGTCCGCCATTTGTGCAGAGAATCGTTGTCAATTACCAGGGCTCTTCGCATGATTAGGGGAACGTGAAATGAGCAAATGATGAAGGGCCCATCTGCTCCAGGAGTGGTGTGTGGGGACAGCCGAGTCTTTTGCAGGCTCAGGGACTTGACTTTCCATGCCAATTAGGAGGGAAGGATCCAGAGAGAGCAGCAGGGGGTGGGGACATAGGGATGGAGCCTGGGGAGGTTGTTCCCTGGGAAAGAGGGCCATTAGGGGGCCAAGCCTGGCATGGGGTGGGTGTGGGGCCCACATCCCGAACCCAGGGTGCCAGAGGCCTCTGGGGAAGGTGGAACCCCTGTCCCTGCAGTCACAGCACACCGTCCCTGACTTCTTGGCATGGCAGAGTCCCTCTTGTCCTCCTGGGCCTCTCAGCTGTCGCCCCCTGCTCCCTGGGGGTCCTGTCTCAGTGGCTGGCTGCCTCTGCTGCAGGGGTTCAGGGGCCCCAGGGGTCACCTTATGACATTTGTATCCCTGAGTCTGTCTGCTCTGAAGGGCTGAGCGCTGTGTTTGTGACATTTATCCTTTTTCTGGCGTCCACTCTCTGCCATAGCCAAGTATCACGGACCTGGTGCCGCAAAACAAGGGGGATTTATTCTGCCCTCTCCTGGAGGCCAGAATTCCAAACTCAAGGTGTTGTCGGCAGGGCCACGCTCCTTCCAGAGGTCGCGGGGGTGGGGATCTGACTTCACATGGCCTCCCCTTTCTCCCTATGTCTTTTCTCTTCTTTTGAGGGCCCTGGTCACAGTGGATTAAGGGCCCACCTTACTCCAGGGTGACCTCATCGTCACTCATGACATCCGCTGTGATCCTATTTCCAAAGAAGGTGGCATTCTGAGGTTCCAGGAAGGACATGAACCGTAGGGGATGCTCTCCAGCCCCGTACAGATGTCGGCTGGCTGTGACGGCAGCATGTTCGGGCCAGGCACAGCAGGGCCGCCCCTTTGGGGCTGTGAAGGCTGAGCGGACAGGGTCTGTGCCCTTGGCGGCCTGCGTGCTTCACCTGCTTCACTGCAGGGTTCAGTCTGGACCCAGCATGTTCTTTGCCTTGCTTTCTGTTTATTGACAGTCTGCTTCCTGCCCTGGAATCTCCGAGAGCTCTGCAGGGCATGGCTGGGCCTGTCTGTCCACTGTGTCCCGTACAGCCTGGGGCCTGCCACACAGCTATCTGGGGATGGCTGCCTCTTGCCTCTTTTGTTTTCGGCACTGTATCTCTTGGGAGAGGAACCTTCTGGAGAGTCAGTGGAGACTAGGTTGAAACCTTGACGCCCTCCTTTGTAGCCCCGCACACTCGCTGGGCACCTGGCAAGCAGGAGGCGTCATGCTGGGATCCTGTGCCAGGCGCCCTGGCAGGTTCTCAGCACGTACTTGCTGCGTGTCTGATCTGCGCCCTCCCCAGTGTTGCCGTGATGCCAGCCGGGGCCACTGAACTCTTCCGCCCCCACACGCTGCCTGGAGTAGTATGAAGGATGGAGTTGGTTTTGATAGGACATTAAATAATTAATTCCTGTCTGGGCTGAAAATATAGAATATTAAATTATACATTTGGTATCAGACACATGAGAGGGCCTCTCAAAGTTCCCGGCCACTTGTAGGCCACCCTCAAGGACGTCTGGGACCTCGGCGGTTTCCAGTGGCTGGCTGCCAGGCCCACCATGGATCTCAGGCCTTTCTCTGCACCTTCCCCCTTCCTTGTGTTCCCAGCTGTGGACTGTGTTCCTCGTCAGTTCCTCGTCTCCACCTGCTGCCTCTGCTGGAGGCTCGAGCTGCCTGGGAATCCGTCAGAGCTTGCCTTGGAGACTCCTTTGCAGCCTTCATGCAGGGCCTCCCCTCCTGTCACCCAGGCCCCTGATGGGATGCAGGAGAGCTGGGCGCTCCTCCTTCTCAGTCCTGTTCACAAGCCCCGTCTCACTGGGAGGAACCTTGTGGGGCAAGTCCAGACACATTCCAGAGGGCCTTGTCCCACGTCTGCGCTCCGCTATCTGCAGATAGCATCATGCCTGCGGGAAGGCCGCATCTCTCTGTGTCTGGAGCCCATGGCTCCAAGGCAGCTTTTCTGGGGACAAGTTCTCCGGGTCGTATGGTGGGAAGCCCAGCAGCCTGAAGGCCAGTCCTAGCTCCACCACCTCGGGCCCTGTGCCAGCAGGGCCTCTCTCCCTGCCCAGCCTCTCTGGGACGTGGGTGGGCCATGGCCCCCAGCTCTGGGCTGCTGGCCCCTTGCTGAACCTGCCCCTGTATGGAGGGGGGTGTTGCTGCCCCCGGGAGCACCTGACAGTGGGGGGACTGTGCTGTAGCCACCGAAGGCAGCACCTAGGCTCATGCCCAGGGATCCTTGCAGTTCACCTGCCTCCATCCTGAGCCACGGCCAGTGTCCTGGAGGGCCGACCGCAGAAGCTGACCTGCTGCCCACCTGACCTGCCAAAGGGGCAGCCCCTGCTTTACCTAGATATTTTAGAGCAGTTTTAGACTTAGCAAAATTGAGAAGCTAGTGCAAAAGAAGATTGTATTCCACACCCGGGTCCCCCATCCATACCTCACAGTAGTTGGTGCTTTGGTTACAATGAATGAACCAGTGTGGACACATTGTCACTAACTGAAGTGACTCTGGCTTCCTCAGTTTCCCCTTTATGTCCTCTGTCCCAAGACCCATCAGGGACTGCACATCACATTCACTTGGCCATCTCTTGGTCCCCTGGGCGGTGGCATTGGCAGTGCCCCCCGCACCCACCCCTTCTTCATATACAAGATTCCTACTGGAGAAGCTGTCCCTGGTGCTTCGTGTAAAAGGCATCTTTTATAAAACCATCGGTCAGATCCAGCCTTTTCTGACCTGGGAGTTCCCCATGGCTGCCCCTAAGGCCATTGTCCTTCCCTGCCCGCCTTTATCATCTCATGAGTCCCTGAGCCTGGCTGACAGGTCCCTCACCACCTGCCTGGTTCAGAGGCTCCCTCTCAGCTCAGCTGCTTCCTGCCCACTCTCCCTCCCCGTGCTGCCTGCCGGCTCTTTCCTCCGGTGGGGCACACAGAGCTTCTTGGGGACACACCTTGTACCCTGGTGTCCAGGGCTGCTCGTGAGTGCCAAGTGGGCAAGGGGCTGGTGGAGGGATGCCTAGCCCCTCTTCCTGCAGACGGCGCAGGTGGGTCCAGGTGGGTCCTTCCTTGGCCTGTCTTCCCCATGCAGCGTCTCTTCTTTCTCCTCTACTTCCAGATGGCCTTGTCCTTATCCGTGTCCTCACTCTCATGGTTTAGAAAATCTTTTCTGGGAAAAGTGCATTTTTGAATCCTACCCTTAGACAGGAAAAGAAAAATCCATAAAGTGGCCATTTTGGGAAGTCCCTTGATGGGCCAGGATTAAGCAGTCATCAAGGTAAAACCGCTTGGAAGCAAATCTGGATGCCAGAGCTTCGTCTGCGGCCGGTTTCCATCTGTTTCCATAAACACAAAGCACCGGGGAGGAAAAATCACTTTAGACTTTTTTCCTGCAGGGGCTCACATTGCACAGATCGGACTTGCAGCTCGCAAGGCGGTAGGGATTCTCGGATAGGTTCTGCTTTGGAAGGGAGAGCAGGTTCTTGGTGGTTCATCTGAGCCAGCAGTGCTGTTCGTCCTGGTGTGTGCGGCTTGTTGCTTAGATTTGCATTTGGCAGAGGACTCAGATGTGCACTTGGTTGCCCTGTGGGTCTGTAATGTCAGGTGCTCAAGGCTGTGGCAGTGCCCCGGGGCCACCTACTGATCGATGCCTTCTTATAGGAGGCTTGCCCACATTTATGGTGAGCCTCTGACACACACTTGTCCATCCTGCAGGCCTCAAGGTGACAGCAGCCCCTCCAGAGGGCCTTCTCTGATTCCTGGACATCTCCTGCCCCTTGCTTTGCTTGATTAGGGACTCTGCTGGACTCCCCTGCTTCCCAGCTGCTCTGTTCTTTACCCTGCGGCATTGATCACACCCTGCTGGTTCCTTGGAGCTCCAGAGGTCACCCTAGCACAGTGCTTGGTACGCAGCAGCTGCTCAAAGTGTATTGCACACCTGAGTGAGGAAGCAAGAGCCCCCAGAGGGCCTCGTTACAGAGGAGGGCCTGGGGCGCAGAGAGCTCCGGCACTGCTGCGAGTCTGCAGCTGAGACGGGGTCCAGAGCCAGGTTCAGCAGCACAAGCCCGGCCCGGTCCCCTCTGGAAGACTATGTCACAGGATGCCTGGGATGGGGGCGGATGATGCCTGGGGAACGGGGGGATCCTGAGGAGACACCTCCCTGCCCCTGCCCCACCATGCTCCTGCTCCATGGAGTCAAAGGCTGGATTTGTTGATCTCTCGAATGGGGCGACCCGACCCTGGGGAAAAGGTTTCTGCCCCTGCGGAGGAGCCTGGCATATGTGCAAAGGAGGCCAGGCTGCCCGGGCCGAGGGCGCTTCCACTCCGAGTGCTCAGCTGCTGTCCCTGGCCCCTGCCCCCACTGCCCACAGCTTTGCACACCCATTGGAAACCCACTGGCTGGATCGGGACCCCCTGGTGTGGGTGGCGGGGACGTGGCCACTGCTTGGGGGATCCCCCTGCGGTTGTGACTTCCTGGGAATCCTCCTCCTGAGACGGGCGGCAGGTGGGGTCAGCAGGGATGGCCTCTCAAAGGTTAAGCTCTGTCCTGTGACAGACATGCACAGAGGACTTGGCGGTGGTGGAGGTGGGGGCTTGCATCTGCAGGAGGGGCAGCAACGATGATGGTGACTGCAGCGGGGCAGCCGTGGGCAGTGTGTTGTCTCCCTTACTCTTGCGGGTGCCGCTGCCCCCATCTCACAGCTGAGGAAACCAAGACTCTGCCTCACTCACCATGGGCCACCTGGCTGGGGATGGATGGGGAGCTGCGTTGGCCAGATTCTGAACAATCTTAGTGCTCAGTTCGGTCAGATCCTTTCAGAAACACACAGCCTCGATCGTGCTTGGGTCGCAGTTGGCTCTGTAGTGCGTGTGGTTCGTGTGAGGCCTTCCTTGTGTGGCTCCTACGGCCGCAGAGGTGCCAGCAACCTGTCCCTGGCCTCTGAGCCTCCCCTGGCTGCCACATGTCAGCAGAGGTGCCTGCCCCGTGGTACACCCGGAGCATCTGTGAGACGCAGGCCGGCGGAGAGTGCTGAGCTCAGCCCTACGCTGAGACTGGCAAAGAGACTTCGCCTGCTGAGCCTAAGGGCCTGGGTGGGCCCCACACCCTCCTTCACCGTCAGACAGCCTAGGGGAGAAATAGTGGGGGGTGTCGGGGGGCCAAGTGCTTTCCCAGGCCCTTCCAGGCACTCCTGCGGGAGTTCAGAGCAGGAGCAGGTGTGGAGTTGACGTCGCAGAGGAGATTCACGCACCTTCCTGTCCTGTGTTAACGCTTGCACTTAATAACCGAGTTACTAAGTCATCGCTTCAGAGATAAGGGTAGACACTGGAAAGTTATTGCCGTAGTGTTAGAGATACAGTTATTAGTCCCCTTCCCATTAAAATGGCCATTAATTAGGGAGGCCAGTGAAGCCACTGGAAACCCATCAGCCCCTCCAGGTGATGGCTACTGTCACCTGTCCCCATTAGCAGACTGGGAACGTGCAGTGGATGACCAGGCCATGAGAGGGGGGTTCTGGGGTGAGGCTCAGTCGGGAGGCTGAGGCCTTTCCTTCTGGGTGCTTTCCCTTTAAGAGCTTGCATCAGACCATCTAGCTGATGTGTGCAGGTGACCACTCTGACCCTCAGTTTCATCATTTGACAAGGGGCATAGTAACATTGACCTCATTGGGTGGTTGAGGATTCATGGAGGCAGTGGGGTAACTTTTGAGCCCAGAGCCGAACGTGTCACCCAGAACACAAGCACTGGCTCTTCCAAGAAGGTTCCTGGCAGTGTGATGGTCCCACCCTGCTTGTGGGCAGTGGCTGATTTTGGGCTTGTCCGCCTGGCCAGTGGATTGCTGTGTGTCTGGGGTGTGGGTCCCAGCTTTGTGGGCTGCATCTTGGCATCGTTGTGCAGAGTGTGGAGTGTGCCAGTTACCTGCTGGGGAAGAAAGGCGCTGGCAACTGTTTGAGGGCGGAGGGAGCCTCTCCTCGTACAGCCAGGGCATCCCGAGGCCAGAGGAAGGTGGCAGAAGGGGGTCTAGCAGGCCGGGCGGGGGTTCTGTGGGAAACAGAAATGGGGTGGTGGTGGCTCAGATAACCACGTGCCTCTCAGCCTCCCCTTTCCCCAGGTGGGTGGGGAGGGAGACTCGGGGCAGGCAGCGACTTGCTGAAGGCCACACCAAGGGTTTAAGCTCAGCCTTGCCCAGACGCCAGCCCTGGCATCCCCTGCCTTCCCCTCTGTAGCTGGCCACTGTGCGTCCAGACCCCGGTGGCCAGCCTCCCCCATTGTCCCCGTTCTTCAGGCCAGCCCTTTCTGTGTCTCCTGGCAGAAAGGACAGAGATGGTTTCTCTCTTCCCTGCCTCACCCCTGCACCCAGGCAGCCTTGATCAGCCTTTTAAACAGTTCTGGCTGTGTCCTCTCTGGCTGTGTCCATCCCTGTGGCCTCCTGCCCAGGCCTTCCTGCCATCGTGCACCTGGCCTGGTTAGAAGACTCCTTGGGGCCGCCCCCCTCCCGCGGTCCTGCCTTCCCTCCACCCAGTATCCTCTTTGCAGCCTGAAGCATCTCTCAAACACCAGCCTGACCCTGCACTCCCACTGCCCCAGGCGAGGCCAGCTCCTTGGCCCTGTGTCCGACAGGCCTCCGCTCTTTGGTCCCCTGTGTGGCCATGGCCGCTCTCCGGGCCTGTGCGTGGGCTCTGCCCCTGCACGTTCTCCTGGCCTTGGCTGACTGGCTGCTCTCCCTCAGTCCCAGGGGGCCTGCCTTCCTTAGGGGAATAGTCTTTGCTCCACACCCACCCCGTCCCTTGCCCCCTACCACTCTTGTCTCCACAGCGCCTCTGCTGGCAGCGGTCAGTGGTGCTGGGCGTGGGAGCAGGGCGTGCCTGAATGGGGCCATCCCAGGGGAGATGCATGCTCCTTTCCAATATTGTATTAGTCAGGGTTCTCCAGAACAGCAGCGCTGATAGCATATGGATAGATAGGAAGATTTAATACCAGGGACTGGCTCACACGATCCTGGGGGCTGAGAAGTCCTGAAACCAGCTGCTGTGAAGCTGGAGGTCAGGAAGGCTGGTAGTGCAGCTCCAGTCCTGATCCGAAGGCCCAAGACCCAAGGGGCCTGATGGCGTGAGTCCCAGTCTGAGCCCAAAGGCCTGAGAACGACGAGCGTCGATGTCCGAGGGCAGGAGATGATGGCTGTGCCCGCTGGGCAGTGAGTGAATAAGGCCTTCGTCTGCCATCATGACCTGTTTGGGCCCCCGCAGTTGGGTGAGGCCCGAGGGCACGGGAGGCGTCTGCTATACTCGGCTGCCGACTCAGATGCTGGTCTCCTCTGGAAATGCTGCCCAGCCACTCCGGAGGTAATGTCCTACCTGCCCTCTGGGTACCCCTTAGCCCAGGCAGGATGGTGCCGTAGCATTAGCCACATTAGCCATCACAAACGTCAATTCATTCTATAGCCTCTTGTGCTAGAGGGGACTGGAGCGGGGGCCTCGCGTGTGTTCCTGCGGTGTTTCTCAGCAGGTCCTGGCGCAGGGCAGTTGGTAGCTGAGCTTTTGAAGGGACTGGCAGGGTCAGTCCTGCCGTGCGCTGCAGTGCCGGGCAGTCTGTGCCTCCAAGGGGATCGCCTGTTTCTTTGCTACTTTATCATAGGCCTGCGCCTCCTCCAGGCAGCCCTCACTTCGAGCTGCTCAGACTCTCTGACTACAATTCTGGGTTGCCCAGAGCCTGCCTTTTGTCTGTGGGGCCCCCTCTGCCTGCTCAGGGCCTGCCCTCTGCCTGATGAGCTCCTTAGCCGGCAGAAGGGTGGCCTGTTCCCATCAGCTGTGGATAGCTCCCCGGGGCTGTGGCGCTGGGCTGTGTGGTGGGGGCAGTTGGCTCTGTGAAGCCAGGCCAGGCAGTGGCTGGGGACTGGGTCTGGCCTTGGCACGGAGGGTTCGGCACTCGGCTCTGGCCCTGTGAACCCGGGTTCCCAGCCCACCCTGAGTGACCTCCTGAGCCCCGGCTTGCACACACGTGACCTGAGCGTGGTGAG
This sequence comes from Homo sapiens, assembly GCF_000001405.40. Classification (NCBI taxonomy): domain Eukaryota; kingdom Metazoa; phylum Chordata; class Mammalia; order Primates; family Hominidae; genus Homo; species Homo sapiens. Next base: position 133,875,154 of record NC_000009.12, on the reverse strand, counting down.
AGTTCAGAGCTTGGGGGCAGTGAAAGAAACGCAGGTGATCCCGTGAAGCGCTCAGTCTGGGGTCTGCAGCGGGAGAGCCTGTGATTCTGTTTTTATGGTGACCGTCCTCATTCCCACCCTTGTTCTTTCTGGGGCTGCTCTGCCCCGACTGGCTATGGGGCCTTGGATGAGACGCACCCATTTCTAGACCCGTCTTCTCTGTGTGTAAGGTGAGGGTTCTGGACGCATGTTTCCCCCAAGGCCTCTTGCAGCTCGGACCATGCACAGCGCCTGGCTCCATGAGGCCTCCACGCCCCACTTCCTGCCTGGACAGTCTGCAGTTGTGGGCTGGGGAGGGAGATGGATCCTAGGGTCCCACATGGGAATCTGCCTGTGTAGACGCCTGTGTTCCAGCCCCTTGGTTCACTGTCTCCACCTCTGGGAAGAGGGAAGGGTCCAAGGAAGAAGCAGCGCAGGAGGTTCTTGGAGGGGGCAAGACATCTGTGTAGAGAGTGGGGTGGTGTGGGGGAGGCCAGAACCCCTCCCTCCTGCCCTTGAGGTGCTGTTCCCATAACCCCACCTTGGCCTCAAGGTCTGGGCGGGTACCTTGAGCTTCCTGTGGGATTCTTGTACCTTGGAGGCAGTGACTCACGCGCTAGGCAGCAGATCTGTGTCATGGTCTCCGGCCTTGCCTCTGATTAAAGAGGGACTGATGCGGCTCGTCTGCAGCCTGGGTCTGGGATGCCTCCCACACTGGAACCCACCTTTATCCCCGCTTTTTCCTGGTGGACAGGGGAGGGAGGCGCCATCTGTGCCTGGCTCCTGCAGCCACAGCAGCGCTGAGTGATGCCCAGGAGGGGCTGGGGAGTGTCTCTGGGAATGAGAGAGCAGCATTCGCAGACAGTGAGTGGCCCAGCCTGCCCAGCCAGTCTTGCTGGGACAGGTTTACTGGCCTTGCAGGCTGCAGGCCCCCACTCAGAAACCTTGCTTTCATGCCTGGAGGCTGTGGTTTGTCCCTCAGCTTCAAATCCAGGATGGATAGCCGGCCCTCCAGGGCAGGGCGGCGTGGAGAGCCGGGCTCTGCTGCCAGAGGCACCAGCTGTCTGCCCCAGCCCCGGTGACTCCTCCTCAGAAAGGGGAGAGCCACAGAACCATCTCGTGGGGGGTTTTGAGGGAATAAAATGAAATAAACCTGGGAAAGATCTGGCAGGCAGGAGGCCTAGACGGTGGTTAGCTGTCCTGGAGGACGCCGTGTCTGGGAGAGACGAGCCTCAGGCTCCAAACAGGAACCCCTCGTTCTAGGCTGGGCCCTGCCTGGAAGTTGCTGGGTGGGCTTGTGAAGCTCTTGCATCTTCCCAGCTGGGTTTTAGGTTTCCCATCTCAAAATTGGAGAATTTGGACCAGATGGCTGCTAAGCTGCTTCCATGAAGGACGGGAAATTCCCCCCAACAGCCCCTGACCCCCGACTGATTCCTGTAGAGTTTCCTGGTGGGGAGCAGCTGCCGCCTGATGCAGCTGCCTCATGCAGCTTGCCCAGCCCTGGGACACAGGGCTTCCGTGCTGGCATTAGGAACAGTGGGCAGTCAGTGTTCAGGGGACCTGAGGCTATTGGTCCAGGCGTTTCCCAGGGCAGTGCCGCTCCTGTCTTGGGTGCTGATTGCTTTCACAGGCAGCGTCTGCCCGGAGCACTGTGCAGAGACAGCTGCAGAGGCCAGTGTCTTCAGCAGGGGCATGGTGACCAGCTAGTGACTCCACCGTGAGCACAGTGGGACTGGGAGTGTGGCAGGACGCCCTTTGCCATCTGTATGTCTTGCGGTTTCCTTATTCCACACACAGGGAAACCGAGGCCCAGAGAGGAGTGGCTGAGATCGTCCGTGGCAGGCTTAGGACTTGATCCCAGCTCTGGCGTAATGTCCTGGTCTGAGCCTCTGTACTGTTTTGCTCAGGATCTCAGATTAAATTGCAGCTTCCCTCACATGCCCAGCACAGAGCAGGCACTCAGCTAACATGTGAGCCCAGTTGCTGTTGTGTGTTTTCCTGTCTTCCTTCCTCCCTCCCCCACCCCCCCGCCCCCTCCCTCTGTCGCCCAGGCTGGAGTGCAGTGGCTCAAGCTTGGCTCACTGCAACCTCCGCCTCCTGGGTTCAAGCAATTCTTCTGCCCCAGCCTCCCAAGTAGCTGAGATTACAGGTGCACACCACCACACCTGGCTAATTTTTGTATTTTTAGTAGAGATGGGGTTTCACCACGTTGCCCAGGCTGGTCTAGAACTTCTAGCTTCAAGTGATCTGCCTGCCTCTGCCTCCCAGAGTGCTAGGATTACAGGCGTGAGCCACCCCCTTGTGTGCTTTTCTGTCCACCCATCTGCCCCGCTTCTTGAGCGGTAGACTCTGTCTTAGTCAAGAAGCTCCCAGAGCCCCATGGTTGGAGTGGCCGCCTGGAGAGGACGTGCTGCCCCGGATACTCCACCAGCTTACGCCTCCTCCTGTGCTCCAGGAGGCCACCTGGGCCCACTTCTCCCTTCCAGCCTCTTCTCTCCCCGGGTCCCAAGGTGCACAAAGCGACTCTGACCCCCGGGGCTTCCCTGCCAGCCTTCCTGCCTCTGCTCCAGGCTTTGGGTTTCCTCTGGAGGTGTCGGGAACTGGGCCTAGGACCCCGACCCTTCAAGCCGAGGAGAGGCTGTGCCCCCACATGCTGGTTGGGGCAGCTGGGCCAGTGTAGCTGACTGCAGTGGGGAAAAGACGGTGCGCGGAGTGAGGACGCCATCAGCCCTTTTCCTCTAGCCTGGCCACACCATGGCAGAGAAGAGGGGGAAGTTAGACTCGCAGTCACCCACCCAGCACAGCCATGGAAACATGGAGGACGTGGGTGCTGGGAGCCGAGCATGCAGGGAGGAAGCCAGGGCTTGCAGTTTTCTTTGGGGCTGGCCCCTGCCCCTGCCCCTTTCTTCTCTTCCCTCTTGGGGTCGGCCAGGTCACTGACGCCCTGGTTCACATACGATCAGTCTCCCCACATCCCTGGCCCTGGCCAGTGTCCCGTTCACAGCTATGCCATCTCTGGGGGCTTCTCAGCCACCCCCTTGAGGAGCTCACAAGGATTTTCAGGTCTGCCCTCTGTGCCAGTGCCTGAGAGTCCTGGATGTGATTCCAGCTGGGAGAACCTTCCAGACTAGAATCCCAACATTTCATTCCCAGTGGGGCAGACACTCAGAGGAAGGGTGGAGCGATGACCCCATGGAGCCAGGGTCTAGCTGGAGGCTGTGTCCCTGAACCACCTGCTGGGGGCTCAGAAGGGGCAGGGCTGGCCCCCACCCCTGGGCAGGTGGTGGCTCTCAGGTACCTTACTGTTAGGAGCTGGGCTCTGAGTCAGACCCAGGCTTCAGCCTCCCACAGCAATGAGACCTTGGTCGAGTCATGTTACCTCTCTGAACTTGGGTTTTCTCAGTGGCAAAATAGGGTCAGTGGTGCCTCCATGGTGGGTGGTTGGGACCCCCCACCATTAGGGAGGACATTTGTACAGAAATTGTCAAGGGTGTATTAGGGACTCAGGGAGATAGGTATGAGGCTGCCGTCAGGGGCTCATCTTCTCTCTCTTCTCTCCTTACTTCATCAGAAGGGACTGGGGCAAAGGGATCTCTCTGAGTCGGCATCCATCTACCCACCATCCATCCATCCATCCATCCATCCATCCATCCATCCATCCATCCATCCGCTTCTCCATCCATCCATCCATCCATCAATCAATCCATCCATCTGTCCATCCATCCATCCATCCGTCCGTCCATCTATTCATCCATCCATCCATCCACCCACCCATTTACCATCTGTCCATCCGCCCCTCCATTCATCCATCCACCCCCAATTCATCCATCCACCCACCCACTTATCCATCCACCCACCCACTCACTTATCTATCCATCTGTCCATCCATCCATCCATCTGCCCACCCACCTACGTACCCACTTATCCATCCAGCCAGCCATCCATTCATCCACCCACTCATCTATCCATCCATCTGCCCACCCATCCATCTGCCCATCCATCCATCCATCTGTTCACCCACCCACTTATCCATCCATCCATCCACCCACCCACGCATTTATCCACCCATTCACCCACCCACTCATCTATCCACCTGTCTGCCCATCCATCCATCCATCTGTTCACCCACCCACCCACTTATCCATCCATCCATCCATCCATCTACCCACCCACCCACCCGTCTACCCATCTGCCCATCCATCCACTCATCCATCCATCCATCCACCCACCCACCCACGCACTCACCCATATCCATCCACCCACCCACCTACCCACTTATCCATCCATCTGCCCATCCCATCCACTCATCAATCTATCCATCCATCCACCCACCCACCCACTTATCCACCCACATACCCACTTATCCATCCATCTGTCCATCCACCCACCTGTCCACTCATCTGCTGATCCATCCGTCTGTTCACCCACCCACCCACTTATCCATCCACCCACCCACCGACTTATCCATCTATGTCATAGACAAGGAGCACCCACAGAGTGTAAGACACAAAGATTCGGGCTGCTGGTCCCCAAGGCTCAGGTGGTCTCTCAGACTCCTGCATTTGAAGGTGTTGATCCAGACCCACTGAGATGAGGAAGTATATATTTGGGTATCATTTTTACATCCTGTTGAAAGCTCCAGGAAGAGTGGGCCAATTCTGAGCTGTTCATTTACAGAGAAGTTGCTCTCACCTTTTTCTTTCCTTCTAAATGACTTTCGAGCCCTGATCTTCTTTGTAAGGACAACCAGACCCTCCTTTCATGCATTCCCCTTCAGAGTCGCTGCTAGTTGCCTGGCTCGAGTGAGTGGCATTTTTCATTTTGCCGCTCAGCTGTCTTGGGGCCTGGGGGCGGCTCCCACCTCTCTTCCTGCACTCTGCCGGCCCCCTAGAAGAAACTTCTGATATTGATGTTGGGCCCCACAGCCCTGCCATTGCCCAATGCACTGGCTGAGAAGTGCCTTTCCTGCTCGCTTTTGTTTTTCCAGCCTCCTCCTGGTGGCAAAACCTGAATGTGAAGCTGTGATTGCACATGTTTTGTAATTATCACTACTCGATGGTCGCTTGTCATTCTGAAGGCAAGTACCCCAAATTTTTCTGTCCGTGCTTTCCACAAGAAAAAAGAAAAAAAAATGAAGGATAACACAGGCTGAGTTAGAGAAAGTAATTTATAATGATTTGCTTCTGAATATGCAGCAATAGTAGCTGTAGATTTCCAAGGCAGATAGGTGAGTTTCCGGGGCAACATATTCAAATGAGTTTGATAATCTTGCCATTTGGCTCCGTTGGGCTGCGTGTGCGTGTGTGTTTCCAGATGTGTGGTAATGGCTGATAAGGAAGGTCTGCGGCTGGGGCCAGGTCTGTGCAGTTCCTGCTTACTGATTGCTAATGACAGTCGGAGGGTCGGGGCCAGAAAGCTCTTCTGATCGGCAGAGCCTCTGAGAGCAGGCTGGGTCGGCGGATGGCTCATCACATGGTCGCCAGTGTGGCTCAGGGCTCCAATTTCTTTTTAATTTTTACTTATTTTTGAGATAGGGTTTCACTGTGTCGCCCAGGCTGGAGTGCAGTGGCATGATTCTAGCTCACTGCAGCTTCGACCTCCTGGGCTTAAGTGATCCTCCCACCTCAGCCTCCCGAGTAGCCAGGACCACAGGTGCATGCCACCACATCTGGTTATTTTTTTTTTTTATTTTTTGTAGAGATAGAGTTTTGTTGTATTGCTCAGGCTGGCCTCAGACTCCTGGCTTCCAGCAATCCTCCCGTCTCAGCCTCCCAGAGTGCTGAGATTGCATGTGTGAGCCACTGCACCTGGCCTTAAAGACTTTGTTGTTGTCGTTGTTTAAGAGATGGGACTGGGTGTGGT